>NC_000020.11:40860173-41163203 GCF_000001405.40 Homo sapiens
AAGTAGTCCAAGTCAGGCTGTGGCCTTCCATGACCACATCAGTTCAGTTATCATTCAAGGGATGCAAACTTCCCATCAGGTAGCACAAGGCAATTTAATACCAGCAAAGGGGCACAGGGCTGAGAATCTGCGGGGTGCGGGGGGCATGGGTTTCCTGTCACAGGATGGCCCACTTAGCCATATGGGACCCTGTGGCTCAGGACTGACCCCCCAGAGACATATTGAGCTCCCTGACTCAGGATTGTCACACTGGGGCATGCTAAGACTTCCTAACTCAGGCCTGGGCCCCCAAGTCACACTAGGACCCTTCACTCAGGGCTGGCCCACTACAGCGAGCTGGGACTTCCCCAAGACCAAGCAGAACATTGGCTGCTCAGCCCAAGGCTCGGAGGCCAAAGAGCATCCCCAGAATCCCTGCGAGATAGGACTTTTAAATCTATTTATAGATAAGGAAGCTGATACTTGGAGAGGTCAAGTAGCTTGCCAAGAGGACACAGAGCCTAAACAGCTTTCAAGTAATGCCAAGAGCTAACCTCAGAATGCGGTGACTAAAGCTTTCCATGAGATTCCTCCTACCATCTTCACAACTTCCATGAGGCAGGACTAGTTTTGTCCAGTTTTGTACACACAGCAGTTGAAACTCAGACCGGTCGAACCACATTGCCCCGTCGCACAGCTGGAGCTGGAATCACAACCCACAGCTGCAGAGCCCCAGCAGCCAGGCATAGTGGTTAAGAGCCCAGACTTTGGAGCCAGCCTGCCTGTGTTCAAGTCCTGCCTTTATCCATTTCCCAGAGATGTGACCTTGGATGAGTTCTTCGACAGCTTCTCAGTTGCCCTACCTAATGGAAATAATCTTTGTAATATAGCAACGGTCAGGATCTATAATTGATATTCACAGAACACTTCCAACAGGGCCTGCTAGGTACCAAGTTGTGAGTTTGTTAGATGAATCTTTCTTCTGTACAACCATGATTTCACTCATTCTGTACATAGGAGGGTTAAAACTGGCAAACTGGAGGTCCCTCCTCTCCAGGCTGCCCCCTGTCCTCTTGGGTCCAAGGTCCAGCAGAGGCACACTGCCAAAAGGTGCCCCAGACCCAGCACCTGTAATGCTTCTGTCAGAGCAAACGAGGCTATTAACTGACGAGCTCTGTGATAGAATTGTCCCGTGTGGTATTTATTATAGGGTCCTTTCCCTGAGACCCCCCAGGGAGAGAATATTAAATATTTAATGCATGCGATGCTGCTCGTTTTTCATCCCCACTTCAGCACTCAAGTCAGCTCCAGTCTGGGGGAGAGCCAAAGTCCACCAGCCTGGCCCCCTCATGCCTTCCCTCCTCCCACCCACTGCCCCTCTCTCTAGGGCACAAAGCCAGACACAGCCTGGGATGGGAATGTAATGAGACCCCCACCCCAGGGACGTGCAGCTGAGTCCCACGTGAACCCTGGGAAGGGCTCCTCCATCAGTCACCCTGGGCTGGGGGGCCTGCGGAATGTCAGGGGAAGCAGCGCATCTCATCTGAAGAGTTGCGATTTGTTGGTCACCAGAGCTTAGGAGCCTCAGAGCACCCTGCCTGCATCTCCTCCTCTCCTCTGCACACATTTCTGACTCCCCCACCCACCTGCCAGTTCTCACTCACCACATGCACGTCTGCCAGAGGCTGCTTCTGGCTGCGGAAGCCTGCTCAGCCAGCAGGCATGAGCCAGAATGGCCAGAGAGACCAGAGCATACCTGCTGTCGACCAGTGATATACAACGAGATGGTGTATGAAAACCCCAGCGTCCCATGCCTTTCGTGTGGGATAACTCAGGGATGTGTTCTATGCTGATCCCTGAGGTCCCTGGTAGAGCCCCACAGCGGCCACTGCCCATTAACACACCCTATCTTCGTTCCTTTTCCTCTCGGCTCTCATTTCCCCTCTCTCCTATACATGCATCCTGGGGTCACCTCCCAAATAAACTTCTGCACTCAAATCCTTGTCTCAGGGGCTGCTCCTGCAGGAACCTAAATGAAGACAATGGCTTGGTCGGGTTGGGGACTTACTAGAGAACATAGGAGGGTACATCTCAGGGGAGGGTACATCTCAGGCATGTACTTATTCTCTCATTGAGCATCTACCTGCTCAGGGTCAGGCCCCGTGCTGGGGCTGGGGACACAGCAAGGACTCAAATCTGGCTCTTGGACCCCATGTGCTCCCAAGATGACTGGGGCACTGTTATGAGACACTAGCCACAGTGCAGTGTGATCAGCACGCTCTACCATCACCCCTGGCCATGCAAACCAGCCCAAGTGATGCCACATGAAGATAAAGTCGTGTTTTCATCTCAGCTCATCCCTTAGTGGAAACATCAAGCTCCTGTACAAATGAGTACATTGACCATCGTGGTCCAAATACTGAAAGGGATCCTGTCAATCATATTCATGTGAATTTTCCAGCTTTCCTTCTTCCTGTCTTTCTTTTCTGGGTGACCTCCACCCATCTGTGTTGCACATGGGTGCTGGTGGCTGGAACAGTGTGATCTCGGGTGAGAGGATAGGGCATTTTATAAGCATCAAGGCCTGAGGGTGGGTGCAGGGAGGTGAATTTTCCATTCCCGGAATGTTGACCAAAGGTATGCTCCCGGGCATCAGGCCTTGTGCTTTGGACTTCACTGTACATTAAGGACAGGGTGGCTGAGGGGGTCCAGCATCTGATGGGAGAGGGAAGGAAGACCTAGTGATCAGGGGAGGGTAGGAAGCTCAGCATTTTACCTCCATGATCTGTAATCCTCACAACAGCCATGTGCAGGGCTATGGTTTCCTTCCATTTTACAGATAAGAAAACTGAGTTCCAAAGAGATTATGACTTATCCAAGGCTACTCAGCTAGGTATGCCTCAGAGTTCATTACATACCTTCTTCCCTCCTCTGCAGCCTGGGGAAGAAGAAAAGAAGCCCATCTTGGATTTTGTCCTGAGGACAATGGGTAGCCATGAAAGGACAAGGTCAATGTTGCATTTTGGAGCCATCATGATCTATTTAGCCCATCCCCGCTGCCAGGCTAGGGGTCTATATAGACCCATCCACTCCTCACCCCTGCCCTGGTCAGGACAGGCTCTGGGTTGAGAAGCTGAGGCCTGCAGGGGCCACTACTAGGATGGAGAGCACAGCCTCGCTCTTCCTTTGGCAGGGATTTGATCTTGCAGGGACTCCTGCCTGGAGCAGTCTTCCTCCCTCTTAACCCCTTTCCCTATGGCTGGCTCACTATCAAGTTTCATTATCAGCTTAACTGTCACCTCAAAGAGTGTTTCCCTGACCCCTGTTGTGGGTTGAATTATGTCCCCTGAGAAGGTTTGTTCAAGTCCTCATTCCCCCCACCCCCTGAACCCATGAATGTGACCTTATTTGGAAATAGTCTTTGAACATGTAATCAAGTTAAAATGAGGTCATATGGGGTTAGAGTGAACTCTCATCCAATGACTGGTGTCCCTACTAGGGGAGGGAAATCTGGGTGCAGAGACACAGTGAGAACACCCTGTGAAGATGGTGACGGAGAGCCAAGTGATCCTGCCACAAGCCAAGGAAGGCCTGGGGCCACCAGAAGCTGGAGGAGGCAAGGAGTCTCCCCTAGAGCCTTCAGAGGGAGCATGCTGACTCCTTGATTTCAGACTTTCCGCCTACAGAACAGTGAGGGAATCAATTTCTGTTGTTTTAACTCACGCAGTTTGTGTTACTTGGTTAGAGCAGCCCTAGGAACTAATACAGCTGCTCACTAAGGCCAGTCTCCCTCATCTTCCCCATCACACATGTTCCTCTCTTCCCTCCTTCACCCCTGTAATAACAATCTACAATGATCATTATTGCTGTGTTATGTTTATTATCCATCCTACTCACTAGACTGGGAGCCCTAAGAGGGGAGAGGCCTTGCCTGTCCTGTTCTCTGCTGTATTCCTAGTGCCTAGCCCTGCGCCTGTGACATATAGTAGGTGCTAAATAAGTGTTCACTTATTAACAGAGATTTAATGAATGTCTATCATGTGCTAGCACTGCTCTAGGTGAACAAAATAAAGAGTCCTATCCTGGCACTTACATACCATATTCAACAAGGAACATAATAAGTAAGTAAGCTTATAGGCTATTAGAAGATGATGAAGTTCCATGGACAGGGAGAGGAAAAGTAGGGTGGGATAAGGGAGATGGGGCATTGGGGTGGAAGAGAACAACCTGCAAAATTAAACAAAGTGGTCTAGAAGGCCTTGCTGACAGGTGGCACTTAAGTAGATTTTGAAGGAGATGAGGGAGTTGGCCATGTGAGATTCTTGAGGAAGAACATTCAGGCAAAAGGCACAGTCACTGCAAAAGCTCTCCAGCTATGGGAATATGCGTAGCACTTCAAAGAACAGAAAAGAGGAAAAGAGGTCAAGGAAGGTGGAACACAATGAGAAAAGGGGAGAATAGCAAGGGAGGAGGTCAAATATCTGTTGGCTGAAGGAAGGGATGGAGGGAGGGAAGGCAGGAGGGATGGGTATAGGGATGGGTATAAAGATGGGTGGATGGATGGATGGATGGATGGATGGATATGGACAGATGGAAGGAAGAATAGAAAAAGGGAGGAATGCTTCATATCTGGGAATCAAAAGCAGGGACTAACTCTGTCTTCTGGCCATATGTTAAGTCAGTAACTGACAATAAAGGGGACCCTACCCAAGAAAAGTGGCCAATTGCAGACCAAAAGAAGTCAGTTCTCCACACCCTTTATAGCCATAACACAGCACTACAGAACAGAGATGAGGATGCCTAAGAAAATTGACTTTAGTTTCTTGGGGACCCAGGATCCCCAACGAGGGCTCCTTCAGAGCCTGGGATCTCACCCACCCAGATGGCTGGAGCCCCCACGTACAAGGCCTCAGGCGCTCCCTTAGAGCCACAAACCATGAGGCTGAGCTGGCTGAGACTCCTGACAGCTAAAAGTGGATTTATTCCAAATGTATCACTAATGAGGCACTTTTTGATACAGAGGCCCTGAAGGTTGCCCATAAAATTCATGACAAACCACTGAGATATGAAATGGAATCAAGTTGGTTTCTAAAAATTAGGAATTTCCCCTTCGTCCTCCAGCTGCAGCTCCAGCTGGATTGGGTCAGCTCCCCAAGGGGCCTGCAGAGCAGGCCCATTGCTAAGAACCCCCTGGGTGAGGCCCAGAGGCCCGGAGTCAGAGGAGTCCTTTGTCCGCACAATCTGCTCCTTATCTTGCTCCACCCATCCCCATCCTGCCTGTTCTAGGAAACTTTCCCAGCCCTCCAGACAGGGCACATTGAATGTGTACAGACTTTAAGGCTCATGGTTGCTCTTTCCCTACCTGTCTCATCTGTCTCCCCCATGGGACACTCTGGCTCTCTCCCCTGCCCTCTCAGCAGCACTCGGCCCAGCTTGCCGCTTGGCCTTGCAGCCTCTTCTTTTCTTGCTTTGTGTGGCATCACACAGGCCTGGTTCTCCTCCTGTTTCTCTGGCTGCTCCTTCTCCACCTTTGCCAGTGCTCTTTGTTCTACGATGCAACTTCCAAGTGTTGGAGCACCCAGGGCTTCACCTTCAGCTTGCTCTCACTCTCCCTCCATAAATTATCTCATCCATTCTCAAAGTTGAAATATCATCAGTATACTGACAACTTCTTTGTTTTTGTTTTTGTTTTTGTTTTCCATCTCTGGTTCCAGCCTCTCCCCTGAACACCAGAATTCCATCTTTATGTGGACTTCCAAAAAGCATTTCAAACTTAACATGGCCAACACAAAACTCTTGATCTTCTGTTTCCTATCTCAGTAAATGGCACCACCCTATCCACCCAGTTGCTCAAACCAAACACCAAGGAATCTTCCTCAATTCCTCTCTCTCATTTTCCCTTAGCCCTCACATCTGCAGGTCTTCTCTGCTCTTGTTCTACCACTCACCTTGAATCTGGTTGCTTCTATTCCACGGCTTCCACCCTGAGCCAGGCCTCCTTCCTTCTTCCACTCCAGCTGCCTCCAATTCACTCTCCACCCACCAGCCAGAGAGCTCATCTAAAAATGTGGACTCTGCTGCTGGCAGAAGAAACAGCAGCAACTGTGCACATGCACAGAGCCCCAGGGACCCTCTGGGAAAGGCCAGATGCAGGCTCTCCAGGAAGAGACCCAAGCAGCAGTCCAGCAAACAGCCTGCCACCTCCACACTCTCTATATGCTAAGAGGCAGGAGCTGGTGCTGCCCAGAGCCCAGCACATCCTAACTGCTGATTACCAATGACAGGTTGAAGATCCCTAATCCAAACATCTGAAATCTGAAATGCTCCAAAATCAGAAACTTTTTGAACGCCAACACCACACTCAAAGAAAACGCTCTTGGGAGCATTTTGGATTTCAGATGTTAGGTTAGGGGTGCTGAACTGGTAAGTATACTGCTAATATTCCAAAATCAAAAAAAACAAATCCAAATCTGAAACACTGCTGCTCCCAAGTCAGATAAATGATACTCAACCTATAGTTTCATGTTCACTAATAATAATATAACTCTGCCTTTTGGCTCCCTTTGCAATTTGCAAAGTAATGCCAGGGGCATTACCATCATGACTCCTTCAGCAACCCCCTGGGATCAGTGTGATACCCCCAGTCACAGTGGGGGTCCCCACAGTGTCAGAACAGGGACTGCATCCCAGGTCTTCCAAACACAGGTTCCAGAACCACTCCCACCAACCCACCCATGGGGTCTTCTTGAAATAAACACTTCCATTACCATCATAAAACGTCCCAGAAATTCCACTGTTCTGACACTCAAGTGGCAGCTTCCAGTTAACACGGGGAATATGGGCAAAAATCCTTTGTCAGTTAGCGGGTCCCAGTTTGGGTTTGGGAAAATCCTTAATGTCCATCATTCTGCCCAGTGGTGCTATACTCAATCACACTGTTCTAGAAGAGTCTTATCTGAGCGAAAGCTGTATTTTGAGTTCAGCAGTGGAGCCCCTGTTTCACTCACTCATTCTCATCATTCTTAACCTTGATTACACCTGAGAATCTTCTGGAGACCCCATGCCCAGAGGCCACTAATCTGTTGGCCTGTTGTGGGGATGGGCTTTTATATTTTCTAAGTACCCCAGGTGATTCTAAAAGACAGCCATAGTTGAGAACCACCAACAGTTGATCCATAAACACATATGGAACACTGGTTGAAGGCTAGGCACTGGGTGAACAGAGATGTCCTCCAAAAAAAGCTTCTACCTAGTATGGAAAATATAAAGGTAAACAGATGATTCAAATGAGCTCATTTCAAGTGTTTGTTTTTGTTATTTTTTTAATTTAACAAACGTTTATATCACTGTCCAGTTGCTAGGCAATGTTCTAGGCACTTTATAAATTTACAAATTTAACCAGTTTAGATCTCAGACCTTAGAACAGTGGTGAAGGTATTATTACTATCCCCATTCTCCAGATGATGTAACTAAGACACATGGAGCTTAAGTAACTTAGATAAAGTCACAACATCTCATCAGTGACTGAGCCAGGGTTCTGACCCAGAGAACTGGACTTCATGTTTCTAACCACCATTCTCTGAAGGCAGTAGTTCCCACCTCATAGTAGAATTTGTGCAGGACACAGATTCTTGGCCCCATTCACCTCCCCTCATACCCCCTCCACCCTTAGGTTTTGGTTCAATCAGCTGAGATGAGACATGGGAACATACATTTTTTTTTCACATGTCCCAGGTGATTCAGACACAGGTGTCCTGGGGACTATCCTCTAAGAAACTCTCTTATTAAATAAGGTGTGGTGGTTTTAAATTGTGTCTACAAATGCTATGACACTCCCTCTAAAAAAATGAACCCTCCCCTTAAGAATCAGCTGAACTTAGTGACTTGCTTCTAACAAACAGAATACAGAAGAAATGATATTAAATAATATGTGATAAGTGGCTTCCAAGAGGAAGGGGCAGAACAAGGGCCAGCCCTTGAGCCAGGTGAGATATGAGAAGCACCAGGATGTACCATGCAGAGCATAAGAGACACTGCGGCTTCCTCGTTGCCCTCTCTTAGGCCACTCATTTTGGGGGAAGCCAGCTAGCTGCCCTGCTCTGAGGACACTCAAGCAGTCCTATGAAGGAGCCTGCATGGAGAGAAACTGAGGCCTCTTGCCAATAGCAGTACCATCTTGACACCCACATGAGTGCACCGTCTTGAAACTGGTCCCTCCAGCCCATCTGGCCTTCAGATAGAGTGACCATACATCCCAGCTTGCCTAGAACAGTCCTGGTTTATCCTGTTGACTGTGCATTCCATGCAATTTACCATTTGTCCTGGATAAAACTATCCTAGTTTAACCAATGGTAAATGATATAGTTATCCTGTTGAGGAACCCAAATTGCAGGCTAAGGCATTTGGACTTCACCCTGGAGGCTGTGGGGAGCCATGGAAGGGTTTTAAGCTTAGGAGTGATCTCATTCCAATTGTGTTTTAGAAAGATCCATTTGCAGAAAATGCACCAGTGTGCGGGAGGAACTGGTATGGAGGGTGGACTGGTTTGGAGAATGGGTGTGGAGGCTTGACCAGGGGAAAACAAGATGAGAAGCCAGGGAGGAGATAAACACAGTCCCTCAGCCAGAGTGGTCAGTGATCATGACCGCCTATATGAAGGCTGGAGCAGTGGAAGATGGGGTCACAGTAAGTTTAGGAAAACTTAGGAGATATTAAACAAACTTGGCTGCGGTAAGAGACAGAGAAGCAGCAGCCAGGGGTGATTCTGAGGCTATCAAGGGGGTATGGCCCCCACATTTCAGAGCCCAGAGCTCTGTCTAAAAATAGCTCTCAAATGAGTCACCTCAATTGCAGCCAACAAGGAATTGGCTGGTTTGTTATTGAATTGCAGGATGTTTGGCCAAACGGACTGAAACCATGTGTAGCCTTGGCTCGAGAAGTTCCCACTGGACCCAGTCTCTTGCTAGGGGCAGTGCCATAGCCCTGATGCATGCATAATCTCACTTTCTTCTCACAACAAATCAGCGAGAATGCCATAATTTCTTCTCATTTATCAGGCCTGATAGAAGCTGCCAAATGCTTCTAGAATGTAGGCTCTGTAGGCGGCGCAGCCAGAATTCAAACCCAGACCTCCTCAGATATTTGGTATCAGCTGGAAAGAGGTTTTTTTGGGTAAAATCCCTAGAAACATTCTCTTGCCTCCTTCCAGCTGGGATACATTGGCTGAACTCGAGTCACCCTCCTAATAAAAATTCCATGTTCCATCAGCAGAATGCTTCCATCCCAATTAGATCAATTTTCTCTAAGTAGCAATAAATGTGCTTTTCTTTCAGAGGCCAGCCCGACACATTAAGTAGGCTTGGGGCAGCCATTCCCCAAGCCTCTGGCTACGAGTGTGTGGGGTCAGGGGTCACAGCACCACCACCTCCAGCTCATTAGTGGGGCCCATTCATCTTTGCTGGGACACCAGCACTCAACATGGTGGCAGGGCTCAGGGTGGGGGTGTGTGGGCAATTCATCAGGGACTCTGGTTCGCCAGAGACAGGAGCAGAAAAGCAGGCCTGCTCACAGGCCGGCAGGAGCCCTAGGCCCAAGAGCTGAGAACCGGAGCTGCCTGGTTAAAGGTTAACCTGGTCTAGGATGTCTGTCTGTAAGGACTCACAGCCAGCTTGTAGGGAAGGAAGGGCCCAGGGCAGGCTCCTTTCAGATGCATCCGGCTCCTGCCTGCTAACAGTTTCCCTTCCGGCCAACTCCCCAAGCCGATCCTTGAAATCCATCTAAGCAAGGCCTACAGGGGCCTGGAGAATGATACTGTCACTCTCCTGTGGTGCGGGGACCTGCCTGGAATAGGCCCTTTGATTTGCAAATCCAGACACTGGAAATGGGAGCCTAAGAGAGCCCCACTCTATCCTGCCCTGCCTGGGCCACTGGGCCTGGTAGAAGCTTGACCAAAAGAATGAGACCTCTCAACTTCCCCAGGACTAAAGCTCAGCCTGCATCAACCTGTGAACCCACACACACAGCCCAAGTCACCCTGAGCCAAGCAGAACTGCAGCTCTGGACATGGGATTCTCAGAGTGGCATGGTAGTAGTTTGCTACGGATGCTGTATTGATGTACCACAAACTAAGTGGCTTAACAGATATTTATTCTCTCCCAGCTCTGGATGCTAGAAGTCCCAGATCAAGGTGCCAGCAGAACCATGTTCCCTCTGAAGGAGCTAGGGAAGGTTCTGCTCCAGGCCTCTCTCCCAGCTTCTGATAGTTCCCTGGCCTGTGACAGCATAACTCCAATCTTCACCTGGCGTTCTGCATGTGTGTGTATGCACCTGTGTTCAGATTTCTCCATGTGTGGTGTGTGTGTGTATGTGCATGTGTGCAACAAGGTCTTGCTCTGTCACCCAGGCTAGAGTGCAGTGGCACAATCTCAGTTCATTGCAATCTCTGCCTCCCAGGCTCAAACAATCCTCCTGCCTCAGCCTCCTAGGTAGCTGGGACTACAGGTGCATGCCACCATGCCTAGCTAATTTTGGGGGTTTTTTTGTTTTTTGGTTTGTTTTGTTTTTATTTTTTGTAGAAACTGAATTTTGTCATGTTTCCCAGGCTGGTCTCCAACTCTTGGGCTCAAGTGATCTGCCCACCTCCGCCTCCCAAAGTACTGGAATTATAGGTGTGAGCCACTGCACCCAGCCCAGATTTCTCCTTTTTCATAAACACACCAGTAATACTGGATTAGGGGCCCAACCTACTTCTGTATAACCTCATCTTAACTAACTACATCTGTAAAGACCTTATTTCCAAATATGGTCTCATTCTGGGGTACCGTGGTTAGGGCTTCAACATATGAATTTGGGGGTACATACAGCCCCAAAGAGCCCCATTAACTCTTCCCCCTTTGGGCCATGTGAGAGGCAAGCCTCGGGGATCCTCATTCATTTGGCAAATGTGTATTGAGCACCCATCAGGCCCAGTGCAAGGTACTAGGGGTACAGTGGTAAGCTGGTGTCTGCTCTGTGGGTTCACAGGTGGCAGGGGAGACAGGGACAATCAATTACAAAAGCAACTGTACAATTACAAATTGTGCTAGGAGCTCTGAAGCAGAGGTGTGAGCAGCTACAAAAGTGCAGAACCAGGTCACACTCCAGGTAAGAAGTCGAGCTGGGGCTGGCATCACAATAGTGTAAGCATCCTCAGCTTCCCTGGGCTGTTCTGCAGTGCAGCTGACCCCCACCCACAGCTCCTCCTCTCCTGGCTATCTGGCCCCTTGGTTATCTGGCCCCAACCCCTACCCAGCCTGAGGTCTTTCCTAGAAGCCAGATTCATGGCATCTGAGCAACCTGCCCAGGAACCACCGCTGGAGGTAATCTTTCTGCAGAGCCCACGGGCCTGGCAGAGGTCTCCCTGATTGACACTCACCCTGGATGAGCCATCCTCTCAGCAGCAGCTCATCCTTCAGCCTTCCAGGCTCTTGCAGCTCCAGCGGCATCTCAGTTCAGCCCTGGGACTCCAGCACAGAATACACATTCAGATAATGACCAGTAGGTCTTGGACCCAAATGTCACCTCCTCATGGAAGCTTTGCTGACCTGACTCCTCCAAGCCCAAACAACTCCTCAACATCCCCACCTCAAATGAAACTAAACAATGGATTACAGAATTAGCTGTTCTGTATCTGTCTCCCCTAGAGACTGTAAGCTTTACAAGAACTGAGACAACTTTCTCATCCACCTCCATATGCCCCAAATCCACCCTGTGCCTGTCACATCATGGTGTTTTGTAAACGTGAGCTAGGTAAATAAACAAAATAATTAATTATTTAGTCAACCTCCTACTTCTTTCTACCAAAACCACAAATTGAGCCACGGGCTTGATGCAAGTCCACGGAACTCCTGACAGTACCAGGAAAACAAAGACATGGAATGAGAGAGATTGTGTTCAGGATGGAGGGAACAGCTTGAGCAAAGACAAGAGAGGGAGGAAATGCTAAGTGGGTTTGGAGTGAGTATTTGGTTTGGCCAGAGCAAGACTCAACTGTGCATGGCCTTGAATGCTGGACTTAGGTGGTGGTTACAGGGTGCCATGAAGGTTTTTGAGAGGTTGTGGCATGATCAGACTTGGGCTGTGCTGATGCGGAGAGCAGGTAGCTCCACAAGAAAGTACAAAACGTGGGGCCAGAGATCAGGAGAGAAGTTTGGGCGAAACCAAGGTTCAAGAGCTGTCCCACAAAGAAGGCAACTGAGGTCACTGAGGGAGAGCAAAAAGAGGGGTGAAATTGTACAGAATCTGGGGACAACTGTAGTGCAGAGAAGATGGGTTCAGGAAGGGCAATATGATCAGGAAAGCAGAGGAGTGACCAGAGAGAGGGGAAGAAAGCCAGGCCTGCCCAGCATGCTTGGAGGGAGGCCCCACCTTTCCTCATGTCCTTCTGTCTGCCCACTGTACGGGGCAGGGAGAACCAATTTCAAAATCTGACCCCATCAAGAACCAGCTGTAACACCTGGGCAAGTGGATGTACCTCCAGAAGTCTGTTTTCCCATCTGAAGATTGGAGCTGGACAAACTCAACCTGCTGGGGTATAAGGAATGTGACACATTGAAATATTATTGCCAGTCCCAGCACACAGCTGCCTCCTGGGTTTTCCAGCAACACGGTCCTGGTCCAAATCAGCAGCATTTCCCAACCTTTGCATTGTAGACATTTTGTGCTGCATGAGTCTTTAATGCCCACATGCATTGTAATCTTTTTTGTTTTATTTTTGTTGTTGTTGTTGTTGTTGTTTGTTTGTTTGTTTTTGAGACGGAGTCTCGCTCTGTCCCCCAGGCTGGAGTGCAGTGGCACGATCTCAGCTCACTGCAAGCTCCGCCTCCCAGGTTCACGCCATTCTCCTGCCTCAGCCACCCGAGTAGCTGGGACTACAGGTGCCCGCCACCATGCCCGGCTAATATTTTTTTTTTTGTTGTATTTTTTAGTGGAGACGGAGTTTCACCATGTTAGCCAGGATGGTCTCGATCCTGACCTCGTGATCCGCCCGCCTCGGCCTCCCAAAGTTGCTGGGATTACAGGCGTGAGCCACCGCGCCCGGCAATGCCCACATGCATTGTAGGGTGTTAAGCAGCCCCCCTTGGAACAAAAAATGTCTCCAGTCATTACCAAGTGTCTGACCCCTAGGGAGCAAAATTGCCTCCAATTGAGAACCACTGGTGTAAACCATGAAAGCTGTAGGCAAGTGTCTCCTACTGCCTCTGTTTCCCAGAGGAGGTCCTATGTGCCCATGCCCTCATGCATTCAATCAACAAACATTCTCTGAACCCTTTTTCTATGCCAGACTTGTGCCTATGTGCTGGGCCGTGAAGACGGCACTGCATAGAACAGTGATCCTGCTTGCAGGGATTTTACAGTTACTGAAGGAAACAATTTTGATACAATGAGATCTCTCAGCAGGGTAGGCAGGATAATGGCCCCCAAAGATGTCCATGTCCTCATGCCCAGAGCCTGTGAATATATTACTTTTTATAGCAAAAGGCACTCTACAGGCGTGATTAAATTAAGGAACTTGAGATGGGGGATTATCCTGGATTATCTGAGTTGGCCCAATGTAATCGCAAGGTCCTTGTAAGTGAGAGGGAGACAGGAGAATCAGAGTCAGAGAAGGAGATGTGATGGAATCAGCAGTTGTCCGAGTCAGAGAGATGAAGCTGCTATACTGCTGACTTTGAAGATGGAGGAGGGGCCATGAGCCAAGGAATGCAAGTGGCTCTAGAAGCAGGAAAAGACAAGGAAACAAATTTTCCCCTAGATCCTCCAGAAGGAAGGCATCCCTGCCAACACCTTGATTTTAGCCTAGTGAGGCACACTTCAAATATGTGACTCCAGAACTGTAGTCTGTGGTCATTTATTACAGCAACAATAGGAAACTAGTATTCACAGTCACACCATTAAGCACAGGGAACTGTAGGATCTCAGGGAAAGCAACAGGGCTGCCACGTATAATTATCCAGGTAGCACACTGCCAAAAATTTGCCAGCTGAGGAGATGAACGCGGCTGAAATTTGGCCCACACTCCACTTGCCAAGCCGTGAGCCCTTATGAGGACTGTGTTTCTGAGACAAGGAGCATCTTTTTCCGATGTACATACAGGCATTTTTCATTTGCTAAAAGATGTGTCCACCCAGGCTTGGGGAGGAGGTCTTTCCTAATTTGCACAAAGGAGCTACCCAGATAACTATGGCCCTGGCAAGAGACTCTGACTCTTCCTGGGATAGTCAGAGAGGCCTTCACAGAGGAAGTAACATCTGAGCTAGATCTTAAAGAACAAACATGGAGCCTGTAATCCCAGCACTTTGGGAGGCCGAGGCAGGCAGATCACTTGAGGTCAGGAGTTCAAGACCAGACTGGGCAACATGGTGAAATCCCGTCTCTACTAAAAATACAAAAATTAGCTGGGTTTGGTGGCAGGCACCAGCAATCCCAGCTACTCAGGAGGCTGAGGCAGGAGAATCACTTGAACCTGGGAGGTGGAAGTTGCAGTGAACCGAGATCTTGCCACTGCACTCCAGCCTGGGTGACAGAGCTAGGTGACAGAGTGAGACTCAGTCTCAAAAAAAAGAACAGACGTGGAAAGAAAGTAGAGCCATTCTACGAAAGAGAATAGCACAAAAGTCTGTAGGGGCCTGATTCACTTAGAGGAAGAAGAAGGAGCTCCACCTGGCTGGAGCATCAGGTACATGGAGGAGATGATTGGGAGATGCAGAGTTCAGCTTGGGATGTGCAGAGTCTGAGGGGACTGCGGAACACTCATGGAGTGATGTCTAGGAGGTGGCCAAATGCCCATGCCTGGAGCTCTGGCAACAGGGCTGAGCTGCTCCACACCACCCTCCTGATGCCATTCCAGGGAGCCCACCTTGGACCAGACTAAGGCCCCCATCCCACCAGCCCAGCCCCAGGGACTTCTCCCTGGCTCTCGGGGATGCCTGGCTGTTCAATGACTTGCTTTTAGGGTCTAGTAGTGTCTGTCCCTGCAGTGGCTCCACTTCCTAGCACTTAACTCTAAGACAGGTATTTATGGTGCCTTGACCTTCCCTAATATATTGCTACAAGGTAACGTGGGCCAGTCCTGCAGTTCTGGTCATCCCATGGCCCCTCCCTGGGCCTGAGCAAAGAACAAGAAAAAACCATCAAGCTGGTCACGAGGTTTGCGATACAAATGGCAGTGAGTTGTTTTCAGGAGGCAAATGGGCCCCCACAGACTAATGGCTTTCAGTGGCTCCCTCCCCCTCCCTCCCTGAGCTTCCCCCGCCCCGGTCCAGAGCTGGCCCAGCTGGGAAGCTGCAGTTGCTCCAGCCACCCCCACCCCCCAGCCCTTTTGCTGACAGTATAACCTTCAGGAACCTGAAATTCCTGAGTGGTCCCCAGAGCTCCATGCATCTTGAAAGAAAATTTGTGTAATGTCATTTCAGGCTGTCCCTAATCCAGAATTATTGAGGGGGGGCTGGGACCTGGGAATTGCCTCTGACACTTGACAAATACTCAGCTTTGTGTAAATGGACAGGCTCCTGAAATAACTGCCTTTGGATGTCATATGAAGAGAAATTAATTCTTTATTAACTTCCGCAATGATAATCTAATAAACCCATCAGGCCTCCAGGCCCCAACATTTAAAGAGCTTGGTAGTTTGGATGCAAATGTCTCCTGACCCCATTTTGTCGGGAATATGTTCATGGAGAGGAGGAATAATTGACTCTAGAGGTCAGATGTCAGCTCAGAGTCAAAACGAGTGACTTTCATGGCTCCACACAGACCTGAGACTCAGGAGGTTTGGCCTTTCCTGTGGCCACCAGCTGTTCTGGATTTTCTGCGATGGCCCTTAATTTCAGGTATTCTGTCCCTTTGTTCCCCAAAGAGCATTTGTTCTGGTCAGACAACAGTCTCTGGTTTTTATTCAGATTGTGAGGTCACCAGAGCCCTCACCCGCCAGTACCAAGGGGCCGTTCATATATTCTTTAACTCTTAGGTGCGGCCAGGTGCTGGAAGGAGGAATGCAAGGCTTCTGTCCCTGGGGCTTATGGTCCAGTGGGTCCGGGGGAGGGAGGAGCAAATAAAAGAATTAATTGAAGTTATAAATTGAGGGCACAGTGGCTCATGCCTGTAATCCCGGGAGCTTTGGGAAGCTGAGGCAGGAGAATCACTTGAGGCCAGGAGTTTGAGACCAGCCTGAGCAATAAAGCAAGACCCAATCTCTACAAAAAAAAAAAAAAAAAAAAATTAATTGGCCAGGAGTAGAGTAGCTGTAGTCCCAGTTAATTGGGAGGCCAAGGTGAGAGGATTTCTTGAGCCTAGGAGGTAGAGGCAGAGGCAGCACTGAGCTATGATCAAGCTACTGCACTCCAGCAGCCTGGGTGACATAGCATGACTCTTTATTCTCTCAATTAAAAAAAAAAAAAAAAAAACTAGGGGAAATGGTATGAGGGCAAAGGATATCTCCACTTCTCCTTAGAGCTGAGCCTGGATCTCAGTCACCACGTGAGTCCACAGTGTGAGCAGGCAGCCTGGCCAAAAGGGCTCTTGGGTCCCTCAGGCCAGGCCTTTCTGGTGAAGTCCAGGCTCCATATCCCTACCATCAGCACTGACAGAAACAGAAATCTGCACGTCCATCCTGGAGGCAGGAGAAGGTGACAGGAGGTGCAGGGGCCTGCCAGGGCAGAGAAACCAGAAACCCCCAGAATGCCAAGGGCAGAAGACCCCAGCCTGATCTGGTGTCTGACTAGTCCCTGTTTGCACACCTCCCACAATGGTGCACTCATTACTGCTCAAGGAGGCC
Source organism: Homo sapiens (assembly GCF_000001405.40). NCBI lineage: Eukaryota > Metazoa > Chordata > Mammalia > Primates > Hominidae > Homo > Homo sapiens. The sequence continues at coordinate 40,876,966 of NC_000020.11, forward strand.
CCCTGGGAAATGAGTGACTGCACAAGTTCTTCTTGAACAGACCAATGTGTGTGTGTGTGTGTATATATATCTTATATGTAAATATACATATATGTAATTAGCACATAATAAAGCTATATCACAAACTAGTGAATAAATGAAGAATTATTCAATCTGTGATACTAGAACCAATGGTTTAACCATACGGAATCCCACAGAGATTTAGAAACTCAGTAAAAATGTAGCAAAAAAACTAGAAAAAGAAAATGTATATGAATGACATTTGAGAGTAGAAAAAGGATTCTCTAAGCATTAAAACACTCGAAGAACTCACGAAAGAAAAGATAATGAATGTGACTACATAAAAATTTAAAATTTCTCTCTTATAAACTTGAGCATGATAATCAATACCACTTCTTAAAAGGGGCAAAGGTCAAAGCAGATAATTCACAAAAGAAGAAATACAAACAGCCAATATACATGTGAAAAAAATGTTCAATCATGCATATAATCACAGAAATGCAAGTCAAAACAGCAATAAGATGCCATCATTCACCTATCAAATTGATTTTTTCTTAATTGCAATGATATTCAGTGCTGGGGATGACAAGATGTGCACTCCCTCACATTGCTGGAAGAGGCGCAAATTGTTACAACCCTCCTGGAAATCAGCTTTCTAACATGTATCAAGGACTGTAAAATTCTTTCTACTAGACTCTTTAATATACAAAGAGCATGGTTTCAAAAGGAGGGAGAAATGGTATAGATTAAGAGAGACTTGCAAGTTGCATCAACCAAATGAAAAACGTGGACTTTCATTTGGATGCTGATCCAAACAAGCTGGCTCTAAAGAGACATTTTTTGAGATAATTGGAGAAAATTGAACATGGCCTGACATTAGATAATATTCAGGAATTATTGTTCATTTGTGTAGGTATGTTAATAACATTCTGGTTATGTTTTTAATAAGTTATTTTACCTATGGAGAAGTAAAACAACTTTTGCAGGAGAAATGATACAACATCTGGGACTTGTTTTAAAATATTCCAACAAACTGGGGAGGAGATGGATAAAACATGATTGTCAGAATGTTAGTAATTGTTGAAGCTGGGTGATCCATGATGGGGTAGGAGGGCCCATTATACTATTCTCTCCTATGTATAGCCAGAGCTTTCCTGTAATAAAAGATATTTTGAATATGTCAGTTGAGCCAGCCATCCTTCTTTGAGATTCTATCCTCAAGAAATTATCAAAGATCTGCACATAATTTGCAATTTTAAAAATATGGAACCAGCCTAAATGCCCATCAATTCATGAGTGGATAAAGAAATGTGGTGTATACCATGGAATACTATGCAGCCATAAAAAAGGATGAATTCATGTCCTTTGTAGGGACATGGATGAAGCTGGAAACCATCATTCTCAGCAAACTATCACAAGGACAGAAAACCAAAAAACGCATGTTCTCACTCATAGGTGGGAATTGAACAATGAGAACACCTGGACACAGGAAGAGGAACATCACACACCAGAGCCTGTTGTGGGGTAGTGGGAGCAGGGAGGGATAGCACTAGGAGATATACCTAATGTAAATGACAAGTTAATGGGTGCAGCACACCAACATGGCACATGTATACATATGTAACAAGCATGCACATTGTGCACATGTACCCTAGAATTTAAAGTATAATAATAAAAAAAAAGAAAAAAAGAGATGTGGTGTATATGTGTGTGTGTATACACACACACACACACACACACACACACACACACCATGGAATGCTACTCAGCCATAAAATGGCGTGAAATAATGGCATTTGCAGCAACCTGGATGGAATTGTAGACTATTATTCTAAGTGAAGTAACTCAGGAATGGAAACCCAAACATCACATGTTCTCACTCATAAGTGGGAGCTAAGCTATGAGGATGAAAAGGCATAAGAATGAAACTTTGGGGACTTGGGGGAAAGGGTCAGGGGAGGTAAGCAATAAAAGACTACACATTGGGTACAATGTACACTGCTCAGGTGATGGGTGCACCAAAATCTCAGAAATCACCACTAAAGAACTTATTCATGTAACCAAACACCACGAGTTCCCCCCAAACCTACTGAAATTTAAAAAAAATAAAATAAAATGTTAATTTCACAATAAAATGTGAAAAAATATGCAGAAATTTTTTAAAAATGTGCACAAAGATTTATGTACATAGATACAAATGAGAAAACTGGTCATGAAAGCAAAAAAAAAACAAAAAGAATCAGTTATAAGCAAAATATCCCATAACAAGTTATGGTACAGACAAAGAGCTGAATATTAAGCCACCATGATAAAAAGATATTTTTAAAATATCAGAAAATGCTCATGTGTTAAGTGGGGAGGAAAAAAGCAAGATACAAAATTGTATATTCACTATGATCCCAATTACCTTTAAAATGAATATAGTTGTGCATTTTTTAAAAGGCCAAAATGTTAACTGTGGTCATCTTTGGGAGGTATAATTACAAATGATTTTTATTTGCTTCTTTAAACTTTTCTCTATGCAATAAGGTGGAAAAAATGTAATTATCTTAAGACATGGTGCCAACATTCCTCTTAGGAAAGAAACTAAGTTGGAGAAACGCTTTGATGAGCACATGGGCTAGAAGCTGAATCCCTGAGGCCTGGACCATGGGGAAAACTGATGCCAGGCCAAGCTTTGTCTCAGGGTAATATTGGCAGGGGGGACCCTAGGAAGAGGGGAAAGCTTGGAGAACATAAACCACCAGGAAATGCACAGAATTCCTGGCAAGTACACTGAATACCCTCCCCTTACAGAACGGAGCAGTCTAGCTCATTTCACCTGGAACTCTGAAAGGTAATGTCTCTCTCTCTACACCTTAGCTGACATCTCAGTAACCTGGATGTTCCAAGTTCTCTACAATAAGCAGGCATTGCTTCTACAATCAGAAGAAAGCAGTGTTTTATTTTTCTTTTTGAAGGAAAACAAAGTTTTCTTTTTCCCAAGCTGGAACTTGCCTTTCTGGAGCCACCCCCTATTGTTATTACCTGGAACTATCCAGACCAAGTCAGCGCTGTCTCTCACCTGCAGCCTCAGTAGTTTGAAGACAACATTCGCTTCTTCTGTCTACTCTAGTTCCTCTGATCATGTGTTGCTAATATTGCTGTGGTTCTGAATCTCCTCCCGAGGTTAAGTTATCTTCTCTAGGTGAGCTCTAGGAAACCTGGATCCTGTTTAAATTCTAGTACATACACCTGAATACAAGACATCTGACCAGTTCAAGGTAAAAAGTAACTATCACCTCCCTCAAACTAGGCTCTATACTTCTAATGATACATCCTATAGCTATATTACATTATTACTGACTCATATTATGTCAATTATTAAGCTACTGTCTACCAGCTTCAAACCTACCCTTCCAAGCTCTGCTTTCTGATGCTAGAACTGAGACTCTGTAAACCACATTTTTTCTTGGCCAGAAGGCTTCATGTCAGGCTTAGCCAACAGGGGCACTAGAGGGAGACTGGAAGGCTGAAAGAGGAAGAGGCATGCTCCTTCATGCTTCCTCTCTGTTCATGGTTTAGCTCCTGTTCCAGGTAGCTTTGTCTCAACGTGCTACTTTACCCTGGCAGCAGCATTTAGTTCCAGCAACTGAAACTGACTTCAGTTTTCAGTTTTTCAACCCTTGCAGAACCAGTCTCATCACGTCCCCCAAAAGACACCAGCACTTGCCAGCTGGCATTTCCTCCTCAGAGGTCTGAGTCCCAGCTCCTTGAGGCTCTTCCTCCCAGTTTCTAACTTTTAATAATACCAACCTCTTCCCTTTGTTCCCTCAGCCCTCAATGGCTGCTTCCTGCAGTTGCTCTCTCATAATATCTCAATGTGCAAACGTTTTGCCTTTTCAGCTTTCTGATGACAAATGGTCTTTACACAAAATTCTTCCTGTTAAGATACCTGGTGTGGTTTCTGTCTCCTGATTGGACCCTGACTGATACACTGCTGCTGAGTCTCATCTTCCCCCACTGTATACCTAGTGGGTGATTTTCTAGATGCAACTGTTAGATTTCCTCCTGGTAGGTTTTAACATAGCTTCAGCCTGTCAAGAGATGGTCAGATCCTAATCCTGTCTTCCAACGTGTTTACTATCCCTTCCAGTATCATGTCATCTACCAGTGTGATTAACCTATGCTAGAGCCCTGATCCACATCACTAATTAAAACACCACCTAGGGTGTTTTAATTACAGGCATGGTGGCTCATGCCTGTAATCTCAGCACTTTGGGAGACTGAGGCAAGTGGATCACTAGAGGTCAGGAGTTCGAGACCAACCTGGCCAACATGGTGAAACCCCATCTCACAAAAATTAGCGGGGCCTGGTGGTGGGTGCCTGTAATCCCAGCTATTCTGGAGGCTGAGGCAGAAGAATCACTTGAACTCAGGAGGTAGAGTTGCAGTGATCCAAGATTGAGCCACTGCACTCCAGCCTGGGCAACAGAGCAAGACTCTGTCTCAAAAAAAAATAAAAAATAAAATAACACCCAGGACAGAGGCCTCCGTAAACTGAAGAACTCCCTCACTTTCCCCCAAAGCACCCCCCAAGAGGCTTTCCTCATACCTGGATACTAGTGAATCACATCAGAGCTGAGAGTTCTAGAAAGCCTTGTGTGTGTGAATCTTCCTGACACTGCAATGACAGTGAGTAGGGCCTGGCTGGTGTCAGCTGTCATGGCCTAGGCTCCCTCTGGAGAGGATGGATCTCTACAGTGAGAACCTGGTGCATCACCTGGAGAGCCACACCCTAGATCTGGAACAACTAGGCCCCCTTCTCTTGGAATTCACTGACCCAGGTCCAGCGTTCATGCTCCTCACTAATTTCACAGCAAAGCAGCAGTGCAAATAATAGCAAAAGTCTGTTTTGTAAATTGCATCAATTATATAATTTTCCCAGGAATGATTTTTACATATAATTAGCTCAAATTGTCTTACAAAAACTAAAAGGAAGTTGCATCCAAAAATAGCACATGGGTTTTGGTTTACCTTAATTAGAAATGCTTCCTTTAAAATGGAAATAAGCAATCTTGCAAATCAAAGAGGCTCCAAGGTCAGGTTTGGGGACCCCAGAATCTCTTGGGGAATCCAGGTGGTTCTTGGAGGATAGATCTTCTTGGAAAGAGGTTTTTTATTTAGTCAAGAGACGGTCACTCCAGGTGGTCTCACCTCTGGTGTTGGGGAGCAAGACTCTCAGAAAGAAAAGAGACATAAATCATTAGCACACACGCCCTTTCTTCCAAGCACTATGCTTGGTCTAGACCCCTCCACGTGGCTTATATGGTCCTCACAAAGACCCTGCATGCCTTAAAACTGAGGCAGCTGAGTTTTCTGGGGTTGCCATGTTTGCCTAACACTACAAAGGCAGGAAGTGTCAAGGCCTAGAGCGCAACCCAGCTTTCCCCCATCCTTCCTCTCTAAACTGCCGTGATAACCACAGAATATCAGTGGCTTTGCAAAATGACATTTATTTCTCCCTCAACAAAAGACTCCCAAGGGTATAGCTGACTGAGCAGCTCTCCAGGAAGTTATCCCCAAGCAAGGACTCCAGGATCCTGGCCCCAAGTCCCTCTTTTTTTCTTTTCTTTTTTTTTTTTTTTTTTTTTTGTGCGTGTGTATGTGAGACAGGGAGGGTCTGGCTCTGTTGCCCAGGCTGGAGTGCAGTGGCATGGAGTTTACTGCAACCTCTGCCTCCTGGGCTCAAGCAGTCCTCCCACCTCAGCCTCCCAAGTAGCTGGGACTACAGGCACATGCCACCAAGCCCTGCTAATTTTTGCATTTTTGTAGAGATGGGGTTTCGCCATGTTGTCCAGGCTGGTCTTGAACTCCTGGGCTTAAGACATCCTCCTGCCTCAGCCTCCCACAATGCTGGGATTACAGGCGTGAGCCACCATGCCCAGCCTCCAAGTCCCCTTTATGTCAAGGCTGTGTTCTCTGAGTCCCATCCACTCAGCCAATTAGACAGGAAAGGAGACAAAGTGTGGAAAGGGCACATTCCCTCTTAACTACCTCTGCTCAGAGGCAGCACCAATCTCTTCTCCTTACATTCCATCAGCAAGAACTAGTCAGACAGAAGGGGCACTTGAAACAAAGCTAGACAACATTCCCAGAGGCCCCTGAATCTGAGTAGGTCCATATGACTAGTTTTTGCTAGTGGAATATAAGCAGAAGAGATGGTCACTGGTGAGCCTCAGACATCTCTGCTCTGAAGCCCACCATAATAACCAGGTCTTACCAGTTCCTTCCCCCAAGACTGCAGCCTGCTTCCCTTCCCTTCAGTTCCCGGCTGGATTCCTGGCCCAGAGCCAAAGATAACTCATCCCTGTGACGGCATGTCATCTCTGTCTGTGACAAGACCTCATTCACCCTTGGACAAAGATGGCTTCTGGCTTGGCCCAGACCAGGCCTGCCACCAACCACCCTTGGGCATTTGGTGGGGCCAGGTTCCTGGTCCTCACCCACTACCTCTCCACTCCTCTGCCCTGCTTCCATCCCACCACTGAGTTCTGTATCTCTTTACTAGGGCTACTGTAAAAAAGTACCACCAATTGAGTGGCTAAGAAACAGAAACTTACTGTCTCACAGTTCTGGAGGCTAGAAGTTTGTGAACCAGGTGCTGGCAGGGTTGACACCTGGAGTGCAGTGAGGGGGAATCTATTCTGTGCCTCTCCCCTGGCTTCTGGTGGTTTGCTGGCAATTTTTGGCATTCCTTGGCTTGTAGATGCATCACTCTGATCTCTGACTTCAACGTCACATGGTGTTCTCCCTGTGTCTTTGTCTCTGTGTCCAAATTTTCCCTTTTATAAAGACACCAGCCATACTGGACTAGGCCACCCTAATGACTAATGATAATAATTTTAACTTGATTATCTGCAAAATCTTTATTTCCAAATAAGGTCACATTCACAGGTACTCTGGGGCAGGACTTCAATATCTTTCAAGGGGTATAATTCAACCCATAACAAGACCCCGGAACATAGTAGGGTCTTGTCTGAAGATGCCTTGACAGTCCTGGGCAACCTTACCTACCTAATAACCAGACAGGAGGAAAAAGTGTTCCTCGGACAGAAACACTCCCAATCTCCTATCCCCAGGCTTGGAATGTGAGTGGTATGGACAGCAGGCACATGAGAAAAGGAATGCAATAGCCCCTCAGAGCCCTGCAACATCATTAGCCTCATGATGATTAATAAGTATTAATAAGTTATTAATAAAGATTAATCAGGACCTTTCCCAAGAGCTACAGAGGAGGCTGGCTAATAGCACAAAACAAATAAATGAAAACAACTAGGAGAAAACCTGAGTTTTCACCAGCCTGAGAACCAAGTGGCTACTTCTCACCTCCTGGAGCATGTGAGCCCCAAAGCAGACTGAGATATAAATCCTGCTTTGCCACTTTTTGGCTGAAACATTTTGGGCAGGCTCATCTCCTCCCCCAGGGTTGGGTGAACATCATATAAGAGGTGTTGCACCACATGAGTGCTCTGTAAGCATTGGTCAAGTCTTGGAGGCAAGGCCTGAAGCTGGAGCCTTGCTTGCTACAGCCGATCCCTGAGCCACGGCCACCCCAGGCCCAGCTCAGCCTGAACAGCTAAGCAGAGGAAGCAAGCCCCAGATGGGGAGGGCAGCCTCAGAGGTCTCCATCCCTTAGAGAATCTGATGGTGGTGACAGACCCAAATGGTCAGCAACAGCAGTGACAATGATGGCTCAACCCACTCTCCAAGAGATCCCTATGTGCCAGGCACCACAGGAGGCAACTGCTGTTATCACCCTCACTTTACAGAGGAGGAAATTGAGGCTCAGAGAGGTTACAAGGCTTCTCTTAGATCACACAGATGGGGAATGATAGAGTCTTAGGATATGACTTGACACAGAGGCTGGACAAGACTTCTTTCTGCTCACCCATGCCTGCCAAGGCCTGAGCCAGTAACACCTATAATGGACACAACATGGCGATGGAGTTGATAACACACACACATGCACACCTGGATTTCAGAACATCTTTAGGGACTAGGACCACATCCCTGCTGTATCCTGTTTCACTTTTCTCCTGATGCTCCTAGAACCTCCCCTTTTGAGGTTCTCAGCAAGTTTATATTTGGGAATAATTGTAACATAATTTGATAGATAATTAGAGCAGAATTAAGTTAAAAAATGAGTGTTTTTAACTACTCATACATCCCCATGTCATTTAAATAATTCCTAATATATCCAAGCCACTTGCTTCGTGCAGCACTGATGTGTATTGAACTGAGGATAATGAAATACGGGATGGAAGAGGGAAAATGCTATTTCAGAGTCTGAAGATCACCAATTAATGACATGAAAAACCAAGAGGGACTCTGTTCACTTAATGTCCCCTGTGTAGGACACAAATGCAGGACCCCCTAGCAGGCTCCCTGTTCAGTGCCTCCAAGGCAATCATGACAGGCCAGAGGGACCAGGTGGAAGGGAAACGGCAGGGGCAGCTCCGAGAGACCGAGCTGCCTCTGTGCTCCCCCGACCCCCCAGCAGGACCAGCCATTCTTGACATCCCATCCCTCTGCAGTTCTGACACAGCTCTTCCCATAATGCCTCTACTCATTATCCAACACACCTACTGTTTTATGCTAACACTGAGATCTTGTAACAAACTCAGAAGCCTTGTCCTACTAAAATAATGCATCCACTCAACCCCTCTATTCATCACGGTGCTGGAGCCCTGAAGGATCTGGTCTCCATCTGCACTTCCATCTAAGGCCATTTGCCACTCACTCACTCTCACCTCACAAGCTGTCTTTTAGTTCTTCAAAGACTGGAAGCTCTAGGGCCTTTGCATGTGCTGTCACCTTCCAACCCCCTCCCCTATATAGACACACACACACATACACACAACATCCTCCTCTTGTTTTCCCACTTTGGCACCACAGCCCAAGTGCTGGGTATGAACTTGGTATCCAGAAAATTCTTTGCCCTGAAGTTCTCCAACAGCACAGTCCCCAAGAAAGACAGTTCAAGTTTGGATTTTCTCCCAAATGACCTCTGAAGAGGGGATTTAACTCATAGGATCTGAATTGGCTTCCTCTCCCTGGAGAGAGCCTGGCTCAGGGACAACTGGAGCACACCACAGCCCAGGATGGTAAACCAGGCAAGTGGTTCCTGCCCAGGAACACTACTGTAAGCCCTGTGCTGCCTCATCTGCCATCGTCCAGGTGCCTGCCCATGGCTAGGGTGTAGCACCTTCTTGCAAAGCATCCCACACTGCTCCCCCTCCTCCCCAGCTCTCTGAACCCTGCTGAGGTTTGGAGTCCCAACACGATTGTCCTCACTGACCTTCCCCTCTGGTCCTTATTGGCCTAGGAGTTCTGGCAAGGACCTCGGGGTTCAGTAACCACATTCCTGTACAAGCATCAGAGCCCGGCTCACACTCAAAACACTGCACACCTTGAGGACAGGCTGGCTCCTCCATTGCTGGCCCCTCTGTGCACCAGAGAGACCAAGGACTTGGAGACAGGCCCTGTCTCAAATGTTGGGTCCTAAAGACCAATGAGCACATCAGACCTCATTGTCCTGATTCTTGGTTCAGAAAATCTCACCACACTGGTGTTCTCTCCAGGTTTCCAGGCAGCAAAGTGGAGAGGCTGGGAGCTCAGACTTCCAAACCAGACTTCAGATCCAGGCTCTCCCACTTACTAACTTTGTGTCCTCCGGTACATAACTTTACTCTTTGTGCCTGTTTCCTCACTGGTAAGTGGAGGTACATGGTAGTGCCTGTGTCCAAGAGTTATTGTGAGATTAAATGAATTCACATTAGGGTCATCAACTGTTCTGTTTTGCCCGGCACTGTCCCAGATTTAGCACAAAAAGTCCTGAATCCCAGGAAACTCCTCAGTTCCCAGGATAGCCACCTGAGATAGAGAGAGAGAGTAAGAGAGAGAGAGAGAGAGAGAAGATACAGTGCCCGACACATGGTAAATACTAAATAATTTTCTTTTTAGTTTGAGCTAAATGTCAATATACCACTTAACAAAATGTGCCCCTCCCTTGCCCCACATCCCAGCAGCCTCACAAGATTGATTTGGGGACTAACCCAGTGCCTGAAGCTGGCTTTTCCAGGTCCCTGTGTGAGGCAGACCCCTTCCCACTGGCCCAGGATGCCTGGAGGGGTCCCCATGCCCAGGAACATCCTGGCCCATGGCTCCCCTCCCCTGGTACCAGAGTCTTTCTGCTCCAAACAGATGGGCCCCTGCGGGGACGCCTCCGCACCCTCGGAAGGGCCGCTGTTTGGCCAGGCCCCAGCCCCTTTCACACTCAGGTAAAACTTTAACCACAGGCCTTTGGCGGCATTGCCGGGCCCTGCGCTCCCATTCAGGGCATGATAAATGACTGCTGTCACCGTGACATGAATGCTCATATTGAAAAGCCCTGCTTTCTGTCTTCCTCCCTTTCAGGCCGCCAACTTCTCCTCTCTTAAGTCGCCGGGCGTCACTCACATGTCACCCTGTCCTGAATGCCTCCCAATCTGGCACCCCTGCTCCCTCTGCCCCTCGATTCCCACCTGCCCCACCCCTGCCCCTTCCTCTCTGGTCTCCTGCCCCCCCCCCGCCTCCATTCTCTCATTGCTCCTCCCCATCCTGCAGAGCCCCCACCCCACCATTTCCTCCTCCTTCAGTCCTGATTTGCCCATCCCCATCTCCGGACAGGGGAAGCTCACACTCTTTTCCCCATCACTGTCCCCACAGCCGATAACCACACACAAGCCCTCCACCACCGTGTCTCACCATCACTCTCCATGCTAGAGTTGCCTTGGCACTGGCACCGCTGATGCCAACCTACAGGGAAGGAAAGTGACACCCAAGGGGACCCCTAAAAGTAAGTAAGAGAGCAGATTCACAGTGCCCTAATACAGTGTCAAGACAGTGTGCTATTGTGTCTGTGTGAATCCGTGTTGTATTTCTCTGGGAATAGGAAACAAAGATTCCATCAGATCCCCCAAAATGGACCAAGAATCACTTCTCAGAGGCTCTGCTCATCCCATAAAGGCTTGATGAACACCTATTGGCACTGGAAACACCAAATTAACTCCACATCGTGGGGATCAAAGCCATGCTGTTGGGACAGGGGACACCACAACTCTGATGCCTCAGCCCAAGGGGTTTCTTTTCTTCACCAATGAGTTCAGCTGCCGTAAGAAGATCCACACCAGTACAGCCCAAGACAGCTGGGGACAAAACCCACTACAGAAGGAAACATTGTGTGGCATTGTTGAAGCCAGGAAAAACTGCTGGGTTTTTTGTGGGGGGGGGGTGTGGGCGGGGTGGAAAACTGAAATTTGGGGGTGGGAAATGGCTGAGTGTAGTCTTGTCTGAGCCAGTGTCCTGAAAAGCTCCAGCATCCATCAGTCTGGCAGCCAAGGAAGCTAAAGATGGTTCTGCCTGGCAGAGTCTGCCCAGTAAGCTACCTCATTTGGCATGTTAAATATAAAGGTGTATTTTGGCCAGGCATGGTAGCTATCACCTGTACTCCCAGCACTTTGGGAGGCTGAGGCAGGCGGATCACTTGAGGTCAGGAGTTGGAAACCAGCCTGGGCAACATGGTGAAACGCTGTCTCTACTAAAACAAAACAAAACAAAAATTAGCTGGGTATGGTGACACATGCCTGTAATACGAGCTACTCAGGAGGCTGAGGCACGAGAATCGCTTGAACCTTGGAGGTGGAGGTTGCAGGGAGCTGAAATCGTGCCACTGCACTCCAGCCTGGGTGACAGAGTGAGACTGTGTCTCAAAAAATAAAAAAATAATAATAATAAATAAAGGTTTATTTCATTCCGTAAATTGCTGATCATTTCATCATGGAGATGACTTTCAAGTGGCTTTCACTGTGGTAACAAATGGAACAGCAAGGCACTGGGTATCAGAAGAGCATGGTAGCCTCCTGTATGCCAGGGTCCCTCAGGACCACCTTCCAAGTGCATTTCCAATTCCACACCTACCCTGGGGGCCCAATGCCCAGGGCTGTCTTGAGACATTTTCATGTTAGGAACCCCTGTGCATTGTGAGAAATGCGTGCGAGCATACAGAAGGCCATTGCTAAGTCTTCTGTTTCCCAGAATTCACTGAGTGTGGGAGGAAAGGCAGAGCTCCACTCATTCTGCATAGGATATCCCCTCTACCTCAAAGAGAAGAGCCACCCTAAGGTTAAGGAAGTACCAGACATGGGCCTACACAGGACATGGGTAGCCACACCTGGCTTGCCAAATGCAGAGCTGAGGCAATGGATTTAGTTCCATGAGAGGCTGTATTAGTCTGTTCTCAAGCTGCTAATAAAGACATACCTGAGACTGGGTAATGTATAAAGGAAAGAGGTTTAGTTGACTCACAGTTCCACATGGCTGGGGAGGCCTCACAATCATGTCAGAAGGCAAAGGAGGAGCAAAGTCACGCCTTGCATAGCGGCAGGCAAGAGACAGAGCATGTGCAGGGGAGCTCCCCTTTATAAAACCCTCAGATCTTGTGAGACTTATTCACTGTCACAAGAACAGCACAGGAAAGACTTGCCCTCATGATTCAACTACCTCCCACTGGGTCCCTCCCGTGACATGCAGAAGCTACAATTCAAGATTTGGGTGGAGACACAGCCAAATCATATCAGATGCCCTCCAAATAAGACTCTAAGGTCAAATATACTAAGGAAGCACCACTTGCTAATATACCTTTCTTAGAGGGTCACAATGAACATTATTGTTCAGAACTTATTCAGAGTTCTGAGGGATCCTGCAGTAAATAAACCTGGATGACCCAGGGTTTCCCTGATTTACTTGACTCTCTTTGTGCAGAATATCCATCGATATTCCTAGAAATATTGTCTTCTCCAAGGCGCATTACCTACATGACCTCACTCTATACTGATAATACCTCTAGGAGGTGGATATAATTATTAACCCATGAGACAGATGAAGGTAGTGAAACTCTGGAAGATTAAGTAAATTACATAAGGTTCCACAGCCACTAACTAGCAGAGCTGGGATTTTTCTGATTGCTAAGCCGATTACCTGACCATTTGATTCTTGAGGCATGTGAGGATGAACTTACAAAAAGTAGACACCATCCTAAATTAGAAGCAATGAAAGGAAGTAGCATTTTCTCAATTTGGTGGCCTCTGTGGTGTAAGACAAACATAGGATGTGCTCAGTGTCAGAAAGGGAGAGAAGGTGGGAGAGGAGGAAAACTCCACTGCTGGGTCCTGAATACTATCATAATCTCCCCCAAGGATTTCTGAATGCAGTTGTCCCTACCAACAGTTTCCTCTACTGAGCATATTCCCAGGTTGCTGCAGCCTAGGGATTTGCCTAGCTTGTGATATATTTCATGCACTGGTTTATTCAACTTCCTGATGAAATCTGAGGACCTCCAAACATAGACCAGCTTCCCTCACCCAGCAGCAGAGGAGACAGGAGGAAGTCAGAATCAGAAGGAGCTAGAGTCAGCCATCAGGGGACAGGAGGGTTGGGTTGGGCCCAATCTCAGAGACACTACAAGAATCATCTCTCAAGGTTTCCACCTAACGCACCTCCAGAAAGAGATACCAAGTAGCCTGCGCCAATCAATACGTGGCAATCTATCCTTACTTTAAAGCCACCACCTCCTCTCTCCCTTTTGATGATACCACTCAATCTCAGAGACAGAGTCTAGCTGCTTTAGGCTCTTTGGTCCTTGACATCATTAATTTCCCCACTGAATAGGCCACTTTGAATTTGATCATTTATTACTTGCAGCCAAAGGCTTTCTGACAGACACAGATTTTTAAACAGATTGTTATGACACAATGTGGCAAGTGCCATAATCAAAGTATTCACACAGTTTTCTGCTGAGACAGCAGAAAAAGAGAAATTTGGCTTACTTGGTTTGGGGAGGATCAAGAGAGGTGATCCCTGAACAGAATCCCCAAAGAAGGTTTGTTCACAGGCAACAAGGCAAAGAGGCAGGAACTAAGAAGGGGATGTTATTGAGCACCTACTACATAAGACCTTCAGGTACATTCTGCCACTGAGAAAACAGAGAGTATGTACCCTCCCAAGGGGTCATCACTATTAATTGGCTGAGCCAGAATTTGAGTCTGCTTGATTTTGAAGTCCCTATTCCTACATGCTGTCTCAATACTGCCGACCAACAACAAAATGGACATTCACTACTACTGTGAATGGGTCTTTAGTAAAGAGACTCTCACTCTGATAGCATCAGGAACTGCGACTGAAAGAGGAAAGGTCCTTAGAACCTTCTGGAAGTTCTGCAATTGAGCCTAGAAGGTGTTTTCTACAAGCACAAATTCCTTGGGCTTCTAGGGACTTTGAGATCCTCAATTCCAAGTATTACCTTAAAAACTTCTGTGATTTTTTACTTCATTCTCAATGCCCAGTCTCCTGTAGAATTTTACTGTGGAATTTCAGTGTTTTCCTTTAACTCTTTGTGCTAGAATAAACAGGAGCTTTGGGGAAAACAGATCTATTTTGAAGTTCTGCTGTACCACTTGATAGCCTGGGTAACCTCTTGACATTGGGTAACCTCCTGACATTGGGTAACCTCCCTCAGGCCCAGTGAGTTGGTCACTTGATGCTGCACAAATTATTTTACCAGCTTTTTATTTCCTCAGCTGGGAAATGGGGATAATACTCCCAATCATGTAGGACTTGGAGAATTAAATGAGATAATGACTGGCCCATAGAAGTTTCTAGATACATATTAGCTTCCATCTTCAGTCTACAGTCTTTTCTGCTTACCTTCTTGAAGAATATGTCAAATCAAAGCAAACAATCTGCCCAGTTTGGCTCATCAGGATATCCCCAGGCAAGGGCAATGTTAAAAACATTTAACAACCAACACCCCCGAGGCATCAATCAATCGTACTGTACGCCATTGGTACAAGGCTACAATAAACACTGCTTAAATATTTCCCCTTTTCCTAAATAAAAAGGGAATTAATTCTCTCTCCTAACTACACATTCTCTGCCTAGAAATGAAAACTGGCCACCCCAGGGCTGCTGACCAGGCTAGTGTCATGATTATAAATCTGGGATGGAGCTCAAGCCAAAAAATATTAATACCTTGAGCCAAATAATAGTAATAGCTAGCATGCACTGTGCTCATGCACTTTACATGCATGAGAATGTAAATGTATGTATACATTACATACATTCCTTCTTCATCCCCATAACCATCTCATGGAGTAGCTATTACCATTATCACTATTTTGCAGAGGTAAAAATTCAGGCCCAGAGATGTAAAGCAAACTGCTCACAGCCACAGAAAGCATGTCAGTGACAGGTCTGTCTGGCACTAAAGTCCATACTCGTAAAGGTGGGGCACTATTGTCTAAATTTCTCCATAATTGAAAGTCCAGCCCTTCAATGCCCCCCATTCTTTACCCCATAGCTGTGTACCTGGTTCTCAAGTCACACAAACTCTTCAGAGGCAGCACCCATTTCTGTAGATGTTCATGTCTTAGGTCACATTCTGCACAAGCAGACTCTGAGATCTGAAACAAACACTTGGGTGCAAGTGATGTATTAGAGAAGTGCTCCCCAGACATACTGGTAAGGGATTGACAGAAAAACATGATAGGAAAGAGGAAGAAGCCAAGCAAGGTGTAGTCCCAGACAAAAATCCCACTGAGGGTAGCTTCAGCCTATTCACAGGGGAGCTCTACAGAGTAGGTTACACAGCAGGGTGGCCCTGATCCAAGGCAAGAGAGCTCCAACAAGAGAATAGGTGGAGATGAGGGTGAGGACGGAAACTGTAAACTCCCGGGAACATTCTGGCTCTCTGTTTATGTGAACAAAGTGACTCTAATAGCCCAAGCCAATTTTCCAAAGAAAAGAGAAGACACAAAGGCTAGCCATTGAGAACATACCCAAGTCAGGACAGCAGGTGGGGATGTGCACTGAAACTGATGACCTGTACAGAGCATCAGCATTGCTACAGTCAAACAGCCTGAGGATGCACACTGCTGTGTTGAAGTCCTTCTGCTTTCATGACTGCAATCCTTGAGCTGAGTTGACAGCATAAATTGGAACATGGGCTCAGCTCTCAAACACCAGAAAGAGTGGGTACTTTCTCGGACAGGCTAGAACTTTTCCTCCTTCTGGATCATGACAGCAAATGGGTCTCCTCAGAGAGTGACCTGGTGCTAAAGGGTGACCCAACGCCTAGACTGATCATTGTGGGTAATTTTATAGACTTTGCAAGACCCCCTGCAACTGAAGTCATGATTGCAGTGCTGTTATTGCTGATTTTTATATTATTTTATTTAACAAATTAACTTCTATTTCCAGAGTACAACCTCAAAAATGAAACCTTCAGCCTTCTCTCTTGCCAAGTAGATCTAGATTTCTATTACAAAAACATATCTTGCATCACTGGGGAAAAAAAAGCCTTGACAATTCTGCTGTGTGTTTTCAATGCCATGTTTTTGTACATTCAGGTATCAGCTTTTAGGAAAATCAATGCAAAAAGGGGGAAGACTTAGCAAACTTGAACCTAAAATGAAAATTTCTTCTTTATTATTAGTGAGTAATCACTCTCACATTAGTGAATTAACTTTAAACTATCAGGCTTAAGTACTGACTAACCCTCAATTGATACTTTAAGTTGTATTATAGTTACTTTCAAAAGTAAAAATATAAGTAATAACATATATATTCAATATTATATATCTTGCATATACCATGATTAATAGTATTTTTTAATTTTTCAAGCTTGCTGTTTTTAAATGCTAGTCAGGGACAAGGTCAGGGGTGGGGTAGGGTGAGCAGGCATCAGATTGCAAAGGTCCAGCCAGGTCACTTAGATCCTGGGCAATATCCCAAGGGTTGAGTCTGGTAAACACACAGCATCTATCCTGTTCAATAGAAAAAAAAATCATTTTGGGATGTGTTAGGTTTAGGGCTCAAATAAGCATTCCTGAGTTCTTCCTGTTCCCTGACCCAGCTGCCACAGAGAGATAGCCAGAGCCCCAAATCCAGATGGAATGGAACCAGGCACTCAGTTCATGTCCTGGTTACCAAGAATCTTGACCAATCCAGCTCCCTGTCTTCTCCAGGGCCTTCTTCCAAGAGTGGAGAGGGGTCCTCCCACACAATCGCAAATCCCAGCCACTCAGCATATCCCTGAGGCTTGGAGAACCATGGGTTTCATTATGAAAGAGTTACTATGTACCAGATCCTCTAAAAAACAGCTTCCAGACATTATTTTATTATAATTGCATAGTGACCCTGAGAGGCAGGTATGGCAGGGACTGTAGTGCAAAATTCATGTGCTCCTCTACATTTCCCACCCTCTCTTGCAACTAGTGTGGGATCATTAGACTGAGTTGCAGCCTGTGAACTGCAATGGAATTGATGTCCACTTCCCTGACCACTCTCAGGCCTAACCACAGACTTAGAGGTCAGGAAACATTTTCTGTAAAGGACTAGTTGGGCAATATTTCAGTCTTTGCAGTCCGTATGACCTCTGTCACAACTAGTCAACTCTACCACTGTCATATGAAAGCAGCCATAGATAATATGTAAACAGGTGGGTGTGACTGTGTACCAATAAACCTTTATTTATAAAAATAAACTGGAGATTCAATTTGGCTCATGAGTGTAGTTTGCTGATCCCTGCCTTAAAACCTGGCTGGCTTATTTCACAGGATACAGTGGGGAAACCTGAGGGGGCCCTATGGAAAGACAGAGCCACAGAATTAAAGGGCCTGGTTCCCTGAGTCACTGCTATAAAGTTGCCTAACCCGTATTATACTGCCACAGAAGCAAGAAATAACATATTGTGTTAAACCACAGGGATTTGGGGACTGTTTGTCACAGCAGCTGCACTGATTAACCCGACTAACAAAATAGGTTAACTGTTCCTTTTTGACAGCTGTGGGAAATGAGGTTCAGAGGGGGAAAGGATCCATCCAAGTTTACAAAGCAAAGAAAGAGTAGAGCCAGGGCTTAGGACGATCAACTCATCCTGGCATGCCAGCATTTGCCTGGTTTTAGCACTGAAAGCCCACATCCTGGGCAAACAAGGTCACCTAGCTAGTCACCCAGCCAGGACTCAAACACAGGCCTGTCTGGCTCCAAAGCTCGTACTCACAGACCATGAGGAGGGCTGCTTTCTGAAAGGAGGTGGAGTGAGGCTCAGCTTGGCTCAGCATGATTCCTGCTGGGAGGCCCCCCACCCTGGTGTCCGCTCCAGGTGTGCTAGAGCTTGCAGGTGAGCATGGAGCCTGTCATCTTCTCCCTGCAGGCCTCAGGCTTTTTCCCCAAAGGCAGTAAGTCAGGCATGAATTTTAAATATATACCAGCTTGAGTATAGACGTCAGGCCTGACATCTATAAAATGGCACTAAATCCTGCTTTTATGAGCTCTTGCTGCATTCTGCTGAGTGTTTTATCACACTCACTGGAAGTCTACTGAGGGGAGTTAATAACCCAAAAACTCTGGGGCCTGCCTGTCTCTGGATTCAGAAGTGGAACCCCCAGCTGTGGATTTTCGAGATGTTAGCACTTGCACTAAAGATGCCAGCACCTCCAGATACCTGTGCTCTGCCCTGCCTAGGTCCTTCCTGCTGCTCAATTTTAGCCCCAGGCTGGTGACTTAGGTGGTTGGGGAAGGACTCTCTGAGAGGGCAACCTTTGGGCTGAAACCTGAAGGTTGAAAAGAAGATGGTCATGCTAGAAATGAAGCGGGAAAGGCCAGGCACAGTGGCTCATGCCTGTAATCCCAGCACTTTGGGAGGCCACAGCAGAAGGATTACTTGATGCCAGGAGTTTGAGACTAGCCTGGGCAACAAAGTGGGACCCCCATCTCTACAAAAAATCTTTCAAATTAGCTGGGCATGGTGGTGTGTACCTGTAGTCCCAGCTACTCGGGACGCTGAGGTGGGAGGATCACTTGAGTCCAGGAAGTCAAGGCTGCAGTAAGCCTGCGCTCCAGACTGGGCAACAGAGAAGACCCTGTCTCAAAAAGAAAAAGAAATGAAAAGTGTCCCAGAGACAGAACAGCAAAGGCTAAGGTCCTGAGTCCCGTGACACCTAATCCAGACAGAGAAGGCTTTCCAGTAGAGGACTGCAGAGAACCAGGACACATCCCTGAAGAACCACAGCCTATAACAGATGTCCAAAAGGGAGACCTCAGCAGAACAGTCAGAGAAGTGGGAGGGAAGCCCAGAAAGCCAGGAATCATAGGTGCTAAGAGAGGGGAGCATTTCAAGGAGAGAGAGTTTGGTGGCATCAGATGCTATGAAAAACCTAATTTAAAAAGCACAGAAAGAGGTCCCTTGGCTTTGGCAATGCCAATGTCACAAATATTTAAGTGCTTACTGTGTGCTCCAGGGTCCAAGCTCCAGGGAAGCGACGGTCAAATAAAGCAGTAGTTTGGGGGCAGGGAGGGTAGGACAGAAAATCTACAAGTAATTCCAATGACACATGTTCTGTTCTGTAGGATCCCAGAAGTGGGGCAAAGTAACTCTACCAAGGAGTTGAGAAGATTTCTGAAAAGTCAGACATCTGAGTTGGGCTGTGAAGGTTGAATAGTTTACTACTAAGGTGATGAGATAGAGGAAATATCATGGGCAAAAATATCAGAAAGATATGTTTAGGAAACCAAGGAAGTCCCTTAGCCTAGGGGAGATGAGGCTGAGATAATTGGGAGGAGATAAAGGACCTCCAGCCCTGCCAAGAAGTTCGGGTTTATTCTCCAGGCAACAGGGTGGCATGGAGGGAGACGTCAGATTTACACTTTAGAAAATAATTTCTAAAACCCTGCACACTATGGTGTGTGCCTGTAATCCCAACTACTTGGGATGCTAAGGTGGCGGGATCACTTGAGCCCAGGTGTTCAAGTCCAGCCTAGGAGAGCTAGTGAGGCCCTGTCTGTGACAGAGAGAAAAATAAAAGAAAAAAAATAGTTTCTGGCTTTGAGTCCCATCCCCAGCTCTAACACTAAGCGGCAGAGTGACGCTAGACGCATCCCTTCCATCTTCTGGGCCTCAGTTTTACCCACTTTGAAGTGAGAAGATAAGACTATCCGTTCCAGTTCTTATGATCTGAGGGTTCTGTGGTCCTTCCCCAACCACCTGGGCACCCATGTAAGAGTCAGCTGTTCTGAAAGAGCCTTTTGTTTGTCTGCATCTGATACAAATAAATTCATCGCTTAGGTTCCAATTTCAGAGTCATAATTTGCCCAGCACTTTTCAGAAGAGCAAAATGACTCTCAGGGTCAACCATGCCACCAGCGTGTCTAAGAGGCTTTTTCCCAATTCCCTGGTGAGGATGAGAAACAAGGACTCCATCGTGACCCAGGGGAAAGGCTGACATTTGGTGAGATGTCTGTATTTAACTCCCACTGCTTGACATCTGCTTTCAATTAATCTGCCTGTGTTAAGAGAGATGCTGCCCAGAGCATGCGATTCAACCTCAGTTCTGGAGGGGCAGAGAGAAGCAGTCACAGAGAGTGAATGCAGATCCTAGCCACCCACTGCCCCCAACCCACACCCTCAGGGGCTCCCTGAACCCCCAGGACCACCTGGCCTGCAGGCACCTGAGGGCCTACTTCACTCCCACTTCACAATTGACACTTCAGCAATACCAACCGGGACACATTTGAAGGACTAAAAGAAAGTCAAACTGAGGTCACTGGAGACACTGACAAGAGAGGACAGTGGCTTAGTGAGGGAGGCAGGGGCCAGGTCACACAAAGCCTTATAGAGCATGTGAAGGAGTTTCTGTTTTTATCCTGGGTCTGATTAGAAGTGACATTGTTAATTTGCATATTTGAAATATGTCTCCAGGTGCTTCATGGAGAATCGGTTGGACAGAGGAAAGATTGGGAGAGGAGATGGCTTCAAACTGCACTGTCCAACTCAGCAGGCACCAGCCACAGTGAGCACTTGAAAGGTGGCCAGTGCAATTGAGGAAATGAAATTTTTTGCTACAGGCTTCATTTTTTATTTATATTATTTTTGCATGTATGTAAAGAGGCACAAGTGTAATTTTGTTACATACATACATTGCATCATGGTGAAGTCAAGGCTTTTATGGTGTCTGTCACCTGAATAATGTATATTATACCCATTAAGTAATTTCTCATCATCCACCCCCTCCCACCTCCCAACTCCTTTGAATCACCATTGTCTATCATTCCACTCTCTACATCCACGTGTACACATTTAGCTCCCACTTATAAGTGAAAACATGAGGTATTTGACTTTCTGTGTCTGAGTTGTTTCACTTAAGGTAATGACCTCCAGTTCCATCCATGTTGCTGCAAAAGACATTTATTCTTTTGAATGACTGAATGGTGGAACTGAATATTATATTTTATTTAAATTAATTAAAGTTAAAGTAAAATACTTAATTCAGCTATTTTAAAACTTTGAAGTATGTTTGGAACAACCTAGGTACATAATTCTACTTTCTCCAACAGTAAATGTTATGAAATCTAAATACGAATAAAGTATTTTCAATGGAAATTTATCATCCAAATTGAAATATGCTGTAAGTGTAAAATGCACAATGGATTTCGAAGACTTAGGACACAAAAAGCAAAAGAACAAGTATTTCAATCATAGTGTATATTGGCCATGTTAAGATGGTAATAGTTTGAATATATCATGTTAAATAAAATAGATTATTAAAACTAAATTAACTTGTTTATTTTTACTTCTTTAAAATTTTGTCACAAGAAATGTAAGCTTTTATGTGTGGCTCTCGTTGTGTTTCTATAGGACAGCACTGAGTTAGGAGGAAAGATGGTGATTTAGACTACAGTAATGATAGATCCGAGATATGTTTTGTAGGTCACATTGGCAGATCTTGCTGATAAATTGGATATTGGGAACGAGTGAAGGAAGAGGAAGTACCAGAGATGATGGCTAAGTTTCTGGCTCCAGCACTTAATTGGAAGATGGTGTCATTTTCTTGAATGAGGAAGACTTGGGGAGGAAAAGCTGGGGTAGGGGTGGGGACTAAGGGTTCCTATGGGACATAGTGAGTTTCAGATGCCTGTAAGATGCCAAGCGGAGAGCCGGGCATGGTGGCTCATGCCTGTAATCCCAGCACTTTGGGAGGCTGAGGTGGGTGGATCACCTGAGGTCAGGAGTTCAAAACCAGCCTGGCCAACATGGTGAAACCTCGTCTGTACTAAAAATACAAAAATTAGCTGGGCATGGTGGCATGCACCTGTAGTCCCAGGTACTTGGGAAGCTGAGACAGGAGAATCACTTGAATCCTGGAGGTGGAAGTTACAGTGAGCCGAGATCTTGCCACTACACTTCAGCCTGGGCAACAGAGAGAGACTCCATCTCAAAAAAAAGATGCCAAGTAGAGATATAAAACAGACAGTTGGATGCAGGGGCCTAGTATTCAAAAGCAAAGTCTGGGGAGAAGATCTAAATTTGGAAGCAACCACTTGGAAAAACTAGGTTTCTCCTCTGTTTATGCATTTCACAACAGACAGACAGACAGACAGATGGACAACAATGTTAATGCACTCCCCTGCTCTCCAGTTACAGTAAAATCCTTCTGAATATTCAAATGTTCCCTGGAGCTTTGAGTCTTCTCTGTATTTCACGAGCCACCAGCTCTCTCTTCTTCACTCCTCCCTCCCACCCCCCTGACTCAGATAATCCCTTCCTTGGCTCGCCCACCCCCAAAACTTGCTGGGCAAAACACTGTGGCAAAGACACCCATTGCAGACAGTCAGTAGCAGCAAGCTATGGGTCAGGATGTTTGCACAAATGCTTCACAGCATCATTTATCTTGAGGGATGTCAACTCGAAAAATGTTAGTTCATGTCACTGTCAGGGTAAATGCCAAAAATTAGCTTTCTTTCATCAGAAAACGGAATAATTAACTTTGCAACTGTTTCCAAAACTGCTAATTAATGGGTTTTACCCACTTGATTTGTCAGGCTACATTGCGAGCTGAACAGCAGCCTGAGCCCCTGGAGGATTCCCATCCTCCCCTTCTCTCTGTCCCTGCAGAAGTTGGAAGAAGTTACAGGTAAACAAGTAGAGAAAAGCAAGACCAGAGGAAAACGCTGCTATTTTGGAGTCGAGAGTTTTCCTTTGCCTTTCAAAATCGGTCTCCTACCACTTTTCTTTCCCACATCACTCCAATGGGAGGTCAAAATTCCCCAGTTGATCTCAAAATTGTGTTGCTCAGCCTTAGCGGATGGGGCAACCATCTACCTGTCCCCAAATCTGGAGGTCAAATCAGATTCCTGCCTGTCTCCCTCCACAAGGTGGTGGGCACAGGGGTTAAAGACAGGCCTTGGAGGCAGAGGGGGCTTTGAATGCCAGCTCTGATTCTCACCAGTTGTGCAAACTTAAGCAAGACACTTCCCTTCTCACTATCTCAGTTTCCTCATCTGTAAAACGGGATTCATGGTAGAGTGATGTCATTGAGTGGGTGAACGCTCCCAAATCTTACTCCACTATACCAAGGCTATATATCCACACCTTTTGCCTTTTAACTTTGCAGGGCATCCCATTGTGGGAAGTGTGGGGTACTTCCCTTTGATT
This sequence comes from Homo sapiens, assembly GCF_000001405.40. NCBI lineage: Eukaryota > Metazoa > Chordata > Mammalia > Primates > Hominidae > Homo > Homo sapiens. The sequence continues at coordinate 40,900,535 of NC_000020.11, forward strand.
TTTTTTTAATTGTGGTAAAACACACATAACTAAATTTACCATCTTCTTCTTCACCAGGCTGCTATAATATTGGCTACTAACAGTGTTCACCTTTTCTGTGGAATTGCCATTGGCTAAACAGGATCTGTCAGCTTGGGGCCAGTGATGGATTAGCAAGGGAGGAGTGTATCAAAGGACTTTAAGGTGGCACCAATGTTGGGGTGCCATCTTTCCTCCAGAGCTCTCCATGGAACCAGGCTGAAGCTTATGTCAGGCTAACACCTCATCTTTACTCAACTTTCTTCTGCTTGATCATGCTTTCTTAACTTCCCTTCTCTTGAGAGCAGAGCCCAGTAAAATATTTTCACAATAATCCTCATGAGCAGTAATAAATAGTTACTGTCTTCTTTGTTTTTGTTTTTGTTTTGTTTGGGGTTTTCTGAGACAGGGTTTCCTAGGCTGGAATGCAGTGGCATGATCACAGCTCACTGCAGCCTTGACCTTCTGGACTCAATCGATCCTCCCACCTCAGCCTCCCTAGTAACTGGGACTACAGGCATGTGCCACCATGCCCTGGTAATTTTTATATTTTTTGTAGAGACAGGTTCTTACTATGTTGCCTAGGCTGCTCTCAAACTCCTAGACTCAAGCGATCCACTCACCTCAGCCTCTCAAAGTGCTGGGATTATAGGCATGAGACACCACACCCAGCCAATGGTTGTTGTTGTAAGCCACTGAATTTTGAGGTGTTTTGTTACAAAGCATTATAAACTGACACAATTAGAACACATGAAATATGAAATACTATCCAGCCATTAAAAATGATGGGAGCCCTATGTATTGACTACAAAACATGTCAACAGGCAGTTTTCTGGGGGAAAAAAATGATCACAGGAAAGTTTTATAGCAGCATTCTTTTTTTTTTTTTTTTTTTTTTTTTTGAGATGGAATCTCACTCTGTCACCCAGGCTAGAGTAGAGCAGCACAATCTCGGCTCACTGCAACCTCTGCCTCCAGGTAAAAGTGATTCTTGTGCCTTAGCCTCCTGAGTAGCTGGGATTATAGGCATGCACCACCACGCCCAGCTAATTTTTGTATTTTTAGTAGAAACGGGGTTTAACCATGTTGGCCAGGCTGGTCTCAAACTCCTAACTTCAAGTGATCCACCCACCTCGGCCTCCCAAAGTTCTGGAATTACAGGCGTGAGCCACTGGCATCCGGCCTATAGCAGCATTCTTTTTGTTAAAGAAAGTTAACACATGCTTCCATGTGGATATTCAGTGTCTAGCAGGGTCTTCAAAGGATGAACAGTGTTTAGTCCCTGTGTGGTGGGACTATGGACAACATATTACTTCTATCTTTGCATTTATTTTATATAATTTCATGTTTAAATGGAACTTCGGTTTTATTTGAATTAAAGTTGTTTAAACAAAAAAACAAAAAAAAATTTTTTTTTTTTGAGACAGAGTCTTGCTCTTTCGCCCGGGCTGGATTGTAGTGGTGCAATCTCAGCTCACTGCAACCTCCGCTTCCCGAGTTCAAGTGATTCTCCTGCCTCAGCCTCCTGAGTAGCTGAGATTACAGGTGTGTGCCACCACACCTGGCTAAATTTTTTGTATTTTTAGTAGAGGTGGGATTTCACCGTGTTGGTCAGGCTGGTCTCGAACTCCTGACCTCAAATAATCCACCTGCCTCTGCCTCCCAAAGTGCTGGGATTACAGGCCTAAGCCACTACACCCAGCCACAGTTTCTAAGTGTATAGTTCAGTAGCGCTAAGTATATTCACACTGTTGTGCAACAAATCTCTAGAACTCTTTATCTTACAAAACTGAACCTCTATACCCATTAAACAGCCCCTTATTCCTTACAGGCTTTGCTGATGAAAATCCATTCTTTGTTTCATTCAGTGTACATTTGTCACACACCTCCTACATCCCAGGCATTCTTGTAGGCCTCGGGGATATAGCAGTGGATAACACAGACACCATCCCTACCCACCTATCACTTGCTTTCTTGTCAAGGAGATGGGCAATAAAACAAACAGATACATAACAGAAACCAAGTTAGAAGATAAGTACTATGAAAATAACAAGAAGAGCTAGTCATATTGAGTCCTCACTAGGTACCAGGCATTATTTGAAGTGTTTTAAGTGAATTATTTGGTTTAATACTCACCACAGTCCTAAGAAGCAGTTAGTATTATTATAATCCCCTTTTGACAGAATTAAAAGAAACAGGAGGGAAAAAAAAGATTAAGCAATTTGCCAGTCACACAAGTGGGGACCAGCAAAGCTGGGATTTGAGCCCCAGAAGTCTGACTCTGGCACTCCCCTGCCAAACAATTAGCCATGCCGTCTTGCACTTATTCATTTACTAATGTTTGTGAAGTGCCTATTCTGTGCCAAGCCCTAGAGATCTGTGTCAGTGAAGGAAACAGGCAAAAATCTCTGCCCTTCATGATCTTCCATCCAATCAAGTGTGGGAAGGCAGACATTAAGAAAATTCAAAGATTAAATTATGTGGTATATTGTAATACTGCAAGGGGACAGTCTGTGGAGAATAATAAAAGGAAGTCACAGGCACAGGTGCTGCCTTTTTCTTTTTTTTTTTTTTTCCGAGATAGAATCTTACCCTGTTGCCCAGGCTGGAGTGCAGTGGCGCAATCTCGGCTCACTGCAACCTCCACCTCCTGGGTTCAAGTGATTCTCCTGCCTCAGCCTCTGGAGTAGCTAGGACTACAGGTGTGCACCACTATGCCTGGCTAATTTTTGTATTTTTGGTAGAGATGGGGTTTCACCATGTTGGCCAGGCTGGTCTCGAACTCCTGACCTCAAGTGATCCACCCGCCTCAGCCTCCCAAAGTGCTGGGATTACAGGCGTGAGCCACTGTGCCCGGCCAGGGCTGCTCTTTTAAGTTGGTCAGGTTGCTACTTAGGATGTTCCAGGAGGGCCTCTCTGTGGAGGTGGCTTTTAAAGAGACTTGAAGGAGATGAGGGAATCATTCATGCAAGTCCTGAGAGAACAGCATTCCAGAAGGAGAGAACAAACAAAGGCAAAGACCCAGAGGCAGGAACATGCCTGGTGTGTTCAGGGAATAACAAGGAAGCCTGCATGGCTGGAACAAAGTGATCAAGAAGATAACGAAAAGAAATGAGGTCAAAAATAGTGCAGGACAATTTATGAAGTTTTAGGGCCAAAGAAAATGACTTTGATACATGGAGAAGCCTTAAATGTACATTACTAATTAAAGGAAGCCAGTCTGAACAGACTACACACTGTATGATTCCAACTATATGACATTCTGGAAAAGGCAAAGCTATAGAGACAGTAAAAAGATCAGTGGTTGCCAGGGGTTCGGGAGGGAGGGAGAATTAGGTGGAGCTCAGGGGATTTTTAGGAAACTCCTCTGTATGATACTGTCACGGTGGATACATGACATTACGCATTTGACAAAGCCCATACAATGCACAACACAAAGCATGAACCCTAATGTAAACTATGAACTCTAGTTAATAATAATGCATCAATATTGGCTTATCAATTGTAACAAATGTACCACACTAATGCAAGATGTACGTAATAGAAGATGTGGGGAGGGAAAGTGGAAATTGGTATACGGGAACTCTATTTTCCACTCAATCTTTCCATAAATTTAAAACTACTCCAAGCCATGAAATCTATTAATTTTTTTAAAGGACTGGATTTTCTGTGAGTGAGATGGGGAGACATTTGAGGCCAGGAAGCAGACTGACAATGGACTTTGCTCTAACAGGATCCTCTGGAGGATCCTGCTATGCAGAGAGTACACTGAAGGGGCCAAGACTGGGGCAGGGAGACAAGGAGGAGCTGTTGAAATAGTCCAGGCAAGAGACAAGGGTGTTTTGGACCATGGTGGTTACTGTCACCAGGTCAGAAGTGGCATGGATAGAGCCAACAGGATTTTCTGAAGGAATAGAGGGTTAGAGGTTAGGGTGGAAGCCCCCACCCGCAGTGGCCTGTGGCTTACCCAAGGCAAAATGAACACGTACTTATGGTGCCCAGACAAAGTGGAAAATAGCCTGGATGAATTTATCTCTAATTGCATATTTAAAAGGGCTATTAAAAAGCTTTTTTAATTTCCACATGCATGTGAGCTTTGAGGTTTTGAGTTCATTATTGTTTTTACTCTGAACTGCATATGAACAGGGGCTCTTCCATCTCTCAGTGCATTGGACCTCTAGAGGTCCCAATACCACACTGCCTAAGGGGTACAATCCAGGAAAAGCCACCACAGTCACCATCATGGCTGAGGAGGGGCCATGAGTGGTTGATTGTCTCATCCTGAATGCAGAAGGCTTCCACACAGGTCTGTGCCCAAGAAGTCAAGGTTCTGGGGTCTCTGTGAGCCCCTAACAGTCATCTGGTCCAACCCTGCATTGTACACGTGAAGTAACTGAATCCCAAGAGGTGCAAGTCACTCTCCCAAGTTCCCTCAGCCAGGTAAAGGCCAGAGTTGGGGCCTCCTGATGCCCAGATGAGAGCTCTGTCCTCCTGCAATTTGCTGTGTTCATTTCCTGTGGCTGCCATAATAAAATACCACAACCTGGTGGCTTAAAACAGAAATTTCTTCCCTCACAGTTTTAGAGGCCAGGAGTCTGAAACCAAGGTGTTGGTTAGGGTCCCACTCCCTGCAGAGGCTGTAGAGAAGGATCTCTTCCTCACCTCTTCCAGTTCATGGTGGCTGCAGGAGTTCCTAAGCTTGTGGCTGAATCACTCTGATTTCTGTTTTCATATTCTCTTCTCCTCCCTGTGTCTCTCCTCAGGGTATCCCTTATGGACACTTGTCATTGGATTTGGGGCCCACCCAGATAATCCAGGATGATCTCATCTCAAGATCCTTAATAATATCTGCAAAGATCCTTTTTTCAAATAAGGTCACATTCACAGGTTCCAGGGATTTTACATGGATATCTTGTTGGGGAGGTAGGTCATTTTTCAGGCTATGGTTGTCAATGCCCATAACATGGATTAAGCTCTCTAGCTGCCAGTAGCCACCCACATCACAGGAGGGAGAGAATGGCTCATGTGCCCCCAAAGACCTAGCCTCAGAGCAGTGAGACCCGGGCTCCTTCCTCACAACTGAATGTGTGGTACACAGATTCTTGGGTGGCCCCATGATCCCCCCTCTTAATGTTAAGGACTTTGTGTGATCTTATCCCCTTGAGTGTGGGCAGGACTCTGCCTTGCTTCTAACCAACAGGATACAGCAACGGTAATGGTATATGTGTGATTGCATGTGCATGACTGTGTTGCATCAGATTGTAATGCCTATCTTCCTAAGAGACTCTCTCCCCTGTGGGATTTGAAGAACAAGGCTGCCATGTTATGTGCTGCCTATGGAGAGGGCCACATGGCAAGGAATTAAAGTAACCTGTAGATGACAGCCAGCAAAGGGGCCAGCAAGAAACTGGGCCCTCAGTAAGCAGCCTGCAAGGAACTGAATGTTGCCAACAAACACATGAACCCAGAAGTGCATCCATCCCCAGTCAAGCTTCACATGAGACCACAGCCCTAACCAACCCCTTGATTGCAGCTTTGTGAGACCCCAGTGTAAAGGGCCCAGCTAGGCCATGCCCTGACTCCTGACCCAGAGAAACTCTGAGATAATAAATGTATTGTTTTAAACTACTAAGTGTGTAATAATATTATAATAGAGCAACAGATAACTAATGTGGAACCTATCATGGTCTCCCCAAGCCAACTCCTTCAGATGATTGCCATTCCACTCACCCATATGCCAAAAACCTGGGTATCACCTGGGGCTCTTTCTCCTCCTCTCAGCATTCCCCCTCCACATCCAATCCATCAGCAAGTCTTGGCAAGTCTTCCTTCTAAATGTCTTCCTGTCTCATGGAAAATTACCTTGATGCAATGGTGACCCCTAAGAACACCATCAGGTAACTAAATCAGAGGCCATGGAACTGAAAACCTCACAGACTAAATTGAGATGCTCAACTCACACCATTCATTAACCAATTAAAACCCAAAGTCAAACAAAATCAAGGAGGCAGGGCATGGTGACTCATACCTGTAATGTCAACACTTTGGGAGGCTGAGGCAGAAAGATCACTTGAGTCCAGGAGTTCAAGGCCAGCCTAGGCAACATAGTAGAGACCCTTTCTCTACAAAAAAAAAAGAAAAATTAGCCAGGTATGGTGGCACATACCTGTAGTCCCAGCTACTCAGAAGGCTAAGGTGGGAAGATTACTTAAGCCTGGGAAATTGAGGCTGCAGTGGGCTATGATCACACCACTCCACTCCAGACTGAGTGAAAGAGCAAGACCCTGTTTCAAAAAAAATCAAGAAAAAAATGATAAGGTTGGTTGGCTCATTTAGAATTGGGTACACACAAGTAAGTGGAAGGAACAAATGATCCTGGATCCCTGGGGTATGCAACATTCATGTGTCCTGTTTCTCTCTCTCCCTCTCTTTCTTTGTCCCCCTCCCCATACACACACACACACACACACACACACACACACCAGCCTGCCCTGCTGAAGTATGGATTTGGAGGAGCAGTGTTGAGGTTTGAGCAAGGGAGCATCCAACAGATAAAGATGCCCGGGGCCAATCACACACAACTCTACTGGACTGGAGAGACCTAGAAAAATACACAGTCTTGGCCACTGCTGTAGTTTGATCACTAGCCTGCCATACAGCCAAGGGCTTTATCTGCATTTCTTGGATGGAACATACGTAGGGCCAGAATGAGACTAGGATTGGTGACTCCAGTGGGTGGCCAATTTAGGGACGACCTAGCTGTCAGACTAGCAGTGACACCATCACAACTTGGTCTTTTCACCCATTTCTATTTACAACACTCTTATTTGTTTTGCCATAGAAGTCATTTAATCTATCTATGATTAGTAAGTTACTAACATTCTTACTATCTATCAACACATTTAACATACCTTATGAATTCTGCCTGAGTTGTGTATGCTTAACACTTCCTCTAAATTTTGTCTCTATTTCATAAGCTCCTAGCTTATGAACCATCTATGCTGAACACTTCTTAGGAGGTTCATCCATCCTATTTGCTTTTCTTATCCTTTATAAAAGAATTACATATTATCATGTAATGCAGCAAACGCGTGTTACACTTCCCAAACCATCCACTTTCTTGCAACTCCTCTGCCTCCACCACAGTCCAAGCTGCCACTTTCTTTCAACTGCAACCTCTTAATTGGTTTCCTGCTACTACACTGACCATCCCCACAGTATCCGGAAGGTGGCTTCTAAAAGGGAAATCTCTTTCTGTCCAGCCTGGCCATAAAGCATAAACTCCTGAATGACATTAAAGCCTATGATGATACAGTCACAACGCCCTCTCCTCTCACTTCAAGTCCCGCTATTGCCCACCTCCCACACCATGCACTCTCAGAACCAGCCCTGCCTCTGCACATGCCCTGCCTAGAATGAGCTCTTTCCAATGTTCCTGCTCAACTCCTACACTCCAATCAAGACCCAGCTCAGGCATCACCTCCTCTGGGAGCCATTCTCTGATTCTCTCCCCAGTAAATATTCAGGGAGGAGACAGGCAAGGAGAAGAGAGGACGAAGAGAGAGAAGGAAGAATGGAGGAAAGCCATAACCATTCCACTATTAAATGGAATAAATCCAGAAGTAATAATTGCCCTCCCCCTCAAGGTATTTAAATAAGACTGAATGACATCTAGGAAAAATAATTGCAGAAATTGTTCAAACACAGAATATGCACTTGCACCAGAAACAATCCACAATTTTTCCTTGGAGTCCGGGTGTTCCAATTATCTTTTGGGGCAAAGTAAATGACCCCAGTGCTTACTGGCTTAAAACAACAACCATTTATTATGTCTCATGATTTTTAGGCCATTTTTCTCCTCTGTGGCACTGACTATGCTCACTCAGTGGTATTTAGCCAGCAGCTGGGCTGGGCTGAAGTGTTCAAGACAGCATCATTCACATATGTGCCTTTTGGCAGGAGCCAGGAGTCTAGGCTCAGCTGGGTGTCTCCCCTCTGCATGTAGACTCTGGTCTGTCCAGCATATCCAACAGCATGGTCAGACATCACATGCGGCATCTCAGGCTCCAGGAGACCAAAGTAGAAGCGGCCAGTCTTTTTAAAAACGGCCGAGTGCTGTGGCTCATGCCTATAATCCCAGCACTTTGGGAGGCCGAGGTGGGTAGATCACAAAGTCAAGAGATCAAGGCCATCCTGGCCAACATGATGAAACCTCATCTCTAATAAAAATACAAAAATTAGCTGGGCATGGTGGCACACACCTGTTGTCCCAGCTACTCGGGAGGCCGAAGCTGGAGAATAGCTTGATCCCGAGAAGCGGAGGTTGCAATGAGCCGAGATCGCACCACTGCACTCCAGCCTAGGCGACAGAGTGAGACTCTGTCTTGAAAAGAAAAAAAAAAAAAAGGCCCAGAACTGGCATGGCATCCCTTCTTCAACACTCTATTGGTCAAAACATTTAGGGGCCAGCCCAGCTTCAAGGAAGAGGGGAAACAGACCCCACCTCTTAATGAGGACTGTCAAAAAATCTGCAGCCATCTGTAAATTCCTGATGTGGAACTGAAGACCACATCTCCAGAAAGCCTCACCAGGCCTGGGAACAGTCCAGACAAAACAGCCACTGAACCCCTGACAACAGTAACTATGAGATAATATATGTTTTTTGTTAGTTAAACCCATTTCATTTGGGGATAATTTTTTTTTTTAATGGAGTCCCTTTCTGCCACCCAGGCTGGAGTGCAGTGGCGCAATCTCGTCTCACTGCAACCTCCACCACCCAGGTTCCAGTGATTCTCCAGCCTCAGCCTCCCAAGTAGCTGGGATTACAGGTACCCGCCACAATGCCCAGCTAACTTTTGTATTTTTAGCAGAGATGGGGGTTTCGCCATGTTGGCCAGGCTGGTCTCGAACTCCTTGTGTCCGGAATTGGTAGGTTCTTGGTCTCACTGACTTCAAGAATGAAGCTGCGGACCCTCGCGGTGAGTGTTACAGCTCTTAAGGTGGCGCGTCGGGAGTCTGTCCCTTCTGATGTTCAGATGGGTTCAGAGTTTCTTCCTTCTGGTGGGTTCGTGGTCTCGCTGGCTCAGGAGTGAAGCTGCAGACCTTCGCGGTTAGTGTTACAGCTCTTAAAGCAGCGTGTCTGGAGTTGTTCGTTCCTCCTGGTGGGCTTGTGGTCTCGCTGGGCTCAGGAGTGAAGCTGCAGATCTTCGCGATAAATGTTACAGCTCATAAAGGCAGCATGGACCCAAAGAGTGAGCACTAGCAAGATTTATTGCAAAGAGCAAAAGAGCAAAGCTTCCACAGTGTGGAAGGGGACCCGAGTGGGTTGCCAATGCTGGCTCGAGTTGCCAATGCTGGCTCGGGCAGCCTGCTTTTATTCTCTTATCCGGCTCCACCCACATCCTGCTGATTGGTAGAGCCAAGCGGCCTGTTTTGTCAGGGTGCTGATTGGTGCGTTTACAATCCCTGAGCTAGATACAAAGGTTCTCCACGTCCCCATCAGATTAGTTAGATACAGAGTTTCGACACACAGGTTCTCCAAGGCCCCACCAGAGCAGCTAGATACAGAGTGTCGATTGGTGCACTCACAAACCTTGAGCTAAACACCGGGTGCTGATTGGTGTGTTTACAAACCTTGAGCTAGATACAGAGTGCCGATTGGTGTATTTACAATCCCTGAGCTAGACATAAAGGTTCTCCAAGGCCCCACCAGAGCAGCTAGATACAGAGTGTCGATTGGTGCACTCACAAACCTTGAGCTAGACACAGGGTGCTGATTGGTGTGTTTACAAACCCCAAGCTAGATATAAAGACTCTCCATGTCCTCACCAGACTCAGGAGCCCAGCTGGCTTCACCTAGTGGATCCCGCACTGGGGCTGCAGGTGGAGCTGCCTGCCAGTCCCGTGCCATGCGCTCGCATTCCTCAGCCCTTGGGTGGTTGATGGGACTGGGCACCGTGGAGCAGGGGGTGGTGCTCGTCAGGGAGGCTCGGACCGCACAGGAGCCCATGGAGTGGGTGGGAGGCTCAGGCATGGCAGGCTGCAAGTCCCAAGCCCTTCCCCGAGGGAAGGCAGCTAAGGCCCGGCGAGAAATCGAGCACAGCGCCGGTGGGCTGGCACTACTGGGGAACCCAGTACACCCTCCACAGCCACTGGCCCAGGTGCTAAGTCCCTCATTGCCTGGGGCCAGCAGGGCTGGCCGGCTGCTCCGAGTGCGGGGCCCGCCAAGCCCACGCCCACCCGGAACTCCAGCTGGCCCGCAAGCGCCGCACGCAGGCCTGGTTCCCGCTCGCGCCTCTCCCTCCACACCTCCCTGCAAGCTGAGGGAGCGGGCTCCAGCCTTGGCCAGCCCAGAAAGTGGCTCCCACAGTGCAGTCGGGGGGCTGAAGGGCTCCTCAAATGCCGCTAAAGTGGGAGCCCAGGCAGGGGAGGTGCCAAGAGCAAGCAAGGGCTCTGAGGACTGCCAGCATGCTGTCACCTCTCAATCCCCCCTCTAAACAGGACACCCCAACTGCTGTTGGGAATTTGGCTGATGACCGCTCTAGCTACTTCCTGCTGCATAGGGGCGAAGGAGGGGCCCTGCACTTGTGGTGTCCTTCTGAGGGAACTCAGCTTGCAGGGAGGTGTGGAGGGAGAGGCGCGAGCGGGAACCAGGGCTGCGTGCGGAGCTTGCGGGCCAGCTGGAGTTCCGCGTGGGCGTGGGCTTGGCGGGCCCCGCACTCGGAGCAGCCCACCAGCCCTGCTGGCCCCGGGCAATGAGGGACTTAGCACCCGGGCCAGTGGATGCGGAGGGTGTACTGGGTCCCCCAGCAGTGCCGGCCCACCGGCGCTGTGCTCGATTTCTCCCCAGGCCGTAGCTGCCCTCCCGCGGCGCAGGGCTCCAGACCTGCAGCCCGCCATGCCTGAGCCTCCCACCCACTCCATGGGCTCCTGTGTGGCCCGAGCCTCCCCAACAAGCACCACCCCCTACTCCATGGCGCCCAGTTCCATCGACCACCCAAGGGCTGAGGAATGCAAGCACATGGCGCGGGACCGGCAGGCAGCTCCACCTGCAGCCCCAGTGCGGGATCCACTAGGTGAAGCCAGCTGGGCTCCTGAGTCTGGTGGGGATGCGGAGAGTCTTTATATCTAGCTCAGGGATTGTAAATACACCAATCACCACCCTGTGTTTAGCTCAAGGTTTGTGAATGCACCAATCGACACCCTGTATCTAGCTGCTCTGGTGGGGCCTTGGAGAACCTGTGTATCCAAACTCTGTATCTAACTAATCTGATGGGGACGTGGAGAACCTTTGTATCTAGCTCAGGGATTGTAAACGCACCAATCAGCACCCTGACAAAACAGGGCACTCGGCTCTACCAATCAGCAGGATGTGGGTGGGGCCAGATAAAAGAATAAAAGCAGGCTGCCCGAACCACCATTGGCAACCTGTTTAGGTCTTCTTCCACACTGTGGAAGGTCTGTTCTTTTGCTCTTTGCAATAAATCTTGCTAGTGGTCACTCTTTGGGTCCGCGCTGCCTTAAGAGCTGTAACACTCACCGCAAAGGTCTGCAGCTTCACTCCTGAGCCCAGCGAGACCACGAGCCCACCGGGAGGAACGAACAACTCCAGACGCGCTACCATAAGAGCTGTAACACTAACCGCGAAGGTCTGCAGCTTCACTCCTGAGCCAGCGAGACCACGAACCCACCAGAAGGAAGAAACTCCGAACCCATCCGAACATCAGAAGGGACAGACTCCAGACGCGCCACCTTAAAAGCTGTAACACTCACCGCGAGAGTCCACGGCTTCATTCTTGAAGTCAGTGAGACCAAGAACCCACCAATTCTGGACACATCCTGACTTCAGGTGATCCACCTGCCTCGGCCTCCCAAAGTGCTGGGATTACAGGCATGAGCCACGGTGGCTCCCTGAGGATAATTACATAGCTGTAGATGCCAAATACATTCACCCTTTCCAAAGCTGTCCTTCCATCCATATTCAAGACAGTGTCCTGGAAGGGAAACATCCAGGGACAGGATGTGTGATGGATTTCAGGATAAGAGCCTAAAGTTAAAGAATTTAAGAAAGTTATGAGACCAGATCTTCAAAATCTACTATCTCGGAGCCAATTCTCATTCATATACGCACGTAACAAATATCTCTGAGTTCCTACTCTGTGCTGCGCGTTAAGCAAAGTGCTGGAGATAGAAGGGTAAGCAAAACAGACATGGTCTCTCAAATCACAGGTCTCTTTAAGAATACCCCAGTCTGGGTCCTTTCTATATCCTGTAAGTTTCACTCCCAGGGCAGCTACTGCCGGATGAAAATGGGCTCTGGGCCAGGCCTGTAATCCCAGCACTTTGTGAGGGTGAGGCAGGCAGATCACCTAAGCTCAGGAGTTTGAGACCAGCCTGCCCAACATGGTGAAACCCTGTCTCTACTAAAAATACAAAAAATTAGCTGGGCGTGGTGGTGGGCACCTGTAATCCCAGCTACTCAGGAGGCTGAGGCAGGAGAATCTCTTTAAACAGGGATGCAGAGGTTGCAGTGAGCCGAGATCACGCCACTGCACTGCAGCGTGGGAGACAACAGCAAAACTCCGTCAAAAAAAAAAAAAAAAGAAAGAAAAGAAAATGGGCTCTGGGCACCTCTAATAATTCACAGCCCCTGTCCCTAGCCCAGCCTGCTCACTAGTCTTGCTTTCCTTCTTGGCTTCTGACTTGGCTCATTTCATGTTACCCATTGCTTGGACCTAATACGCTGGCTTTGGGCTTTTCTAGCAAACCACATTCCCATTCACTTTCACGTTCCAAACCAGGGCCAGGCACAGTAGCCGCGACCTTAGCATCGGCCCTAGGAGTGACCCGGAAGTCCATGCCACCAGTCCAGAAGTCATTCCGGACTCTTCTTTCCTGTGTCTCCCGGTCCAGTTCTTCCTTCCGCTGAACGCTGAGAAAGTCGTCCCTGGGCGGGGGAAGCTGGCTCTTTGCTTCCCCTCGGGCCCATGAGCCATTGTCCCCAACCAGCGAGGCGCATCTTAGAAGCACCATCTCCTCGGGCTCTTTTCCTGCTCTGCCTGGATTGGGCTCATTTACTAAAAATTAGTTGGGAATGAAAAAAGCCCTTAGTTTATTAGCGTGCTATTATTCCCCTCCCACCATGCCCCTGCAGCATGATGGATTGCCTGGTGAGGGGACGCAGCCCCAGCCGGGGAGTGAGCAAGCTCTGCTCGGTCCCCGGCGCAGACAGATGGGGAGGCCGAGTCCTGACCATGATTGATTAGCTCCGCAAAGCCTGTTGAGCGGAGTTCCATCAAGATTGATGCTTTCTCCTCATAACAGCATTTCCAAAAAGTTTCTATTACATTTTGATTATGTTTATAGAATCTCGCTGGTCCGGGGGAAGATGCAATCTCGTTCGTTCCCAGTATGTGTCTGCGTGGGCCGCCACAGCGCCTCACACAGCCCTGCTAGCTTGGCCTTTGCAGAGTGACCTCACTTTCTGGTCAGGAGGAAGGACTTGGGTTGCCTCCCACCATCAAGGTGGAAGAAGCTAATGTCCACTCTCCCAGTGCCCAGAGTTCAGTCTCACGGCAGTTCTGGTTTTCGAAGCCCAACCATTTCAGGTGTTCTCAGGCCTGGGCCTGAAGGTAAAAGAGAAAATCAGAGCAAAGGCATTTCCTGAGATCGGCAGGCTGTTGCGGAAGAGACTGGGCAGCCCTCATTTTTCTACGTGGTTCCCAAGGACACAGTAAGACCACGTCAAATGCGTGGCAAAATATATGTTTAAATATTTATGCAAATGCATTTATTTATGTGTGTCTGTGTGCGTGTGTCCCATTTTACCCCACAAAGGATTTGAATGATGTACAAGAAATGTGGAAAATGAATAAAGAACAAGAATTCGGACCAGGGAAATGCAAATCAGGCTAGAATATCAAGACCAAAAGGAAAAACTAAATATATATGCAACATGTAAGATGCCACAGTCTTTATGCTTGGGCCTTTAAGTTGGTCTGAGTTTCCTGATAGTCAACGTGAAAAGGGAAATAAAATTGGTTACTTAGTTCTTTTCTAGCTGTTATTAATAAAAGAATTTTCAGAAATGCCAGTTCTTTGGGGGAATCTTAGGGTTTCTTCCAATTTTATTCTAAAGGAAATTTTGTACTAGAGAGTTGTAAATAGAAGACTACAATAAATATGTTAAACCAGTACTGACATTTTGGGCTAGATAATTCCTTGTGTGGGGGCTGCCCTATGAATCATAAGATATTTAGCAGCATCCTTAGTCTATACTAACCAGATACCAATAGCGAACCCTCTTCAAGTTGTAATAACCAAAAATGCCTCCAGATACTGTCAGATGTATCCTGGGGTTTGCTATTGCTAGATTTAACAAGAATTCAGAATGCCCAGTTAAATTTGAATTTCACATTTTTTAAAATGAATAATATTTTAATGTAAGTATTTCCCAGGCAACATTTGGATATACTTATACTAAAATTATATTCTTTTTTATCTGAAATTCAGATGTAACTAGCCATCCTGGATTATGTCAAGTAACCCCACCTGATGGGCCACATCCTCAGTGGGAAGATCTCCCAGGAACCTTTCAAACATGATGCACTGCAAGGGGCTTACTCTCCACATCATGTTTTTTAAAGTGTAACAATGTGAAAACATGTTTTTCTTCAGTGCTTCTTTTTTTATTTATAGATAACAATAGTTTGCCTTCTGTTTTATATCTTTTTAACTATAAAATTTAATTGTGATCTATCTTGCAAATAAATGATATACTTTTGAAAAAATAAATAAATAAAAATTTAAAACTCCAGGCCTTTTGCAGTGGCTCACACCTATAATCCCAGCACTTTGGGAGGCCAAGGCACAAGGATGGTTTGACCTCAGGAATTCAAGACCAGCCTGGGCGACAGAGTGAGACCCCATCTCTACAAAAAAAAAAAAAAAAAAAAATCTAATTGAGCACCACTATGTTAAACAGTGCCCTCAAAACAGCCCTTTGGGGTAATAATGTAGCCAGAGAATTCCATAAGACTGGGTCTTGTAGTATCCACAGAAGAAATCAAGGGCATAACTCTACAATATAACTTTAAAAGAGCAATTCTGCACAGTTCTAAACAATATTATCCTTCCACAATATTTTTGACGATCCTGCTTGATCCAGTGTTAAAACCTAGAGACACTTTGCTGCAACCTCCCCCTAGTCTAACTGCCCAGATTCCCTTTGCAAAAGGCAGTGAGGTGAGTCTCACCTGATGGTCCCAAATGATCCCATGCTGGTGCTGCTAGTTTCCTTTGGCCACTGGGATTACAAAGTAGACTCAAGCAATCTCTAGAAATTACCCATTCTAGGGTTACTCGGTTGTAAAAACTGGCTAGACATTTGGAAAATAGCAGTTGGATCCCTTCCTCATCCTTTGTACCAAAATAAATACCAGATGTATCAAAATTTTTAAGCATGAAACAATGAAATCAGATTAGTACTAGAAGAAAATGTGGGATAACTTTTTGGAATTGCCAGGATAGGAAAGGGCCTTTTGTGTCACCTTCGGGACACAAAATCCAGAAACGATGGAGTAAAAAAAGATTGAGAGATTTTACCACATTTTTTAAATGTAAGTCTCTGCATGGCAGACAGAAAAACGAAGACTAACGAAGTTGGGGAAAAATACAGGCCATATAAAGGAGGACTAATGTCTCCATTACACAGAAAGTTCCCAGAAAAAGAAATTCAAATGGCTTTTAAAAACATGAAAGAGTGATCAACCTCACTCAGCTACAAATTAAAACCACAATTAAAAATCTATTTTTATCAATCATATGGGCAAAGATCAAAACGTCTAATAACATGCCATCAGTAAGAATGGGGGGAAACAGACACTAAAAGAGTTGTTGGAAATACATGCTCACTCTTGGAAGGCATTTTGGCATTGTGTATTCAATTTTAGCTGTGCAGTTTCACTTCTGATATTTACTCCACAGATATGTATGAGTGCAAAGATGTATATATAAAGTTAGTCATTAAAGTGTTTGTTAGCAAAATTTGTGAATAAACTAAATATCCACCACTACAAATTTTCTTAAATAAATTATGGTACATTCATGCAAAGAAATGCTATGCAGCAGTTTTACAATATAGAGTGGCTATAGAACAAGAAGTAGTAAGGAATGATCTCCAAGATATAATGTGAAGTGAAAAAAAAGAAAGTGCTGAAGATGTATAGAGGATAGTAAGACAAAGTAGATAGATATATAAACGTGCTTTTCTTATTCATATATGTGTGCTTATGAAGCAATACACAAGAAATTGGTTATATTGATTGCCTCTGGGAAGTGAACATAAGAAACTGGTATGAAGAATGAAAACAAGATTTACTTTTAACGAATACTTTTTTGAATCATTTGGATTGTTTTAACCATGTGTATGTATTAACTTTTCAAAATGACATCAACTGATCTTTGACAAGAGCACCAAGAATACACAATGAGGAAAAGATTATCTTTCCAATAAATGGTGTTGGGAAGACAGGATATCCATGTGTCAAAGGATGAAATTGGACCCCTATTTTATACCATAAAAAATAAACTCAAAATGAATTAAAGATTTAAACATAAAGACTTGAAATTGTAAAACTACTGGATTAAGAAAATGTGGCACATATACACCATGGAATACTATGCAGCCATAAAAAATGATGAGTTCATGTCCTTTGTAGGGACATGGATGAAATTGGAAATCATCATTCTCAGTAAACTATCGCAAGAACAAAAAACCAAACACCGCATATTCTCACTCATAGGTGGGAATTGAACAATGAGAACACATGGACACAGGAAGGGGAACATCACACTCTGGGGACTGTTGTGGGGTGGGGGGAGGGGGGAGGGATAGCTTTAGGAGATATACCTAATGCTAAATGACGAGTTAATGGGTGCAGCACACCAGCATGGCACATGTATACATATGTAACTAACCTGCACATTGTGCACATGTACCCTAAAACTTAAAGTATAATAATAATAAAATAAAAATTAAAAAAAAAAAAAACTAGAAGAAAACATAGGGGGAAAGCTTCATGACATTGGTCTTGGCAATGACTTCATGGCTATGACACCAAAAGCGCAGGCAACAAAAGCAAAAATAGAAAAGTTGGACTACATCACATTTAAAACTTCTGCCCAGTAAAGGAAACAACCAATGGAGTGAAAAAGCAATCTATGGAATAGGAGACTATATTTCCAAGCCATATATCCGAGAAGGGGTTTATTTCCAAAATATATAAAGAACTCTTATAACTCAACAGAAAAAAAATAGTACAACTGAAAAATGAGCAGCAGCCGGGTGCGGTGGTTCACGCCTGTAATCCCAGTAATTTGGGAGGCTGAGGAGGGCAGATCATGAGGTCAGGAGATCAAGACCATCCTGGCCAACATGGTAAAACCCCGTCTCTATTAAAATACAAAAAAAAAAAAAATTAGCCAGGCATGGTGGCGCGTACCCGTAGTCCCAGCTACTCAGGAGGTTGAGGCAGGAGAATCGCTTGAACTCAAGAAGCAGAGGTTTCAGTGAGCCGAGATTGCACCACTGCACTCCAGCCTGGCAACAGAGTGAGACTCCATCAAAAAAAAAAAAAAAAGGTAAAGGACTTGAACAGACATTTCTCTCAAGAAGAAATACAAATGGCCAACAGGTATATGAAAAGGTGCTCAACATCACTAAGCATTAGGAAAATACAGACTAAAACCACAATGAGATATCACTTGACACCTGTTACAATGGCTATTATCCAAAAAATTGAAAAAATAGCAAGTATTGACAAAATTGTGGAGAAATTGGGCCCTTGCACTCTATCGGTGGGAATGTAAAAAACAATTTTTAAATTTAAAAATGCCCAGCTTAACTTAAAATAATTTATCTTATGGAAATAACCAGACAGTTGCTAACATTTGTACTCCAAAATATTTATTGCAATATCGTAATAAAAAATTGGAGATGACTTCAGTGTCCAATAATAGACAATTGGTTTAAATGATATATGATATATACATGCAGTAAGACCACTTTGTAACCATTAAGAATCACCGTCATAAAGAATGATTTAGGGGCCAAGCATGATGGCTCACACTTATAATCCCAGCACCTTGGAAGGCTGAGGTGGGAGGACCACTGGAGCCTAGGATTTCTAGAACAGCCTGGGCAACATAATGAGATTACAACTCTACACAAAATTTTAAAATTAGCCAAGCATAGTGTTGCATGCTTGTAGTCCCAGCTACTTGGGAGGCTGGGATGGGAGGATTGATTGACCCTGGAAGGATGAGGCTACAGTGAGCCACGATTGCACCACTGCACTCCAGTCTGGGCAACAGAGCAAGATTCTGTCTCAAAAAAAAAAAAAGGGAATGACTTAGGATATGAGAAAATGATCATGATATATTATTAAGTGAAAAAAAACAAGCACAAAATCATATGTACAATATGATCATGATTGTTTTCAAACACACACAGAGATGTTTATGGGATAGGAGAGATGTTTTCCAAATGTTAGTAGCCATGTTCTCTGGGTGGCAGATTTGCAGGTAATGTGTATTCTCTTCTTCATACTTTTCTATATAGTCCATAATTTCTGTGAAAAAATATTAATTTTATAATTAAAAAGCATTCAATATTATATGAAAGGGAAATAAATTCCCACTGGCCCTATGCTGAGATGAATGCCAAGTTCCTAGTCCCTCCATGACGCTTAGGGTCAGCTTTATTTTTTTAAAAAAAAAGGGCTAGGGCTAGATTCCAGTGGGGGGACTATTTGGGACACAGCATAATTTTGGCTATAAGAGTCAGTGATCCCAATTGGAAGGCCATATTTCAGTCCCATAGGATCCACATGATAAAGAACATGGAGGGCAGAGGTCCTGAATCCTTGATACTACCTGGAATTCTTTCTACCTATTTTTGGCTAAAACCACTCTTTATTTCCAGCAAAAGCCTCTACGACCTCCTCCAAATCCACCAAACCTTCAAAGCCTGCCACATCCAGGAAGCCCTGTCTGATACCATCCCCTCTGCCGACATAGGACATAGTGTGGACATCTCTCCCCAGCCCCTAGTTATTTACTATACTGTAAAAATATTTTAAAATTATTAATCACAGCTGTGGCTGGGCACGGTGACTCACACCTGTAACCTGTAACCCCAGCACTTTGGGAGGCCAAGGCAGCCAGATCACGTAACGTCAGGAGTTTGAGACCAACCTGGGCAACATGGTAAAACCCCATCTCTACTAAAAAACAAAAATTAGCCAGGTGTGATGGCAGGAGCCTGCAATCCTAGCTACTCAGGAGGCTGAGACAGGAGAATTGCTTGAACCCAGGAGGTGGAGGTTGCAGTAAGCCAAGATTGCACCATTGCACTCCAGCCTGGGGGATAAGAGCAAATTTCCCTCTCAAAAAATAATAATAATACAATAAAATAAAAGTATTAATCACAGCTACCATTTACTCAGCACCTCATTTTGCACCACATGCTATGCAAAACTCTTTACATTTATTAGGTCATTCAACCTTTATAACAACCCTACGATGAAGCCTCTATAAAGTGTATAGTTGAGCAAAATGAGGCACAGTGGGACCTAGTTCCTCACTTAGGGTATCTCAAACAGTAATGGCACTACCAGGATGCAAACTAAGTTCAGTGATTTCAAAGACCATAACCTCAACTACTATGAGATGCTGACTCTTTCATGGTGTGCCTCTCAGAATCAGAGATATTTTTCTACTGGACAGGCCCTGCCAAGTACCCATTTCTCTTGACAGCAGCAACCAAACTTGCCTTGGGAAATCGTCCTCTTTTTGTGCAATATTTCCGGGACTGTCATTCAAGATGTCCCACCTGTCCTGGTCACATGACCCCACCTGAGCCAATCAGGCTTATTGTCAGAACTTTGAGCCTAGAATAGGTGATGCAAGAACAGAAAGGTCAGTGGACCCTTGAGCCAATTGGTCATTAACCCATGATTAACTGGACTCTATCCCCAGAACCAAACCTATTGACCTCACATGCTGCAAAAAATTCCTGGTTTTGTTTAGATTAACCAGAGTTTGCTCAGTTTAGCTTGGAATCAAAAACCCTACCTAAAAGGACTAGTGTCTGAAGTATATAAAGGACTCTCAAAATTCAACCATAAAAAACAAAAATTTTCAACAAAATACTAGCAAACCAAATTCAGCAACATGTAACCAAGTGACATTTATCTCAGAAATGCAAGATTGGCTTAATGTACAAAAATCAATCAGTGTAATACACCATATTAGTAGAATAAAGGACAAAAATCACATGATGGTCTTAATAGATACAGAAAAGGCATTTGACAAATCCAGTACCTTATTATGATTTTTAAAAAAATACTTCACAAATTAGAAATACAAGAGAACTTTCTCAACCTGATAAAGGCCATCTATTTTTTTTAATAATCCACAGCTAACAATATATTTAATGATACTTAATGGTGAAAGATTGGCTGGCTTTCTCCTAAGATCAGGAATAAAATAAGAATTTCCACTCTTGCCACTTCTGTTCAACATTGTTCTACAGGTTCTAGCCAGAGCAATTAGACAAGAAAAAAAAAGACATCCAGATTGGGAAGGAAGAAGTAAAACTATCTCCATTCACAAATGACATGATCTTATGTAGAGAGAAAATTCTAAGGAGTCCGCTAAAGAAATTGTTAGAGGCTGGCCACAGTGGCTCATGCCTGTAATCCCAGCACTTTGGGAGGCCAAGGTGGGAGGATCATCTGAGTCCAGGAGTTCAAGACCAGCCTGGCAACATAGTGAGACCCCCCCACACACAAGAAATAAACAAAATTGGCCAGGTGTGGTGGTGCATGCCTCTAGTCTCAGCTAATTGGGAGGCTGAGGTGGGAGGATCAATTGAGCCTGGGAGCCAAAGTGGCAATAAGCCAAGATTACACCCTTGCACTCTGGCCCAGATGACAGAGTGAGACCTTGTCTCAAAAAAAAAGAAAAAGAAAAAGAAAAGAAAGAAAGAAACTGTTAGAACTAATTAAGGAGTTCAGCAATCTTGCAGGTTACAAGATCAGGATACAAAAATCAACTGTATTTCTACACACTTGAAATGTATGGTCCAAAAATGAAATTAAGAAAACAATTTCTTTTACAATAGCATCAAAAAGAATAAAATACTTAAGAATAAATTTGACAAGAGAAGTTACACCAAAAACCACAAAACATCATTGAAAAAAAGATGTAAATAAATGGAAAGATGTAAAAAAAAAATGGAAAGATACCTGACATTCATGTATTATAAGAAGTAATATTGTTAAGATGACAATACTCCTCATATTGATCTCTGGAATCAATGTAATTTCTATCAAAGTCTCAGTTGTCTTTTTGCAGAACTTGACAAGATGATTCTAAAAAAATAAACATGGAAATGCAAGAATAGGCAAAACAATCTTGAAAAAGAAGAACAAAACTGGAGGACTCACATCTCAATTTCAAAACTTACTATACAGTTACAATAATCAGGACATTATGGATCTAACATAAGGATAGAAATATAGACCAATGAAATGGATTCTGAAATTAAGAAATAAACTCTCACATTATGGTCAACTCATTTTCCTGAAGGGTACCATGACAATTCAATGGGAAAAGAATAGCCTTTTCCAAAAATGGTGCTGGGATAACTGGATATCCACATGCAAAAGAATGAAATTGGGCCCCTACCTCACACCACGTGAAAATTAATTCAAAATCAATTAGAGACCTAAATGTAAAAGCTAAATTCATAAGAGTCTTATAGAAAACATAAGGAACAAATTGTGTCCTTGGATTAGGCAATGGTTTCTTAAATATAACACCAAAAACCCAAACAACAAAAGAAAAATAAATTGGAGTTCATCAAAATTTTAAACTTTTGGCCAGGCATGGTGGTTCATACCTATAATCCCAGCACTTTAGGAGGCCAAGGTGGGTAGATCATGAGGTCAGGAGTTCAAGACCAGCCTGGGCAACATGGTGAAACCCCATATCTACTAAAAATACAAAAATTAGCTGGTCGTGATGGTGGGCACCTGTAATTTTAGCTACTCAGGAGGCTGAGGCAGGAGAATTGCTTGAACTCTGGAGGCAGAGGTTGCAGTGAGCCAAGATTGTACCACTGTACTCCAGTCTCGGTGACAGAGTGAGACTCAGTATCAAAAAATAAAATAAAATAAAACTTTTGCACATCAAAGGACACTATAATTAAAGCAAAAAAATCCCCATAAGATGGGAGAAAATGTTTGCAAATCATGTATCTGACAAGGAGCTTGTATTTAGAATGTATAAAGAACACTTACAAATTGAACCCCCAAAAGCCAAATAAGCCAATCTAAAACCAGGCAACGAATTTGAATAGACATTTCTCTAATATATGCAAATGGCCAATAAGCACATGAGAAGATGCTCAGCATCATTAGTCATTAAAGAAATGAAAACCAAAACTACAATGAAATACTACTTCGTAACCACTAGGATGACTATAATCGAAAATGTGAAAAACAACAAATGTTAGCAAGGCTCTGGAGAAATTGGAACCCTCATACATTGCTGGTAGGAATGTAAAATGGTGCAGCCACTCTAGAAAATATTTTGGCAATTCCTCAAAACATATGGTTATCATAAGACCCAGTAATTCCACTCCTAGGTATATAAGCAAAAGAATTGAAAACACAAAAATTTGGCCAGGCACAGTGGCTCACACCTGTAATCCCAGCACTTTGGGAGGCCAAGGATGGTGGATCACCTGAGGTCAGGAGTTCAAGACCAGCCTGGCCAACATGGTGAAACCCCATCTCTACTAAAAATATTTTTTTTAAAAATTAGCCGGGCATGGTGGCAGGCACCTGTAATCCCAGCTACTCAGGAGGCTGAGGCAGGAGAATCACTTGAACGTGAGAGGCAGATGTTGGAGTGAGCCAAGATCATGCCATTGCACTCCAGCCTGGGGACAAGAGCGAGACTTTGTCTCAAAAAAAAAAAAAAAAAAAGAGAACCCAAAAATTTAAACATAAATGTTCATAGCAGCATTATTCATAATAGCCAAAAAGTGGAAACAATATAAATGTCTACTCACTGGTGAATAGATCAACGAAATATGGTATAGCCACATAATAGAATATTCATTCATCAAATGGGATGAAGTTCTGAAACATGCTACAACATGGATGAAACTCAGTGAAGAAAAGCAGATACAAAAGGTCATGTATTGTATGATTCCATTTATATGAAATGCCCAGAACAGGCAAATCCACAGAGACAGACAATAGATTTGCAGTTGCCAGGGGCTGCAGAAAGAGAGGGATGGAATTTGACTACTAGTGAGTATGAGGCTTCATTCTGGAGTGACAAGATGTTCTGAAATTAGATAGTGATGATAGATGCACAACTTGCTGAATATACTAAAAACCACTCAGTCATACACTTTAAAAGTTCATACATGAACTTTATGGTATGTAAATTATATCTCAATAAAGCTGTAATTTAAAAAAAAAGAGGGAGAGACTGCTCGAAAAAATAAAAAACCTCACCAGTAAAAAAGTAAACAATCAAATTAAAAAATAGGCAAAAAACACAGAGAGACATTTCGCCATGGAGTACATATGGGTGGCAAATAAGCACATGAAACAATGTTCAATATCACTAGCCACTGGAAAATGCAAATTTAAAACACAATGAGATATCACTACACACTTATGAGAGTGACTAAAATAAAAAATAGTGGCAACACCAAATGCTGGCAAAGACGCAGAGAAACTGGATCACTCACATATTACTAATGGGAAGATAAGATGGCACATCCACTCTGGAAAACAGTTTAGCGGCCTGTTATAAAAACTAAACATACTGCCAGGCACGGTGGCTCACACCTGTAATCCCAGCACTCTGGGATTACAGCAATCTTGCACGTTACAATATCCGCCAAGGAGGGTGGATCACTTGAGGCCAGGAGGTCGAGACCAGCCTGGCCAACAAGGTGAAAGCCCGCCTCTACTGAAAATATAAAATTAGCCGAGTGTGGTGACGAGCACCTGTAGTCCCAGCTACTCGTGCCACTTCACTCCAGTCTGGGTGACAGAATAAGACTGCACCTCAAAAAAAAAAAAAATACAATGACCATACGACCCAGCAATTACACTCTTAGGTATTTATCCCAGAAAAATGAAACTTTATGTTCACATATAAGTAAAACTGTATAAAAACCTGTACTTGAATGTTCATAGTAGCTTTATTAGTAATAGTCAAAAACTGGAAACAACCTGGATGTACATCAATAGATAAATGGTTAAACAAGCTCTGGTATATCTGTACCATGCAATAGTACTTAGCAATAAAAAAGGAATTAATTATTAATAAACACAACCTCAATGAAGCTCCAGATAATTATGCTAAGTAAATAAAGCCAATCCCAAAAGGTTATAACTGTACAATTCTATTTATATAGGATTTTTGAAAAGACAAAATTTTAGAAATGGAGAGCAGATTAGTGGGGGCTGGAGAGCAGGAGGGAGGTGGGTGTTGGTATTAGAGGGCAACATGAGAGATCCTCATGGAAATACAACTCTTATGTATAATATTTTGACTGCAGTAGTGGATACACGAACCCATACATGTAATAAAATGGTATATAACCAAGTACCCACACACACAAACACAAGTAAAGCTGGGGAAATATTAACAAGTGCTTTGTATTGTATCAATGTCAATATCCTAATTGTGATATTGTATTAAGTTTAATAAGATGTTACCACTGGGGGAATATGGGTAAAGGATACACAGGGTCTCTGTTACTTTTTACAACTACATATGATTCAACAATTGTCTCAAAATAAAGTTTAATTTTAAAAACCTCTACCTGGCTGGCTGGCTGGGTGTGGTGGCTCACACCTGTAATCCCAGCACTCTGGGAGGCCAAGGCGGGCGGATCATGTGGTCAGGAGTTCAAGACCAGCCTGACCAACATGGTGAAGCCCCGTCTCTACTAAAAATACAAAAATTAGCCGGGCTTGGCGGTGGGTGCCTGTAATCCCAGCTACTCAGGAGGCTGAGGCAAGAGAATCACTTGAACCCAGGAGGCAGAGGTTGCAGTGAGCCAAGATTGCACCATTGCACTCCAGCTTGTGCGACAGAGCAAGATTCTGTCTCAAAAAACAAAAAACAAACAAACAAACAAAAACCTACCTTATATATGATAGAAAGAAGGAAGGGAGGGATGGAGGAAAGAAAAGTAAATTCATTTACTATGGATTTACCTTGTTTCAGAATCCAGGCTCTTTAACATGTGGCTGGAGATAAATATTATCATCCCCATTTTATAGATGATGAAACTGAGTCTCAGAGAATAACTGTCTCATTCTCAAAGATATCCTTTGAGAAGTCAAGAGTCAAGCCCTGCTCTCTGTCAGTCTGCTGTCATGCTTTAGCCAAACACAGCCATCAATCAAATGTAGGCAAAGACTGCTTTACTCAAGAGGAAATTGAAGCCAGACTGTAAGATGCAGTCCACAAAATTCATGATTTCTTCCCCCACCCCGGCTCCATCTACTTGGTCCCTTTTTCATATGGATTGGGTTTTTATTTCTGCATTTATTGCACACACAAATTACAGATGAGAGCATCGACTACACAAGTCATTACTCAGAGTAGCATCTTCCCAACTGCCACTGGACTAGGACCGAACAGCTTGTGGTTAATTTGCTATATAATCACTGCCTGTGACGGGGGGCAGGGCTGAGCCTGTGCTAATATTAGGAAAAGGGAAGCTGAGTAGAGAGGACTCCTGGGGCATGAAGAGTGAGGGTGGTATCAAACCAGGGAAAAAGGAAGAGTGCTGGTGGGGAGCAGGAGGAGGGGGCCCTACCCCACTGAGAGACTCCAAGAAGGATCTGCTCCTCTGCCAAGGAATAGAAGTGCTCCGTCCCATTCATCACGTCTGCATGGAAGAGCTAACCAGAATCCCAATTCTCCTAACCCCTGCCATTTCCTGGCCGCTGCCACTGCTGCCTCCTCACCTCAGAGCAGGGATATTTGTATACCACGCTGCATCTGCTGGGAGGGACACTTATAGAATGGTTCATGGGCAGGAGGAAACTTACCAACAGGCGGGAGTTACAGCCACCATACTAGCGTTCTAATAACTCAATATGAAAAATGGCCAACAATCCAATAAAAAATGGGCAAAGGATGTGAACAGGCTTAGGAAACTTAACCTCTAAATAGACAAAAAGACGTTCAACCTTCATCTTAATAAAATGTAAATGTCAATTAAAACTACAATGAAATACCTTTATTTTTACCTATCGGATTGACAAAGATCAAAATGTTTGATCACACACTGTGCTGGCCAGACTGTAGAAAAACCAGCAGTCCCAAAGGTTGGTGGGAGTGTAAATTGGCACAGTTTTCATGGATGGCAATTTGGCACTCTCTTTCACAATTTTTGATGCACATACCCATTGACCCATAAATTCTACTGCTCTAAAATGTATTCCACCAGACATACTTGCATATATGTATGCAAAGTTGGATGTACAAGGCTATTCAGTGCAGCACGGCTTATAATAACAGAAGATTGGAGACAGCCCGAATGTCCATCAAGAGGGGACTGCTTAAATAAATTGTAATAGAGTCATACAATGGGAATCTTTATGGCTGTTAAAAAAGAATGAGGCAGCTTTCTATGTATGGATATGAAACAATCTCCAAGATATATTGTTAAGTGAAAAAAAAAGCAAAGTGCTAAACAGTGTGATTAGAATGCTGCTATTTGTGAGAGTTTTTTAAGAATACATACACATATACATCTATGCTTATATATGCAGAGAATCCCTCGGAAGGATGACATTATTTGCAATATTTGATTCTGTAGAAGGAAAAGGGTTCTCAAGGCTGAGAACAAATAGAGAGGGAGGCTTGTTTTTCATCATTTGCCCTATTTACTAATTTGGTCTGTAGTGAATAAGCACATGTCACCAATTGTAATTAATTAGTAAGAGTTGTACTTTTAATCCTCTCTTGGTTCCTCCTGCCCAAGAATCAAATCTTGGCCTAACACCCAAGGCCCTTCACAGTTTGACTTGAGCCTCTTCCCCTTCATTTCCTGACATGCCACACCTAGCACACTCCCCTCTAAGCACACTGAATTTCTCAACTTCCTCCAAATGCACCTTGCTTTTTCACACCGCCAGGACCTTTACACCTGCTGTTTTCCATGTCTGAAATGTCCCTCCACACCCCCACTTGCTTTTTTTTTTTTTTTTGAGATGGAGTCTCGCTCTGTCGCCCAGGCGGGAGTACAGTGGCGCGATCTCGGCTCACTGCAACCTCTGCCTCCCACGTTCAAGCGATTCTTCTGCCTCAGCCTCCCGAGTAGCTGGGACTATAGGCATGTGCCACCATGCCCAGCTAATTTTTGTATTTTTAGTAGAGACAAGGTTTCACCATATTGGCCAGGCTGGTCTCAAACTCCTGACCTCGTGATCCACCTCCCCTTGGCCTCCTAAAGTGCTGGGATTACAGGTGTGACCCACCGCACCTTGCCCCCCACTTGCTTTATACAATCTTACTCATCCTTAAAGACCCAGAACAATCATGACCCCCAGAGTGTGGCCTTCCCTGACCTCACCAAAGAGAGTTAATCCCTCTCCTCTGCACTCCCACAGCACCCTAGACAGGCCTTCATAACTGGCGTGGCACCTGGACAAGAATGAACTTACCTCTGACCTATTTGCAAAAGAGGGCTGCTGATTTGGTCTGTCCCCACTGGGCGCCAGCATCTGCCAGCAAGGGTCTGCACAATGTATGTATACGATGTGCCCACCTCCCCAAAGAATGAGAAACAGAGCAGACTCTCACAGCATGGTTCAGGAAAAAAAGGTCCCCTGGACCCACAAGTGGAGACCTCAATGCACATCAACTTATTGAAGGCTCTGAGCAACTATCTTAGTTTGAGCTACCATAACAAAGTTTCATAGACTGGGTGACTTATGTACAGCAGAAATTTTTTCTCACAATTCTGCAGGCTGGAAGTCCCGGATCTTCCATGGTGCCAGCATGGTTCTGGTGAAGACTCTTCCAGGGTGAAGACTGCTGACTTCTTGTTGTATCCTCACATAGTGGAAAGGGCAAAAGAGCTCTCGGAAGTCTCATTCATTCAACACTAATTCCATTCATGTAGGCTCCACACTCATGACCTAATCACCTCCCAGAGGCCCAACTTCCTAACACCATTGCTTTGAGGATTAGGATCTCCACATATGAATTTTGGGGGGACATAAACATTCTGTCCATAACAGTAGTTCTGCAAGGAAACCAAAGCTGTTAAATGTATTTAGCCAGCATACTTCTCACTTTCTAACCAAGAATTTATTCCCTTGGAATGCCTATTAACATCCCATGGAGCTATTGTTCTATGGGCAAGAAAACTTTTGTGAAGTGTTGATCTATAGAAATGCCTACAGGACTTCTCTAATTCAGAACTTTTGGCCAGGTGTTGTGGCTCACGCCTGTAACCCCAGCACTTTGGGAGGCTGAGGATCACCTGCAGTCAGGAGTTTGAGACCAGCCTAGCCAACATGGCAAAACCCTGTCTCTACTAAAAATACAAAAATTAACCAAGCGTGGTGGCACACACCTGTAGTCCCAGCTACTCGGGAGGGTGGAGCACGAGAATCACTTGAGCCCAGGAGGCAGAGGTTGCAGTGAGCCAAGATCGCACCACTGTACTCCAGCCTGGGTGACAGAGCAAGACTCTGTCTCCAAAAAAAAAAAAAAATCAGAACTTTACATGGACAATAATGGGATCTGGAATGTTGAAACTCATCTTGAATGAGATCTCCATGCAGTCTGCTAACCAGTTAAACTATAAATCCCACAGTTTTAATAAATGCAAAGTGTTTCCAGTTTAGTAGCCCAGTTGCTCCTTTCTAAGGAATTGGTGACTTCCCAAGAAATAGAGGTTAGGGAATGTCTCCACTGGTTCAGGACTTCTCTGACTCTTGTTTGCCATTAAGGATGTTCGGGATCTGGTGTTGTTTAGTAAATATCCCATCCCACCTCTTGCATGGGAATAGTCTCTGCCTTGCATCAGGGCTTTTAACTCCATTAAATCCAATTGCAGAAAATTCTCAGACTCAGCTACTCATCACACTCACTCTTGGCAGAGTTTTATCTCTGTGGCTCCAGTTATATCTACTCTCAATGTCAAAAGGGTCAAGAACAATCTCTTCCATCAGACACTGAACAGGACCTGCCTCCAGTTTCATTCACTCAAAAATGGGGTCTCTCTTCTTCCTTCCTTTTGATCTGTTCCAAGTGTCTCCCTGCTGAGTGTCATGGGAAGGGACTTGGTGCCCCAGTGTTTTGGTTGGAAGATTCACTTCCAAACTGAATCCAACTTGAAGAGGCTTCCCCACTAGGCAGAGAGGGTGAACCTTAGGTGCGTTGAGGGTATCACTCCCTTTCCATGCGTCTTCAACCTCAGCCTCCATTCTTAACTATTCACCCTAACCACATGCACTCCACTTCTCACTGCACCCAAGTCTCCTCTGGACTCACCATCCTGGCTATGGTCTTGCTAAGCTTGTTAGAGTTAACCTTTGGCCTTTCTTTTCAGCTTCCTCGCCAAGCCCCCTTTTTGATAACTCTGGGGAAATGCCCCACTTGGCCCAGCCATCCAGGCATACAGCTCCTCAGTGCAGACTCTCATGGCTTCAGAGTACTCTGCTTCTAGACAGGAGGTGGAAGAAGAAAGGGTGGAGAAGGTAGATTCACTTCTTAATCTCCTCAGCCTAAAATCAGCCCAAAGTCTTTCTGCTCATAGTTCACCAATGAAAACTAGTCATGTGATCCCTATGATATGAAAGGGAGTCTGAGAGGTATAGGTCCTGTCTGGGTAGCTGCCAGCATGAACCCTATTCTATTAAAGGGGAAGCATGATCTTTTGGAGGTCAGCTAGCCACCTCTTCCTCACTATGTCATTCCTGATGTTGATGATAGAAGTAATAATAACCAATGCTATTGGCAATAATAATAACTGCTCTTCTGCATTAAGCACATCCTCTGACACAATCTTTGTGCTGAGAGTTTTCCAGGCATCATGCTACTCACTCTTCCATCCTTCCTGTGAGGTTAGAAGACTTCTGCTTCAGATTCTCTAAGAATGAGGTCAGATCCTGTTCCACTCTGCACTCAGTAGACATACTCATGCCATGGTCAACTCTCATATCTATGCCGTAGAGGCAGTCATGCTACCTGCCCCTCAGACCCTGAGAAAGGAACAGAGGCCATCAGAAGGGAGTTTCTGCTCATTTGAATTATATGTCACAGAGGCTAAGACCCCACCAGGTTGACAAGCTAGGCCTGGGTTCTGAGTCTTTTGAAAATTCCCTGTTGGGGAAGCGTATCCTCAGCCTGCTTGAACTCACCTACTGTGTGCACCCCTGCAACTGGGCTAACCATCAAGAGCCCCCCCCCAGACAGGGGAGATCCAGCCAGAAAAGTTGTTACCATCTTCACTCTCTGTGGCCTCCTCTTCCTATATCAGGAAGTCGCCAAATGGTGACCATAAAAATACATCTCCCCTTTTTCTACGGCTTATCATCAGGGGAATGAATGAGGACCCACGTCATCCAAAGACCTGAAGGCAGGTGGGAGTTTGCCTTTATACTCAAAAGCAAGAGCTGATTCCCTGTGTCTGCACTTATTGGGCCAATGATGCACACAAATATTACTGCATTTTACAGATGGAGAAACTAAGGAGTGACTATGTTAAAGTCAAGAGTATGCAGTAGCGGAGCTGGGAAAGATGGCTGAAAGGTGGGTTTGGCTCAAGATAGGGGCTCTCAAAGCACTTTGCCTGAGTACCTTGAGCTTCCTACTCAGATGTGTTGAGTCCACACCAATACACAAGTCTTGGGCTTGAAACCCTTCCCAGGCAGATCAGAGGAAGTGGGGGAGTGGTCTGCAACCTAGAAGCAGCTGCACAGGCAGCAGATGGTAACGGCTGCCTCTCAGATGGTTTTTTGTCACATAGCTTTTTTTCTTTCACATTATGAATTTTTTTCTGAAATCCTCTAAAAACATTGTTTTTATAGTAACAGAGGTGGCTGTATGTTTCTGAGAGATCCAGATCCCACACTCAGTCTGTCAGCCTGCTGGGATCTTTGCCTTTGTGACATATGAATAAAGTAAGTTCAAGCTCGCTGCTGCAAACAGTCCCTGGAGGTGGGCTGCCTCCTCTTCCCAGTAGCTAGAGGAGCCCTAGGATTCTGGAGAACCGAGCCCCAAGACCATCTTGTCCCGAGTCCCAAAGATAATGGGCAGTAATCCCAGGAGAGCAAGGATACAGAGGGACAAGGCCCCTAGAGTGGGTGGGAGTTCTGGGCTCCAAATATGTGTGAGTCTTCATAGGAAGGAACCAAGAGCAGCATAACCTCAAACAAGTATTTAACCTCTCTAAGCCTCAGTTTCCTCATCTGAGCATACTGATGCTGTCTACCTCCTGAGATTGCAGGGAGAACTGAATTATGCTTATGAAAGGGCCTAGCACAGCACCTAGCTCCCACTGTTTTCTCAATAAAGACTGGCTTTGATAATTATTTTGTTTGATAATTATTTGGTAATTATCCTAAGCCACAGGATAGGAAAAATAAGCAATAATGCAAAGACCAGAGATGATGAGAGCCTCAAGCCCAGATGAAGGGGTCATGGGTAGACAGACTGAGTCAGAGAGGTCCTTGACCTTACCCAGCAGGAAGGAGGGGCTATTCCCAGGTGAGCCAAGGCTGTGAAGAAGGACTTTGGCCTCTAAACCTCATGCCCAGTTTGGCCCCCACCTCAATTCTTGTTCCCACTGCAGAGAAATCTTCTTGCACAGCCTGGCAGGTTGTACCTTTTAATAGAGGAAATACTGGAAACATAGGTGTGACATTTCCTATCCTATAAATATGCCCTCTACTCAGAGCCAGATGATACTGAGAAGGACATCCTTCATGCTGCTACACAGCATGTCTGTAGCCTGTACAGAGGGAGTGGGGGTGAGGGGGCCCAGTGAGGCATGATAGTTGACCTCATAAGCAGATACTTTTCATGGGGATCAAGCTGTCAGTTTTGCAGGGGGACCTGGGAACTCTCAGACTGGGGGCATTGATTCCAGGAGCCTGGATGCAATCCACTGACCTACAGACGGACCACAGGATGTGCTGCTCCCTGGTGAGTGGGCTTGAGGGTATGCTGGCCCCTTACATGACCCTTGGGTCAGGATACGACCCTCAGCTTGTGCTGGACTTTGAACTACCAAATCCTATGGGTCTTCCAGATGATAAAGCCTCATTTAAACAGAATCTTTCCAACATCCCAATGATTGGAAGATGATGATTCTCATTTTACAGAGATAGAAAAGAGGGAGGGTGAAAGACGGAAACATTCTTTTTTTTTTTTTTTTTTTTTTTTTTGAGATAGAGTCTCACTTTATTACCCAGGCTGGAGTGCAATGGCATGCTTAAGAATCACTTCAGCCTCAATGTCCTGGGTTCAAATGACCCTCCCACCTCAGCCTCCTGAGTAGCTAGGACTACAGGCATGCACCACCAGGTCTGGCTAATATTGTGTTTTTTGTAGAGATGGGGTTTCACCATTTTGCCCAGCTGGTCTCGAACCCCTGAGCTAAAGCAATCCACCCATCTTGGCCTCCCAAAGTGCTGGGATTACAGGCATGCACTACCATGCCCGGCCTCATTCATTCCTTTATTTATCCAACCAATTACTTCAATATTGATAATCTAATATATTCCAGGTACAGTGCATACACTCAGTACAGTACACTGAGGCATAAAGAAGTAAACAGGGTAGGCAATGCCCTGCTCTCATGGAGCAGGGAGATAAACAATTAAATAATCAAATAAGAAATATGTTATTCATTATTTAATGTGACTGTGCAAAGGATATGGGGTAGGTTGAATGACTGGCTCCAATTCTCCACCCCTCTATGTATCAAGCTTTTTCAATATAACATTGCAATCCCTCCCATCCATGGACTTTGGCAAATTTGGGCATTGTTTTGGCCCATGAGATGTGAGTAGTCACGACATAAGCAAGAATCTTACATGAGCTTGTACAAGGAGGCTTACCCTCTTACACTTTAGCCATAGCCATGAGAACATACCCTGCCTAGCCTGCTGATCCCAGGAGATGAACAAGAAGTGGATGAGAGCTGAGCCACCAACCCATGAATGAAATAAATACTTACTATTGAATGTCACTGAGATGCTGTGCTATTTTTGCTGTTGTTACACAGCAGTAGCTTAACAATGTGGAGCATGATTAGAGATAATGAGACAGGAAGGTAGGCAATAGAGAAAGACTGAATTTAGATGGAGGATAAGAGATGAGTCAGTTTCGCTGAAAAAGAAATATTGAAACAGAAATATGAGTAACTCATAGATACACAAGAATGCAAAAGTGGGGAGAAGAGCTTCACAGGCAGAGGGAATAGCATGTGCAAAGGCCCTGAGGTAAGAAGGAGCAGGATGCATTCCAAAAATTCAAAAAAGGACAGGGAGCAAGGAGGCCAGGGAGCAAGGGAGAATGTGGTAGCAGATGATGAGATCAGAAAGGAAGTTGAGTAAAGGACCATGCAGACATATAGCATGACATAAAGTTTGCATTTTATCTAAGGGCAGTGGGAAGCTAATGAAGGGTGTTGAGCATACCAGCACCTGATAAAAATTCCTTCCACTGCTGAGTGAACAATGGATTAGGGGTAAGACAAGAGTGGGGAAAGGGATCCAGGGAGGAGGCTGCTGCAGCCACCAAAGTGGCAGGTGTTGGCCCAGGATTGGCAGGGTACTGTAGAGATAGAGAAAAGGGGACAAAGGCAGGGTGTGGTGGCTCACACCTGTAATCCCAACATTTTGGGAGGCCAAGATGGGAGGATTTATTGAGGCCAGGATTTCAAGACCAACCTGGCCAACATAGCAAGACCCTGTCTCTATAAAAGAGAGAGAGAGAAAAGGGAAAAAATCTGAAAGGTACTTTGAAGGTAAAGGTAACAGGACTTTTTCCAAAAATAGGCCTACATACACATGTCAGTTGACTTTTGAAAAACGTGCCAAGTCAATTAGATGGAGAAAGAAGGCAGAAAAGAGAGAAAAATCAATCCATAGTTTGTACCATAATTAAAAATTAATTCAAGCCCAGGCTTGGTGGCCCACACCTGTAATCCCAGCACTTTGGGAGGCCGAGGTAGGCGGATCACCTGAGGTCAGGAGTTCAACGCCAGCCTGACCAATGTGATGAAATCCCATCTCTACTAAAAAAAAAAAAAAAAAAAAAAAATACAAAATTTCGCCAGGCATGATGGCACACGCCTATAATCCCAACTACTGGAGACGCTGAGACACGAGAATCACTTGAACCCTGGAGGTGGAGGTTGCAGTGAGCCAAGATCACGCCACTGCTCTCCAGACTGGGTGACAGAGCAAGATTCCATCCCCCAAATATATAAATAAATAAATAACTCAAAGTTGAGCATAAAGTTGACTTCATTGATATTGTTTAAATTTCTACTTCAGAAAACACTATCAAGAAAATGAGAAGAATTAGAGTGAAAGCAAAAAGACTTCTCTACAGAATGAAAGAAAATATTTGCAAATCATGCATCTCATAAGGTTCTAATGTCCAGAATATATCAATAATTCTTACAACTCAATAATAGAAAGACAAACAACCCAATTTAAAAATAGGCAAAAGATTTGAATAGATATTCTTCAAAGAAGATATACAAATACCCAAGAAGCCCATGAAAGCATGCTCAACATCATTAGTCATTAGGGAAATGTAAATCAAAACCACAACAAGATACCATTTCACACTCATCAGGATAGCTATCATCGAAAAGATGAACAATAACAAGTGTTGGTCAGGATGTGCAGAAATTGGGACCCTCATACATTACTGGTGAAGCTGCTTTGGAAAGCAGTTTGGCAGTTCCTCAAAAAGTTAAACATTGAGTTACCATGTGACCCAGCAATTCTATTCCTTGGTATATACACAAAAGGAAAAAAAAAAGTTCTCACAAAACTTATATGCAAATGTCTGTAGCAGCAATTATTCCTAATAGCCAAAAAAAATTGAAACAACCAAAATGCCAACCAATTGATGAATGGATAAACAAAATGTGATTTATCCATACAATATTCCTGAATTTAATATTCAGCAGTAAAAAATAATGAAGTATTGACACATGCTACCACGTGGGTGAAACTTTAAAACATCATGCTAAGTGAAAGAAGCCAGTCACAAAGGATGACATGTTGTATGACTCCATTTCTATGAAATATCAAGAATGGTTAAATCTATAGAGATACAAAGTAGATTAATGTCTTCCAGGGGTTGGAAGAAGAGGGGAATGGGAAGTGCTTGCTAATGGGAAGGGAGTTTCTTTGTATTTTTTATTATCTCATAGTAAAGCTTTAATAAACATCAGTTTCCATCCTCCCAGTTCTAGCCAAATTACTTTAATAAAATATATCTGTATATACAGTTTTTTCAGCTTTTATTTTGGATTCAAATTTGGTACATGTTCAGGTTTGTTACATGGGTATATTGCATGATGCTGAGGTTTGGGATATGGATGATCCCATCACCCAGAAAGTGAGAGGTAGAGAACCAATAGGTAGTTTTTCAGGCCACATCTCCTCTCTACTCGAGTGGTCCCCAGTGTCTATTGCTTGTGATGGCATTTCATCGGGGGCGATGAGAATGTTCTGGAATTAGAGAGTGATGATTGTACAACTGCATGAATATACCAAAAACCACTAAATGGTATGCTTTAAATGGGTGAACTGTATGGTACATAAATGTATGGTACATAAATTTTATCTCAATGAAGCTGTTAACCAAAAATAAAAGAGCATAGACCTAATGTAAAGCCTAAAACTATAACTCTTCAGAAGAAATATAGGAGAAAATCCTTGTAAGTTTGAGTGAGGCAAAGATTTCTTGTATATGACATCGAATAAGAAAAACAAGTGATAAGTTGGACCTCATTAAAATTAAGAACTATTATTCTTTCAAAGAAGACACTGTTAAGAGAATGAAAAGGAAAGCCATAGGATGGGAAAAAGTGTTTGTAAATGACATATATGATAAAGAATTTATATTCCAAATATACAAAACTATCAAAACTCAATAATAAGCAAAACAGCCCAATATTTTTTAAAATAGGCAAAAATTGTGAATAGACACTTCCCCAAAGAAGATATTGGGATGGCAAATAACCACATGAAAACAAGGTTCGACATCATCACTCCTTAGGGAAATGCAAATTAAAATCACAATGAGATAAAATGAAGTATTCTGTCCCCCACAAAGACTTGTACACATATTTCCACAGCAACATTGGTTGTAATAGCCAAAAGCTGGAAAAAATACAAATGCCATCAACAGGTGAAAGAATCAACAAGAAGCGGTATACCCATACAGTGGGATACTACCCAGCAATTAAAAGGAATGAACTACTGACACATGTAACAATATAGATGAGTCTCAAAGTAATTATAATGAGTTTAAAAGTCAGGCCAAAAATGCATACTGTATAATTTCATTTATATAAAATTCTAGAAAAAGCAAACTAATCTGTAGTGACAGAAAGCAGAGTGGTGGTTCACTAAGGATGAAATACACGGGAGAGGTGGGAGGGGCAGGAGGGAGAATATCAAAGGATCATAAGGAAACATTGGGAAGGGATGGATATGTTTATTTATTATCTTCTGTGTGGTGATGCTCTCCCAGGGGCATAGGCATGTGAAAACTTTTCCAGTTGTGCATTTCAAATACGTGTATTTTATTGTATGTCAATTGTACCTCCATAATGCTATAAAAAAATTAATAGGACTTGTTGATGAACTGGATATGGAGGTGAGAGGGGGAGAAATGTCAGGGATAACCTCCAGGCTTCTGGCTTGAGTCAACTGTTGGATGGAGGGGCAGTTTCCTGACGGGAATGTTCAAAAGAGGACACGGTTAGGGTGCCTTAGCACATGGCAGAGAGGTCAAGAACAGAGTTTTTGAGATGTGAAATTTGATGTCCCATTGAAAATGTACAGAATGTGGTTGTGAATCTGAGCCTGTGGCTGAAAAGAGAGATCATGGTTCAAGAAAAGGAAGAAGGGGCCAGGCACAGTGGCTCACATCTGTAATCCCAACACTTTGGGAAGCCGAGGCGGTCAGATTGATTGAGGTCAGGAGTTTGAGACCAGCCTGGCCAACATGGTAAAACTCTGTCTCTACTAAAAAATACAAAAAATAAAAATTAGCCGGGTGTGGTGGCGCTTGCCTGTAGTGCCAGCTACTCGGGAGGCTGAGGCGGGAGAATTACTTGAACCTGGGAGGCGGAGTTTGCAGTGAGCCAAGACAGCACCACTACACTCCAGCCTGGGCAACAGAACAAAACTTCATCTCAAAAATAAAGGGGGCGAGGCGGGGAGAGGGAACTCATGCAGGGAAAACCGTGAGCCAAGACATGGAGGATGGGAACAAGGGGGAGGAACAGAAAGGGAGTCCTTCACTGGGGTGGGGTTAGGGCAAGAAGCAGTGAGCAGAGAGGGAGCCCCCAGGTGGCTGTGTTGGGACCTGCTGGATTCACAGGGCAGGGAGGATGACAAGCTCTGGGAGTCCTAGAAAGGGATTTGATTTGAGGTGTTGGGACAGGAGAAATGAAGCCATCAGCTTTAGAGCTGCCACATCCCGTTGGGACATTCCACAGGGAGCTGGATCCTGGGATCTGGATGACCAAGGAGAGATGTGGTGCAGAGAGGGATCTAGGGCTTCCCTGGCAAGAGTATGTTGGCCCAGGAGGAGTGGGGGTGGTGGAAGAGAAAGATAGAGATGCAGGAGCTCTCAGAGAAGCCCCAGGAGAGTACGTGAGAATGGAGACGGCATCAGGCTAGGGGCAAAGTAGGGTGACAGCCAGACCCACGAAGTCCCCAGAGGTCTTACAGGAACATCTCAGGGCAAGGACCCAGAGCAGTGTGTGCCAAGGGCTGGTCACCAGAGCTGAAAAGGGAGATAGCCTTGGAAGGAGGGAGATGTGCTGGTCCCTACAAGGCTCTGGCATATACATCTCCTCACTGAGTGCTCACAACTCCTTTATGAGATCACCGTAATCATCTGCATTGCACAGACAAGAAAACTGAGAATCAGAGAGGTTAGGAGACTTCTCCCAAGGCCACGAACCTTGTATCTCATCCACATCTGGGGGCTCACACGCTCTTTTTAGGCACTAGGGTGCCCAGAAAAAGGTTCACAGGGGCCACCAAGCACCAACTAATGACCCCCAGGGTGGCTGTGCACAAGCATGTCTGAGGCAGTTAGATGAAGGAGGGAGCGCAGCTAATTGCCCGTACAAATTAACTCTAATGTGGTCGGCATCGACATACTTATCTTTCTTTAATTACATTAATCAATTAATGAAGAAGATGGCTTCCTCTTATTATGATTTCCAAGGCCCATATGTTCTCGGGAGTCCAGCTGGAGTTGGGCTTCTTCTCTGTCCCTGGCTTGAATGGAGAACTGAGTGACATCAATAAGAGAAATTGTCCCCCAGGCCTTCTCCACCCTGAAGCTGATCTTCAAGATGGGAGAGGTAAGAAAACAGAAGCAATGATCCCCGGAAATGGTAACCAATGGGAGAGGCCTAAACTCCTTGACTCAGCATTCAAGGCCCTTCTCCAACATTGTTCATGGTTCCTTTGACCCAGGTTTATCAGCCTGGGCAGACTGATTTTCTCTGAGCTGCCCTTGCATCCTCCAGCGTCCAATGCATTCATGCCATTTCCTCTACCAGGAAGGCCAGCTCCCATCAGTCAGGGTCCAGGTCAGTCCAGTGGGTTTGTCACCTCCTCATGAGAACCCTATAGAAGGCCTACCCTGCAGTAATCTCCTTCACTTGTTAATTTTTTTCAGCTTTATTTAGGTATAATTGACAAATTAAAATTGCATACTTTTAAGATATATAACTGGATGTTTGATATACATACACATTATGAAATGATTACCACAATCAAGCTAAGTACCATACCCATCACCTCACTTGGTTACCATTTTCTTTTCTTTTTTTTCCTCTGTGTATGTGTGTGTGGTGAGAACACTTAACATCTACCCTCCCAGCAAGTTTCAAATATGCAATATAGCATTGGTCACTATAGTCGCCCGGCTCTACATTAACTCTCCAGAACTTGTTCATCTGGCATAACTGAGACTTGGTACCCCTTAACCAACATCTACCCCCAGCCCCGGGCAGCCACCATTCTACTCCCTCCTTCTATGTGTTCGGCTGTTTTAGATTCCACATGTTAGCGAAATCTTACAGTGTTTGTCTTTCTGTGTCTGACATTTCACTTAGCATAATGCCTTCCAGGTTCATTCATGTTGTTGGGAATGACAAGATTTTCTTCTTTTATAAGTTTGAATAATAATTCACATTTATTATTCACATTTTCTTTATCCATTTATCTATTGACAGACATTTAGGTTGTTTTCATATCTTAACTACTGTGAATATTGGTACAGCCATAATGGAAGACAGTATGGAGGGTCCTCAAAACATTAAAAATAGAGCTACCATATGATCCAGCAATCCCACTTATGGGTGTATAAGGAAATAAAATCAGTATTGCAAAGAAATATCCTCACTCCCATGCATTCATTTTTCATTCAACAAATATTTACAGTCCCTCCCCTTGTGTAACTTCTAAACCTTCGGGACAGACAGACACTAAACAGACAAATAATTACATAGACTGGTGGTTCTCGTCCACTAGAATCATCAGGGGAGCTTTTAAAAATATGCTGCTCACGTGGGCCCAGTGGCTCACACCTGTCATCCCAGCACTTTGGGAGGCCAAGGCAGGTGGATCACTTGAGGCCAGGAGTTCAAAACCAGCCTGGCCAACGTGGCAAAATCCCATCTCTACTAAAAATACAAAAATTAGCCAGGCGTGGTGGTGCAAGCCTGTAGTCCCAGCTACTCGGAGGCTTGAACCCAGGAGGCAGAGGTTGCAGTGAGCCGAGATCACACCACTGCACTCCAGCCTGGGTG
Source organism: Homo sapiens (assembly GCF_000001405.40). Taxonomy (NCBI): domain Eukaryota; kingdom Metazoa; phylum Chordata; class Mammalia; order Primates; family Hominidae; genus Homo; species Homo sapiens. The sequence continues at coordinate 40,940,715 of NC_000020.11, forward strand.
GCAGAGCGAGGCTCTTTCTCAAAACACACACACACACACACACACACACACACAGAGACACACAGACACACACACACACAAAGTGTGATGCTTAAGCTTCATCCCAGAAAAACTAAAGCTGAATCTCTGAGGGCACAAGCTGGGCATCAATTATTTTTTTAATTGCCTAGGTAATGCTAGTGTGCAGTCAGGCTGACATGCTGGCATGGGGGATAAAGGAGGGTAATTGTAAGGAGGGTAATCTGCAATGCTGCCACCCGGGCTTGCTTTCCCTAGAGGTTTTGAAAGTATGATCAGTCAATTGTGTTTTTTGTAATTATTTATTTAAATAAGATAAACTTATATTAGCCACCCCGTCTTCCATGTATAAAGAAGTCACAAATTACTTAGATCAGTGCTTCTCAAACTGTAGCAAACATCGGAATCACCTGGAGGGCTTGTTGAACCAGATCACTGGGCACCACTTCGAGCCCAAGAATTTGCATCTCTCACAAGTTCCCAGGTGACACTGATGCTGCTGGTCTGGAAACTCCACTTTGAGAAACACTGAATTGGAGCAAGGTTTAAAGAAATTCAAGTGGTTGAGCACCTTCCTTCCTCACTAAACATCTGCTGTTCACAGACTCTGTTTAACCAAACTCTGCTGCTTTCTCGCAAGCTGATGTAGAAAGCCTTCAGATCTCCTTTGTTAGGAGAAGAAGCTGTGAAAAATCATACCTCTCCATCATACATGTGCCTGTTTTCACTGCAGGATGTTTCACAACCACATTGCTTCAGAGCAGGCAACTTCTCTTCTTTAACTGCCAATTTCTCATCACAGCAGTGGCTGTCAGCATCAGCATCACTGGACACCTGTTAGACATGCAAATTCCTGGCCTACTCCAGGCCCACTTAATCAGAAACTCTGGGAGTGAAGCCCAGCAGTCTGTGAACTAGGAAATCACACAGGTGATTCTGATGTACTCTCAACTATGAGAACCACTGGCCTAGAAAAAAACGTGTTAATTGCCCCTTCGAATTCTTCAGGATCCTATTCACTCTGATTATTTGTATCATTTCTTTCATAAAAATAATAATAATTTGCTTCCATTTGTCAAGTCTTCCTATGTGCCAGGGACTGTGCTAAGTACTTTACATTAAAGATCTTATTTAAACCTTGGAACAACCCAATATTCATTATACTATTTTATAGATAAGGAAACTAAAGCTTGGAGAGGTTGAGAGTTCGGCCCACCTGTTAAGTGGCAAACCCAGGAAAACACTGCTCTCTGCCCCACCCCGGTTCATCTTTTCCAAACATTAGGCATTGTATTAAGTGTGTTCTCACACTGCTATAAAGAACTACTTGAGACGGGGTAATTTATGAAGAAAAGACGTTTAATTGACCCAGTTCTGTAGGCTGTACAAGAAGCATGGCTGAGAGACCTCAGGAAACACAATCAAGGCTGAAGGTAAAAGGGAACAAACATGTCTTACCATGGCGAGCAAGAGAAAGAGAGTGAAAGGGGAAGTGCTACACACTCTTAAACAACCAGATCTTATGAGAACTCACTATCACAAGAACAGCAAGGGGGAAATCTGCCCCCATGATCCAATCACCTCCCACCAGGTACCTCCCCCAACTTTGGGAATTACAATTCGACATGAGAGTTGGGTGGGGACACAGAGCCAAACCATATCAGGCACTTATCACACCCATATGGCTGTGGTTTATACCTCCATTGTAGTGCTTTCCCCCAGTCATAAGATTTGTTTAATATCTCACTACTTTTTTCTACCCAAATACCTGCTTTTTAAAGCTAGTGTTCATTTTCTTAAAAAAAACTAATTGTTGAAATGTTTTAAAATCATCTGTTTGCTGCCCTAACTGATATCATGCATTTTTCTTTTATGAAAATTGTAAAGCTCAGTTAAATGTTTAAAATGCAAAGAGCAGACACCCAAGTTTCCTTACTGGAATGAAATGTAAATGGAAAGTGGCACTCCACAGGTACAACTACCTTAAGGTCCATATTGCTTAAAAGAGTGGAACTCAAGAGCCAGGAGCCATGACTTGCACCAGTAGTCCCAGCTACTTGGGAGGCTGAGGTGGGAGGATTGCTTGAGACCAGCTCAAAGCCTCAGTGAACCATGATCATACTACTGCACCCCAGCCTGGGTGACAAAAAAAAGAATGGAACTCAACGTGAAAAGTATGTGACCTCAAGTCCAAACAGTCATTCTCCAATACATTGGAAGCCTATTACTCACATCCGAAGGTGTTTTAATCAGCCAGTCAACCCGTTATCTACCATGTGGATGAAGTGGTCAACGTGACTCACCTGGAAATGTGCTACGGGATAGAGATTATTCCAAAACATGGCAATAACTACCTGGTGTCTTCAGCAGGAGTAATGTGCAACTACTCTGTGTTACAATCACAGACAGCCTACGGTGACCAACAGGCCCCAGTTTGCCCAGGACTGTCCCAGTTTTGACACTGAAAGTTCTGAGTCCCAGAAAACAGTTGGCCACCCTAACAGCACCATGCTTGACTCACATCAAGGTGCATGAGAAGGAGTTTCTGTTTCCCTTTGGCCAGCCAGGGGCCTGGGTCTAGGGCTCCCATGGGGCAGGACACTCTGGCCAGGATCAGTGTCAAAGAACTGCCTAGCAGAAGGAATATGTCTTAGTTCCAGCTGCTCTAGCAAAATACTGTAATCTGGGTGGGTTTAAACAAGTATTTATTTCTCACATTGCTGGAGGCTGGAAATCCGATATCTCTCTTATACCCTCAAAGAGAGAGCTCTGGTGTCTTCATCCCTTCATAAGGGGCAATGAATCCCATCAGGATATTTTTCTCATGTCCTAACTACTGCCCTAAAGCCCTGCCTCTTAATACCATCATATTGAAGATTTAGTCTTCAACATATAAATTTGAGGGGACCCATTCAGTCCATAGCAGGGTACTTGGGGACAGAAGGGAAACTAGTCTGAGCAGTGACCACATTTCCTCCTAACTGCCCTCCCCTCCCCCAGGTAAACTCCAGATGATTCTGGGGCAGGAGCTCCACCCCCACGTATCAACCTCTTCCTCCAATAGAAACAAAGCCCAGGCCAGTCCTCTGGGATGGGAGGGAGGGGACATCAACAGAGGACAGAGACAGCTGAAGACTCCATTCCTGGCTTCCTCTCGGCTCTCCTGTGCCACAGAAGGCAGAGAAGGTGGGAGAAAATGTCCATCCAGCCCTAAAACCCTGGGCCTCCTGAGCTGGCTGGGCCACCCTGCTGCCCACAGTGGGTCCACAAAAGCAGGGGCTTGGCAGCTGAGACGGTGAGCTGATGAGGCCACCCATGATAGGTGGGTGCTTAGTGCACACCTAGACAATGTGTAAGTGCTCAGTGAATCTGAGCTGTTTTTAAGCAGCTATCGCCCACTGGGACCCAGGACGTGCAGAATGGGCTCATCCTCCCTCCCTCCGCCTCTCCTGTTCCCATTGCAGCCCCACCTCTTCCATTGCTGTGTGGCTGAGAGTTACCCTGAGTGTCAGTTTTCTCATCTACAAAATAGAAAGAGTAATAGTCCCAACCTCACAGAGTCTCCCTGGGGAGTAAATGAAACAGGGTGTGTAGTAGCCTACTTTGGACGTAGTAAAGGCTCAGTGAGATCATCATTGTCATTCCTCTTATCACCAAGGGCACCCAGGGGTTGGGGAGGCACTGAGGCAGGAAGAGGAGGGGAGGGTCCCACATCCTTCCTCAGCCTCGAAGCAGGAGGCCTGAGCTCCATATCCTATTTGTTCTTTCCACAACACCAGTGCCGACTTCTCCATTAGGCATTGTAGCAATTCAGTGTCCACAACATTTTAGAGACCCACAGAATGTTCTCATTTCCTTCAAAATCAAGTAAAATATAAACTTTTAGGTTAGACAGACATGTTTCATTTTCTTCTTTCATCAGAAACAAATAGAATTTTTAGGACCCATGAAAATCTATTCTTGTGGGAGGGGCCCATGAAGGCAGAAGCGTCTAGGGCCCACAAAAGTCACAATGCAGCCCTGCTCAAAAGACAAAAACAAAAAACTGTGCCTGGGCCGGCCGCGGTGGCTCATGCCTGTAATCCCAGCACTTTGGGAGGCCGAGGCAGGCGGATCACTTGAGGTCAGGAGTTCGAGAACAGCCTGGGCAATATGGTGAAACCCCGTCTCTACTAAAAATACAAAAATTAGCCGGGCATGGTGGTGGGCACCTGTCCCAGCTACTCGGGAGGTTGAGGCACGAGAATCGCTTGAACCCAGGAGGCGGAGGTTGCAGTGAGCCGAGATCATGTCACTGCATTCCAACCTGGGCAATAGGGCAAGACTCAGTCTCAAAAAAAATAAAAAATAAAAATAAAAAAATCCTGTACCTGCCTTTTTTTCATCCCCACTGCTGCACCCGTCCTAACTCAACCCATGTCCACCTCTCACCTAGACAATGACCAGAGCCTCCCAGCAAGTCTCCCAGCCTGTCTCTGAAATCCTTGTATCTGTCCTCCACAGAGCAGCCAGCATGATCTGTCGAAATCACAAATCTGACCTTGCCTCCTCCCTCCTGAAAACCTGCTGTGCCTCTGGATTGCCCTCAAGACAAAAGTCCAAACTCCCCTGCAAGGCACACAAGTCCCCAGGGGGCACTCAGCTGCACTCTCCTGCACGCGCCCAGCCTTCCTGCTTTCACACCTCCACACCTTTGCACTTACAGTGCCCTCTACCCAGAACACCCTTTCCCCCGCAAACTCCTAACCATCCTTCAAAGCCCAGCTCCTCTCAGAGAAATTCCACTCATTTGTCATATTGTGATTTTGAGTGAATATCACCTCGAGGTCAAGGACTATGTTTTCTTCCTTTTCATCCCCCCAACCACCTCCCCAGTGCCTAGCTTACAGCGACTGTCTGGCAGTGTTTATTGTTCCCCTGAGGTCATGGTCAGCATCGGGGTGCTCCTCTAACCCACTGCTCCCTGCCCCGGCACCGCTGCAGTCCTGTGATTTCCAAATGCCAAGGGAAGTTCTGTGGTCCTATTCATCTTTTCCTTGTCTGGCAGGCTGGGAGTGCAGCCCCTCTGGGGCGCACAGACAGCAGAGTAGCCCTGAATGGGTCAACCTTTCACCAACAACACCCACCTCAAATAAAAGCCATCAGCTTGCCAGGATTGGAGAGGAAGCTTCAAGTCCCCAAGAAAAACCCAAGGGCCATGTTCAGAGACTTGGCCAGAACTGAGCCCTGTTCAGCCTTTGTCTGTGTGTGACAGTGTGCCTCTCTGTGCCTCAGTTTCTCCATCTCATAACAGTGAATTGGTCTAAAGCCTCGAAAGAAAGGGTTCTTCCAACTCCGGCTGCACAGCCTCTTCCAGGGCCTCCCATCAGCCCAGACCCAGTTACCAACGCAGAGGGAAGAGTGCCACCTACTGACTCCCAGCCTCCCTCCAAGACACTGAGCCACCAAAGGAGTCAGCGGAATGTGCAAAGCTCAAAGTGAGCAGTTGTCTGCATTCTCCCTTTGCAGAGCCGCAGCAACCTCCCCTTTCATGGGGCCAAGGGGCACCCCTCCAGCCTGGACAGAGAGCTTTAGCTGCACTGCTCACCCCTGTTGTCCTCTGCTCCAAGCCCTGGAAAGCCAGGCGCCTCCACGCCATCCTGCATCTGTGCCAGGCCCAACAGCACGGTAGCCCCCGGCTGCCAGCCCCCCTCACACTGGGCCGGCGGCTAGAGGTGGAGAACAATGATCCCTATTGTGACTAAATTTCCCCCTGAAGATCTCATTCAAGATGTTAGAGTGAGCGATCATAAAAGGAATTAATAGTTGATTCGCTGTATAATTTCCTAGTTCAATATACTTTAGTGCAGCAACTAAATGAGGCGTCCCGGCCGTTCAGTGGGGCCAGATAGCGACTTTATCACTGGGATCTCAGGCTGAGGAATAAAAGCAATTCTTCTGAAGTAATTGCGTCTAATTAAAAGAAACATTTAAAAAGTGTAACCAAAAGGAATTCATTTCAAATGGAAAATTAATGCTGAAAAATAGCCCTGAGCTCTCTTGTCGCAGCTAATAGCCAGGCAGCCGCAGAATAATTAAACTGTTTTGAAATGTCGATACCATCCTCATCGGGAGAAGATGGGCACGGCTGAGCACATCCCGGGCATCAGCAAAGAGGATGGCTTCCAAAGACATGGCCAGCAGTTGGACTTGAGGTCAGCCACAGGCTTCCAGGTGGGGTGAGGCCCAAGTCACCACAGACAAGGCAGGAAAAGGTTTGTAATACGGTATTTAATGAAGGAAACCCCACTTCCTGGATATCTGAGCACCCCACTGACTCTTCAGAACAACCCTGCAAGTCAAGTATCATTAGTAGTATTATCATCATCATCATCATTGCCATCATCAGTTCAAAAAGGAGACTCCTTGTGACTAGCTACCTTGTCTAAAATCACAGCCAATATGTATTAACAGCAATCAGGATTTGAACTCAGGTCTGCCTGGCTCTGAAGTCCACATCAATTCCACTACACTGGATGTTAGGATTCAGCATCAGGAAAAAGGCTGTGTGTTTTCTAACACTGTCATTCTCAGTTCTGCCTGCATTAGACTCACCTGACACCCCCCTGAGGAGCTTTAAAAAACAGTCCCAAGCCAGGCGCGGCGGCTCACGCCTGTAATCCCAACACTTTGGGAGGCCAAGGCGAGCAGATCACAAGGTCAAGAGATCGAGTCCATCCTGGCCAACATGGTGAAATCCCGTCTCTACTAAAAATACAAAAATTAGTGGGTGTGGTGGCACATGCCTGTAATCCCAGCTACCCGGGAGGCTGAGGCAGGAGAATTGCTTGAACCCAGGAGGTGGAGGTTGCAGTGAGCCTTGATCACACCACTGTACTCCATCCAGCCTGGTGACAGAGCAAGACTCTGTCAAAAAAAAAAAAAAAAAAAACCAGTCCCAGACTCTGCCCTCAAAGACTCTGCCTTTATTGATCTGGGAACAGCATGGGGATGAGCATTTTTTTTTCGAGATAGGGTCTCGCTCTGTTGCCCAGGCTGAAGTGCAGTGGTATGATCACAGCTCTCTGTAGCCTTGACCTCCTGGGCTCAAGCGATCCTCCCACCTCAGCCTCCCAAGTAGCTTGGACTACAGACACACACCACCATGCCTGGATAATTTTTTTCTTTTTAAAGATGGTGTCTCACCATGCTGCCCAGTCTGTGGACATCAGTTTTTTGTTTTTTTTTTTTTATGTTTCCCAGGTGACTTAACTGTGCAGCTCGGGTCTAGAACCATTAGTCTAAATCCCAGTCATCAGGCACCCTTCACCCCATGAACATTCCCTGAAATTTTCCTGCTCACTTCCCCCGGGGAGTTTTGCCTCGTGAAAAATCGAAGGGTGAACACTTCCCTTACAAGTTTGCAGCCAGGTTGAAATGAACTAAAAGAGACTAATTGAGAACCAGCACTTAGTACATGCTAAATAAATGTTAGTTTTGAAATGGGGGGCAGCAAGAAGTAAGAACCCAAGATGAAATCGTCCTAAAGGAGTCCTGAAGCAGACCCCAAGGGAAGGTTCTTGGACCTTGAGCAAGAAAGAATTTGAGGCAAGTCCATAGGGTAAATTTAAAGCAAGTTTATTAGGAAAGTAAAGAAATAAAGAATGGTTACTCCATAGGCAGAGCAGTGGAATGGAATGCTTGACTAAGTATACTTATAGTAACTTTTTGGCTATATGTTTAACAAGGGGTGGATTATTCATGAGTTTTCCGGGAAAGGAGCAGGCAATTCCTGGAACTGAAGGTTCCTCCCCTTTTTAGACCATATAGGGTAACTTTCTGAGGTCCCATGGCATTTGTAAACTGTCATGGTGCTGGGGAGGCATGTCTTTTAGCATGCTAATGCATTATAATTACCGTATAAGGAGAAGTAAGGACGACCCGAGGTCACTTTCATGACCATCTTGATTTGGGTGAGTTTTGGCCTGCTTCTTTACCACAAACTGTTTTATCTTCAAGGTCTTTATGACCTATATCTTGTGCCAATCTTCTATCTCATCCTGTGACTAAGAATGTCTAACCTCCTGGGAATGCAGCCTGGTAAGGTCTCAGCCTTATTTTACTCAGCCGCTATTCAAGATGGAGTTGCTCTGGTTCAAATGCCTCCGAGAAAATGTCTACCAAGCATTAACTATAGCTTCTAACTCCGTTAAAACCTGGGGCCAGGTGTGGAAAACTAAATCTGAAAAGTTTAACAGTGAAGATGATCTGGCCAGAAGGTTTATATACCAAAGTGAATTCAGAATGGGGGAAGATCACACTAGCTTTAGCACCAAATCTTACAGTTTTGTTTACAGTTACTTGAACTAGGCTAGGAGTTGCCTTCAATCAGTGATTATGGAGCATGCTTTAATGAACTAGAAGAACAATTCGTAATCCATGAGTTGTTTATTATGCTGAAAGACACTCCTAAAGACCTTGAGAATGTTCCCTAAAAGTTTGTCCCCCAAGTAGATTTAAACATGCACCTAAACCTTATTTACACCCTTATGATTTTCAGAAAACACCTTCTTTACACATATGCAAAGATCCCAGTGCCCCTTTTCTGAATTGCAAATACAACCCAATTTCCAAAGATCATCAGCAAGCACCATCTGCTTCATTATGGCTAAACCCCTTAAAAGGGAACCCGGGGTCTCTAAGGGTGATGGAGGACTTGGGATGAACCACTCATAAGAAAAGCATCATCTTACCTTCTGATGAAATGGTGCTTATAGTGACCACAGGGGATTGGCCAAGGCTGAGGGATTTTCCCAACATTCTGAGGTTTTTTTTGTTATTTCTTTGCCTGAGGACTTTCTCTGTCCACAAAAGCCACTTTGTCCACCTCTGTGGCATGCCAGAAGTGCCACACACACACCCAAAGCAGCTCTCAACCAATGCATGGTGAAAGTCGGTGGACAAATGCCCCAGCTCCCTCACCTCATGGGTGGAATAACTCTATGGTGTAGTCCATACAGACTGCCACAGTTCCCCAGCACGATTAAGCCTCAACCACCCCGGGAGCGCTAACAGGATGATGGCCTCTTTATTGTCTGCCTTCTCCTCCCTGTCTCACTTCCTCACTCTCTTAGCTGTATTGCCTTTTATCTCCAAGATAAACTGCTTGCATTTGAGTCAATATCTGCTAGGACAGGGGTAAGAACAATACCTTTGGGACCATTGGGTTAGCAGTTGTGGTGGAGATCCACTCCAGTATGGCCCCTGTGCCTGCTGCATGAAAAGAGGATGGGCTTTTGGAGCAGAGATGCCTAAGCTCCAAATCTGGTCCAGCTATTTACCAGCTGTGTGACTTAGGGAAAGTCAGAGAGCCTCGCTGAGCCTCTCTGTCCTCTAGTAAGATATGGGAATAGTAATGGGAGCCACTGCAATCAGTTGTTGAAAAGATGCATTGAAATTCTGCAGACTAAGCCCATGGCACAAGCAGGTGTTTATTCAAAAAGTATTAGTAGATTTATTCCATAATGGGCTCTGAGTGTGGCACAGTGAGGTGTGCAAAGGATGAGGCCAGATCCCCCTTCCTGGAGCTCCCAGGGAGATCAGATGTAAGGAGATTAGTCATGATGTTGCCATTTATGCTGGGAAACTCACGGGCTGGGGGCAGCTGGGGAGCTGCACCAAGGTCTCCAAGAGTCTAGCTGTGTGGTCCAATAGGAAGCCACCAACCACATGTGGCTATTTAAATTTACATTAATTAAAATTAAATACAATGTAAAATTCAGTTCCTCAGTCTCACTAGCCACATTTCAAGTTCTCAGTAGCCACATGTGGCTCGTGGCTACCATGTTGGGCAGTGCGGATCTAGAACATTTCCACCATCGTAGAAAGTTCTGCACTGGCCTAGTATTGACCCGGAATTCAGATCTAGCACTGTCCTTGCTGGCTGTCAGATTTGGGCATAGGTCCTTTCCTCCTTGAGCCTCAGTTTCTTCTCCTGTGAAATGGGCTGTACTAATCATGTCACTCTAAGCAGCGCGGTTATTGCAAGCACCAAATTAAAAGTTTTCGTGAAACCACTAGACAAGCACCTTGTCTGGAAGACTCTAGAAGCATAAATAACGTTGACCAAATCTACTTCAGCATTTGGTCTTGCCTTTCTTCATCTTAGATCCCGGGGTCCCGAACCTCCCTGTTTTTCTACCTGGGCCCTCACCACACTCCACTTCCATCCCCACTCCCCAATCCATCCTCTGTGATCACTGTCCCTCTCATCTCCAACTCTGCCCACGCCTTCAGGCAATCAGCACATAGACTAAGTCCTTACTGGGGTCTGCACAGACAGAACCAAAGGCTTGGACACATGAAGAGTGGAGATCAGGGAAAAGGCTTTCCTGGGCTCTAAGAGATGAGCTTGGAAAAGGGATGTCCCTAAAGGCATGTTACTAAGTGGAAGAAGCCAATCTGAAATGGGTACACACTGTATGGTTCCAACTATGTAACATTCTGGAAAAGACAAAACTATGGAGACAAAACAATAAAAAGACCAGAGGTTGCCAGAGAGGGATGAATAACAGAGCATGGAAGATTTTTAGGGCAGTGAAACTATTGCATATGGTACTATAATGGTGATACAAGTCATCAGACATTTGTCAAAACCCATAGAATAGCCAACACCAAGAGTGAACCCTCGTGTAAACTATGGGCCCTGGGTGATACTGATGTGTCAAGGTAGGTTCGCTGATTGTGACAAATGTCCCACTCCCAGCAGGATGTTGATCGTGAGGGAGCTTCTGGGTAAGGGTGGGGGTAGGGGAATGTGGGAACTCTGTACTTTCCACTTAATTTTGCTATGGACCTGAAAATGCTCTAAAAGAATAAAGTCTTCTTTAAAAAAAAAGATGGAACTGACTTTCAGTACCTTGGTCCAGTGAAGATGCCAACAGCAGTAACCAGTTAGAGGATGGACGAGCCATCATTTGGGGGGCAAGTGAAAAAGACACATTCCAAGGCTCAATAAAAAATACATTTTTTTAAGAATGCAAAAGAAAAGATCCTGCCAGAGTGGAAGGGAGCAGCACTTAGCTTAGATCTGTGGCACCCAGGATGCCCTGGGACCCTCCTGTTCTTAGCCACACCCCAGCCTGACCCTACAAAGTCAAGCCTTGCAGGGTAGAACCTTCATAATCTTCCAGCCATCATAGCCCCTGTGCCTGACACTTTCATTTCTCTTTATTTGCTCATTCTCTTCCTTCCACCACACCATGCTCAAATCATCCAAAACTTTCCCTTTATCACTGAGCCTCCCTAATTAAGCTAACATTATTAGAAGGTTGGGAAAAAAAGAAAAAGAAAACCCTCCCAAATTCTCTTTGCGTTTCAGTAGCTCTTTAATATGCGAGGCAACGAGAGATGAGCTGCTCCTAATTGCCAGTCCCTGGAGTAGCCAGTCAGAAAATGAATTGATGCGTTTTTTCCTTATGAACAATGCATGTAGCACAAATTGCAGTGGCCGTCACCAGAGATTTAATTACAAAATATCATTACTTTCACACATCATTTCAGATTTGGCCTGATCAAATCAAAGTTAGGGCGAGAGGGAGAGAAAACTGCACTCTTAGCAGGGACATTCATTCAGGGGTGGCTGCAACGCGGGTGGGAATTGGCATTGTCGAAACTTCCTCGGGGCCATTGCAGGGGAAGCAGCTGCCAGAGATGTCTATGCAAAGGGACGTTTCTGGGATTCAGGGTTTCAGCAGAGTGGAGGCTGTGGGCCTGCAGGAGGGGCCCCAGGGCGTGAGGAGCATCCCTCAAGGAAGAAATCAGGCTGCAGAGAGTCTTAGGACCCTGCAATTCAAAGGAGCTACAGAAAGTCCCTTCATCAGTGGCTCATGTCTCCAGTTCATTCATTCCACAAATATTTGTTGAGCACCTAGTGTGTGCCAGATGCTGCGCCAGACCCTGGGGAGGCAAAATTGTCAGCAAACAAACGTGGTCTCTGCCTTCAGCAGGTTCACACTCTGGTTGGGAAAACAGATTTGAATCGAATAATCACAGCATAGTGAGAGACAAGAGGGGTAGTGGAGCCCAGACTCTCTGGAATTTGAATTCCTGCTCCATCCATCCATCAGCTTACACTCTGAAAATGGAAAAAATATAAATAACACGAATCCCTGTTCCATCCTTTAACAGCTGTGTGACCTTGGCTTGGTCACTCAGCCTCTTGGTGCCTCAGCTTCCTCATCTGTGACATGGGGAAAATAATAGACTGGGTGCAGTGGTTCACATGTAATTCTAGCACTTTGGGAGGCTGAGGCAGGAGGATTGCTTGAGGCCAGGAGTTTGAGACCAGCCTAAGCAATGTAGCAAGACTCTGTCTCTACAAAAAAATTTAAAAATTAGCTGGGTGTGGTAATGTGTGCTTGTAATCCCAGCTACTCGGGAGGCTGAGGCGGGAAGATCACTTGAGCCCAGGAGTTCAAGACTGCAGTGAGCAGTGATGGTGCCACTGCACTCCAGCCTGGGTGACAGAGCAAGACCCTGTCTCTAAAAATAATAATAATAATAGTACTTGCCTCAAAAATGTATTGAAGATTAGATGACTTAATATTTATAATACACTTGGAGTAGTGCTTGGTATATGGTAAGCTCCATGTAAGTGTTTGTTAAATGAATACAAACTTAAAACTGCAACTGTAAAAAGCAAAGTATGTCATATTCTGAGAGTCTATAATAAAAGGATTCAACCTAGCCAGGGAAATCAGGAAGGGCTTGAGCTGAAATGCAAAGGAGGGGGTACATTAATTAAGGGAAACACTAAAGTAGAGTAGTCTTAGCAGAGAAACCAGCACATGCAAAAGCTCTGTGGCAGGAGGAAGCATTTTAAGGACAAGGCACTGGAAAAAAAGGCCAATGTGGCTGGAACGTGGTGCAAGCTAAGGATGAGGAAGTTGGTAGGGCTAGTCCATATAGGGCCTTGTAGGCCATAGTCAAGAGTTTGGACTATAAAAATTACTCGTGAGCTTTAGAATCTTCTCTCAGCTAGCTTTAGTTGAGATAGATTTATTGCAAAGGTGGCCCAAATTTTTTCCTTCCCTGTACCCACATCCCTTCCAATGAGACTTTACAGCTCCTCCCATCAAGAGGTGAAGTCTATTTTCCCATCCCTTGAATCTGGGCTGGCCTGGTGACTTGCTTTGCCTGATAGAATGTGCTGGAAATGACACCGTGCCAGTTCCGAGCGTGGGCCTCGAGCAGCTGGGCATGATTCTGCTGCTTTTCCTGGAACCCTGCTCAGTCACCATTAGCACAAGTTTGGCCTAGCCTGCTGGAGGGTGAGAGACCACGCAGAGCATAAATGAGTCATCCCAGTCAAGGCTGTGCTAGATCAGCCAAAAATCAGTAACACATGAGGGATCCCCAGCTGAGAGTTAGTAAAACTGTTCAGCCAAGCCCAGCAATGATCAGCAGAACCACCCAGCTGACCCACAGAATTATGAGTTACATACACAGCCATTGTTTTTAACCACAAAGTTTTAGAATGGTTTGTTACACAGCAGTAGCTAACTGATACACACATTGAGGGGTCAGGAGCATGGTAAGAAATGAGGGGGGTGGGGACAAAGAAAGGAAGAAGAATTAGGAGGAGGAGGAGAAGGAGGGAGAAAGAGACTATAGCAAGGTGTAATGCTGACACATCCAAGATGTGCACAGAGCTCTGGGAGCACCTAGGAGGAAGAACTTAGTTCTGCAGGGAAGAACGAAGAGCCACAGTCAGGAGAGGCTTTCCAGACGACAAAAAATGAGCACATGTCTGTCCAGGGAGGACAGGCGAGAGAAGAAAGAACATGGGCAAAGGCATGGAGTCATGAAAAGAGAGGAGGCTTGGTCAAGAGCAGGGAAAATGGTTGGGGCAGCCATGGGCCCTGGGCACGTGAGCATCAGCCTTCTATAGGCCATGCTAGGGGCAGAGCTAAAGGTGTAGCACCAGCTAAGGAGCACCCAGCTAGGAGGAGGCTGGAAGGACCTGATATGAACACTTGCTGTGGTTGCAGAAGATGGGGTGAGGGATTTGGACAGAGAGTTCCAGGATAGATACAACCACAGCAAGGGGGGACCAGGAAGCAGGGATCCTCAAGACCCACATAGCTCTTGGAAGTGGTGTAGGTCACAAGGGCATCTAGGACCCCACAAGCCAAGATCATTTCACGACTGTGTGGCCTTAGGCAGGTCTGTCCTCTCTGAGCCTGGCCTCTCGGAGGTTCTACCGAGGAACTCATAAATGAAGGCTGGGAAGGCACTTTGTAAACCAAACCGTGAAGCCCATGCAATTGGATGGGGTGGAGTTACTCGCATTCCTCATTCGGTGTATTTCCTCCGGTTTTATCCAAAAACGGAAGTTTTCCCAGAAAACCATGCATCAGTCAGAATCCCAAAGGAAACAGGTAGTAATTGAGGAGGGTTTAATTTTTTTTTTAAGTGAGCAAAACACCAGGATGGTGCCACACTCCATGAACAGCAACAGTGGGGAACCCTTACCACACCAAGGCCTGCAGGGACAAGGAGGAGAGCAGTTAGTGGGGGCTAGGGAGAGAAGGGGCTGCCAACAGCAGCTGCAGCTTCAGCCACCAACCTGGTGGGGAGGGAGCTGGAGAAATAAATGTCCCAAACCTCACTGTCCTCCCACCCTCCAGTCTCCGGCTAGAACCTCCCATTGGTTGAACCCATTCCAGAAGTTGGAAGCTTGTAATACACTCATAAGTCAGACCCCAGGGCCAGAGCAGGGGGAGGAGGTGGGCAGAGGACCTGGGTGAGCACAGAAAGACATCAGCACTACCTCCATAGAGGGTGTGTGGGAGGAGAAGAAAATAGGCTCTTTAAGACCTAGCAAGACATAGGCCAGGGACAGGATTCAGCGTCTCCAGAAGACCACCTCTGTGTCCAGGCCCTTCTCCAGGCTGTCTCCATTTCAGTGGTTCTCACATTGGAGTCTGGGGACCCTGGAGGCCCCTGGAACCCTTTCAGGGGGTCCACAAGGTCAAAACTGTTTTCATAATAATGCTAAGATATTATTTGCCTTTTGACTCTCATTCTTCCATGGATATATGGAGGAGTTTTCCAGAGGCTACTTGATATAGCCACAATTACCTGAAAAGACTATTAAAATCCTTCCTTCTTTTTCTAACTGCATATTGGAATGAGACCGGATTTTCTTCATACCCTTGAACCAAAACAACTTATCAGAACTTATCAGATTGAATGCAAAAGTAAATATGAGGCCAGGTGTGGTGGCTCTTGCCAGTAATCCCAGCACTTCGGGAGGCCGAGCGCGGCAGATTGCGTGAGTTCAGGAGTTGGAGATCGGCCTGGGCAACGTGGTGAAACCCCATCTCTACTAAAAATACAAAAAAAATAGCCAGGCTTGGTGGTGCATGCCTGTAGTCCCAGCTACTTGGGAGGCTGAGGCATGAGAATCACTTGAACCCAGGAGGCAGAGGTTGCAGTGAGCCAAGATCAAGCCACTGCACTCCAGCCTGGGCAACAGAGTGACACTGTCTCAAAAAAAAAAAAAAAAAAAAAAAGTAGATATGAGACTCTAAAGATTTGCAAAAAATAGAGTACAATGACACTCTTCTCACATTCTTCTTACTTTAGAAAATAGTTATTTTTCAATAAAAATGTTATTTATGTTGATATGTATTGGGCTTATGATTGTTTAAGTCAGTAAGTAAATTTTTTTTAATTTCTAATATAATAAATATTGATAGAGCTCACATAGAGAAAAAGTTCATGGTGGGGGGGGTCTTTGACAATTTTTAGGCACATAATAGGGTCCTGAAACCAAGAAGTTTGACACCACAATGCTCAGAAAAACTCTCTAAGGAAGTTCCTGGTGTCACGCTCTTGTTCGGGAAGAGGAAGCTGAGGCCAAGAGAGGGGATGACAGCTAGCCGGGGTTACACAGCTGGTTGGTGGCTCAGCTGGGATTCAAATCTGGGCTGTCTGGCACCAAAGCACGCTCACACTCTCCCCATTGCCCCTGCGGCAAGAAGCCACAGGAGCAGTGGATGGTGGAACAGCACCTGGCTTCTGCCACCTCTTCTAAGAAGGGAACTTGACAGGGATTGATTGATCTCAATGATCAGCTACAAATGGTCTCTACACGTGGCCATGTTAATCAGCTCCTACCAGCCAGGATCTGACCAGTTTGAAAGGTTTATAGCAACAATGTGGTGCTGATTTATTTCTCCTTAATAAAAAAGTGATCAAGTGAAACCTGCATCTATCATTCTATTTATCACTCGGGATGATTTATTGACTAATTACACTTGCAGTGGCCGCTGGCTCTAAGTATGGACGATGGGGGGAGGTGGGGTCAGTCCGGCCATCAGTGCTGCCCTGGACACGTCTGCCGCCTTCCGTTCCAGCCTTGCCATTCACATGTAGGCAAGAACATGCTCTCGAATATGGATGTTCAGACTCTGAAGGAAGCGGGAGAGAAGGGAGAAAGGGGTAGGTGAGAAATGGAGAGATTGTCTGGTCCCAGCCATTTGCCCCTTCCTGCCCCTTTATCCATGGAGAAGACACGGTGCAGAGAGCAGCAGGCAGGGTCGCCAGGTAAACACGGTTGCTCAGTTACTTTCAAATCTCAGATAAACAATGAACAATTTTTTAGGGTAAGAATGTCCCAAATATTGCATAGATGTCATGTAAAACCTGGCAACCCTGGCCCCAGGGCCATGAGGGACCTGGTAGAGTATTGAGCTGATGTCACTATGAGAAGTTCCAGTGTCCATAACCATAGCCCAGTCTCACTCTGCACGCTGCTCTCCCCCTGCTCAACCCATGGGCGTCCCACTAGGGGCTCTGGGAAGATGTGACTTCTCGGAGCTGGTGGGCAAATCACACAGCCTTGCTGAGCCTTATCTGCAAAACAGAGGCTCCCAGCCTGTCCCAGTTCTTCCCCTTCATGCTGCACAGGGCTGATGGGGATGGACAAGTCTGTCCCTTGCCAGCTACATGGTGGAGGGCCTATGGCAAGGGCTGCCATTGGGGCTGGCAAGACTGGGCCCCCATCCACCCTAGGAAGGTTGAGTTTCCTTTAGTCCTCTTGAAGACATAGTAACTATAACTCAAAACTTTTGTTTGTATCATTTTCCTTGAAACCTTGGCTTTGAGCTAGGAAAGGACAGAGGGTCAGCTGGCACAGCCTTTGTGGAAAAGCGCAGTGTATCTATCAAAGTTAAAAATAAGTGGATGTTGTGGCCTGTAATCCCAGCACTTTGGGAGGCTGAGGCGGGCGGACCACCTGAGGTCAGGAGTTTGAGACCAGCCTGACCAACATGGCGAAAACCCGTCTCTACCAAAAATACAAAAAAATTAGCCAGGCGTCTTGGCGCGCGCCTATAATCCCAGCTACTCGGGAGGCTGAGGCAGGATAATCGCTTGAACCTGGGAGGCAGAGGTTACAGTGAGCCAAGATTGTGCCACTGCGCTCCAGCCTGGGCAACAGAACAGGACTCCATCTCAAAATAATAACAATAATAAATAAGTGCCTGTTGTATTTAAAATAGAAGCACTATATGAGGACTTAGTAAATCAATCAACCAATAACTACCCCTTTGACATAGCAATCCCACTCCCAAGCATCCAAACCAGGGAATAACAAGGATGTTTCTATTAATACCGCCAAGTCACAAACAACCTGAAATCAATCTAAAGGGGATGAGATGGATGGACTGTGATGTAGTCAAAAGAAGACACAGAAGTCATCAGAATGAGAGAAAGATATTGCCTAACCTGCAAAGATTTCCAAGATATATTATTATTATTAATCATTATTATTATTAGAAAAAAGCAAGTTGAGAACGTTCCAGACCAGGATTCCTCAACCTTGGCACTACTGACATTTTGGGCCGGATCATTCTTCGTGTTGGGGGCTGTCCGGGGCAAGGCAGGCTGTTTAGCAACACTCCTTTAGCACTCTACACACCAGATGCCAGGAGCACCTCCCTCCCCAGCCATGATGATCAAAAATGTCTTCAGATGGTGTCAAATGTCTCCTGGGGAGTAAAATTCCCTCCCCATCCCGCTTTCCCACCCCCCACAGTGAGAACTGGTCTAGACAGCATTGTCAGGAATGTTTACATGAACCAAAGTAAACACCTAACTAGAACTTCTATAGGAACTTAGGTAAATGTATGAATGCATAGCAGAAAGTCTGAAGGGAGTCTCCAAACTGGGAGCTGGGGTTGTCTCTGAGGAGGGAATTGGGAATTTGGGTGGGGGGGAAGAGAGGGATCTGGGGAGACCTTTGCTTTTGTTGTATGATCTGCATGTTTGACCATGAGAATGCATGCATCTGTTCAGTACTTTTTTGTTCTTTGTTTGTTTTCTTTGAGAAGGAGTCTCACTCTGTCGCTCAGGCTGGAGTGCAGTGGCGCCATCTCGGTTCACTACAACCTCCACCTCCCGGGTTCAAGGAATTCTCCTGCCTCAGCCTCCCAAGTAGCTGAGACTACAGGTGCCCACCACCACGCCCAGCTAATTTTTGTATTTCTAGTAGAGATGAGGTTTCGCCATGTTGGCCAGGCTGGTCTCAAACTCCCGATCTCAGGTGACCCACCAGCCTCAGCCTCCCAAAGTGCTGGGATTACAGGCCTGTGCCACTGCACCCAGCCATCTGTTCAGTACTTTCATTATAAGAGAGAAAGGAGGAGAGGGAAGGGAAAGGGAGGGAAGGGGAGGGGAAGGGAATCAATGGGAAAGGAGGGTCAAGAAGGAGAAGGAGAGAAGGAAGGAAGGGAGGGAGGAAGAGAGGAAGGAAGGAAGGAAAGAAGGAGGGAAGGAAGGAAGGAAAGAAGGAGGGAAGGAAGGAAGGAGGAGGGAAGGAAGGAAGGAAGGAAAGAAGGAAGGAAGGAAGGAAAGAGGGAAGAAAGGAAGGAAGGAAAGAAAGAAGGGAGGAAGGGAGGGAGGGAGGGAGGGAATGAGTGGCAGAAGCCAAGTCTGCAGTTGGGAAATCATGGGACGTGCTGGCTTTTCCTCTCTGATCCTCAGTGTCCTCAAAGAGAAAGGCACAGCATAAACAGGTCTCTAAAGACCCCTCCTGCCCCGTCCACTGTTGAAGAGAGCCCCAAGGTGACCTGGCCCCCTCCCTCCCGGCTGTCCCTCCCACACAACCCAGTTGTTGCACAAAGAAAAGAAGTGCTTGGGGCTTCTCCTCCCTCTCAGCATCTCTGATTATGCCTCCCTGCAGGAGGAGGGGAGGTTGGGGCCTGGTCAGCAGCCCAGCTCCACACCGAGGACTTGAGGACTCGCTGGAGCTTGATTAAATAATTACACAGAATCTACTGAGTAATCATGCCCGTCTCAAGAAGCAAGGAGCACCTTCAGAGGGAGGTCCCATTAGTGATTTGGGGGCGTGTGAGTGTATTTGTCTACTGCCTATGATAAAATTATCATCAGAAGGCCTCATTTACAAAATGCATCCCTTTCCCCCATCTCCTTCCATCACCTCCCAAACCCAGAGATGTGTATAATGTAATCCCCATTCCACGGCAGAGGACAGGGACTCACGAGCTTTGGGGCTGGCTCAAGGTCCCAGCAGCAGGGGCTGGTGGCAAAGGTGGTCAAATACCAGAAAGTGCACACAGAGTGGGGACAAGGCTCAGGACTGAAACATTTTAGAAGAGGTTTTGTTTGTTTTTTATTGTTTTGTTTTGTTTTCTCGCTAGGATTATTTCTCTCCTTTCAGTTTTTGAAAACAAATCTAAAATCAGCCATGGGAGCCTCCCTAGGTCTTGCTGCCAAGAAAACAGCCGAGCATGGAGGGTGAGGGCTGGGACTCACTGCGGCCGCCCTCATTTCCGATTTACCCAGGCCAAAGGGGACTGCCAGGTGGAGAGGGGGAGCCCAGGCCATCCTGGGGCTCTGTTCTCAGGCCTAGGGGCCAGGATCTTCTGTAAGCCACCCACCCCCCAGCTCCAGGATAAGGACACCCCTTCCAGCCAAGCGCCTGGTTTAATTGGGAACGGAAATAAACGGCTTACAAGAGGCTACACCAGGGCTCTCTGTGGCCCACAGGGCCTGGTCCTGAGATTCCTGCTGCCTGCATGGCTTGGCCAGCTACCCACGCCAGGCCCCGTTGACTCATTTACACTGGAGCAGTCCAAATTCATCAATAATGATTTGTCTCTCTTCAAGAAGAGGCTCGCAATCAAAAGGCCATTAAAATTAAGTACTGGAGGAGCGGGGGCCAGGGAAGGGGGAGGGGGAAGAAAAGGGGGAGGGGTGGGGCCAGGCGGAGCTGAGTGTGAATCTCCACTGGATGTGGACACTTTCTTGTTGCGGGACCTTGGATGGGTCACGTCTCGTCCTGGTTTCCTCTTCTCTGAAACAGAAGGGCAGATATGGCTACAGTATCAGTGACACTGTGTATGGAAACACCCAGCAGGAAGAAGCACGAAGTGACCCTGCTATGAGGCTTCCAGCATTGGGACACATGGGGAAGGTGATGGATACTGAGCAGGGGTAATGCCAGCCTGCTAGGTCAGATCCCAGGGCAGCTACCCCTCACTGCCCAGCTGTCCTAACTCCAGCCCCTGAGTAACTACCCATTGCCACCTCAACTGGGCTCAACACCCCAGGGCAGGGCCACAGCTCGGCCCTGCTCTAATCTCTGGGCAGGAGCAGCAGAAGCATCAGGACACCCAGGACAGCCCTAGACCTTGGAAGAGGCTGGACCAGACAGGGCTCCCCAGCCCTCAGCAGCCTCTCAGCCCTCAGCCTTCCCCCTGCCATCTGGAGCATGGCATCTCAGGATGCCTCAGGCACAGAGAGGCGACCCCAGTGTCCCACACCCACCAACTGACCCTCCTACTGCCCTGGGTGTTAAGAGGCCAACGTGCAGCCTTCTTTTGGGCACCCAGACAGCTAACATGGAGTCCTATGCATGGGTGGCTGAGAAATGCACCACTGTCCCCACCCTGCCTTTCTCAAGAAATAAAACACAAACAAGAACAAAGAAAGAAAGCAAAAGGAAAAAAAAATGGAATTCTGCAGCCCATCCCACAAGGTCCAGGCCTTCCTTGGGAGAAGGGGAGGTGCCAAGAACTCCAGATGTGTTGATCCCTGGGTTTGCACAGCCATCTGATTCTTCTTGAGGACAGGAAATGAAATTTTACAAAGGTGCCCATTATGTGCCAAGCGCTTGTTACTTCATAGAACAACCACAAGGATACCACAAGGTTGGTATTAGTCATTCTTGTTTTTAAGGGAGAACTCAGAAAGATGAAAAGCCTTGCCCAAAATCACGAGTCTCAGACCCTCACGGTGCCAAAGCCAAGATTCAAGCCCAGGAACAGCAGATCCTGACTCGATTCTTCCTCCACGCTTCCACATGGCCACCCGAGCACCTGACTCTAGGTCCAGTTCCAGTGTGGGCTGGAAGGAGCCTCTCCATGCTGATGCCAATCACAATCATGGCCACTACTTCCCATGCGCCCCTGGGTGCCAGGCTGCAGCTCCAAAGGTTGGAGTCACTCCATCCTCCCCAAAACTTAACGAGGCCAGGATTCTCATTCCCATTTCACAATGAAGACGCTGAGGCACAGCGATGTTAAATGACCTGTCCAAGGTCACAGGATAAAGTCATGGCAGAGCCAGGTCTCCACCTGATGGGCTGAAAACCGCACAAGGGCCAGGGTAGTGCCCAGCTTTGCTCCCACCTGGGCCCCACAGAGTGACAGCTCAGCAAGTGTGTGCTGGATGGGGAGACTGGTAGAGGGAGGGAAGGAAGGATGGACAGGTCAGCACAGCCGTGGAAGAGAATGGCTAAGAGGTGACACTCAGAGCCAAACTGCCAGGGCTCAAACCTCAGCTTTGCCACTTTTTACCTGCAAGTTTCTTAATTTGTCCCTACGTCAATTTTCTTATCTGAAAAATGCAGATAATAATAGTTCTTACTAGCTAGGGTTCTTAAGAGAAACAAGTGAGTTCATATGGAGCCTGGGACATGGTGGGTGCCCTACACTATTGTGGATTAGTGGAGGACAGGCAGGTCTAAAGCCGTGGACTGGCGGCAGCCCAACCACAAGGTGTCCTCATGAGGCCTCCAGTGAGGTCAGCCCCACCCTTGCACACTGAGAGTGAGCGCCTCCTGAGCACCTCGCTGGCCTCACCTAAATCCCTTCCAACCCTGGTCAGCCCATGACTTTCCATCTGGGCTTCCCCAGTCCCGCAGGGTCCAGTTGCCCCAACCCAGAGGACAGAGACGCTCAGACCAGCCCCGAAAGCGTCTCCAGCCTGGTAACAGTGAGCACCCCATCTCTGAGAGGTTAAAGCAGAGTGGGACGGCCACCTGGGGACCTGCAGACAGGCTTCTGGCTGGGAAGGAGACTGGAAGCCACTTTGAAGCTTTGTGCCGGCTGAGCATTACCGGCGCGAATGGCCACAGCGCCACCTGGTGGAAATATAAGAAATGACCTAAGGGGCCCCAGAGGGTGGAACACAAGCAGCATCCTCTCCGAGTGGGACAGGCCCCAGCCCAGGTGCTTCTCACAACAGGGGTACTTGGACATTCAACAAATAAATGAGGCCCCAATACCAAGCACTTTGGTGCGTTGTTTTCACGCGCTATACCATTTAATTCTAACAACACTCTAAGGAAGGCATCCTTACCCTTTTTACAAATAAAGACATTGAGCTCGGAGATGCAACGTTTATTTGACCAAGGTCACACAGCTAGCAGTGGCAGAGTCAGGATTTGAGCTCTCGAATTCTGACTCCACAGCCTGCCCTCCTAATTGCTAAGCCTTGGGGGATTCCATGAGAAAGAAAACCAGCACCCCTCCCCTGTCCCACCCCTTCGTTTCATGGAGCTTACACCTAGTCAGGGGAACAGACAGAAATCAGAAATTCACTGACTAGGTACCGTGTGTCAGGCACTGGGCTAAGTTCTAGCAATACCGTGGTGAAGAGGGTGGTCAGGGTCCCTGCTCAAATGAATCCTGTGGGGAAGAAGGACATTAACCAAATAATCACACAAATATGCGACTATAACGGGAGACGTAAAGGAAAGATTTGGGTTCTGAGACCCACTGACCAGGCACCTACTGCGCTGAAGCAGTAACATACTGAGCTGAGAGCTGAAAGGTGACCAGGACTTACCCAGGAAAAGACGCACTTATTCATTCTTTGACAAATGAAAGCACTGTGTGTTCCCCATGGTGTTTTCCTCTTTTGTTACAATAAATAAATAGACTGTATATACGCTATTGCAACTTGCATGTATAAATAATAGACTGTATATATGCTATTGCAACTTGCTTTCTAAGTCTACATAGTTTTTTGGTTCTTTGCATGGCAATACACAGAGATCATTTGTTTTAACTAAGGAGGCTGTCACACAACTGACATCTGCCTTATGCACCACGATGTATTTATCTGTGCCCCTGCTGATGACACTTGAGTTGTTTCCAAATTTTAACTCCTACAAACTGCTACAGCCACATCCTCCAAGTCCATAGTCTCTCAAAGTGCATGCATATGAGTTCCCCTGTGGTAAGTGCCCATGTTCCCTTTAATACTTGTCAACATCATTTTGCTGGAGAAGAGAAGAAAAAAAAATTTTTTTTTTTTTTTTGAGATGGAGTCTCACTCTGTCACCCAGGCTGGAATACAGGGGCGTGATCTCGGCTCACTGCAACCTCCACCTCCCGGGTTCTGGCGAATCTCCTGCCTCAGCCTCCTGAGTAGCTGGGATTACAGGCACACGCCACCATGCCCAGCTAATTTTTGTATTTTTGGTAGAGATGGGATTTCACCCTATTGGCCAGGCTGGTCTCAAACTCCTGACCTCAAGTGATCTGCCCACCTCAACCTCCCAAAGTGCTAGGATTACAGGCACGAGCCAGTGCACCTGGCCAAAAATAATTTTCTATTACTAATAAGTTTATACAAAAACAAATTCATTCACTAGTTCATTTACCCCAGCTGAAGCCAAGTTAAGGATCTAAAACACATTTGCCAAAATGCTTCCCACTTTTCTATAGGCCTTATTCTTTCTTCGGTTTTCTTTTATAATTTTTCTAAGACACTACTTCTTAAGAGATACATGTAAAGGGTTCTAAATTTCATTTCTTAAAAAAATCACCTGTCTCATAAACATTTTGCATTCCTAATTTCAGGATTTCAGCTGACCACTCCATGGCCTTCAGGCTGGCTCATCTGAGGGTTAGTGGCACCTCCATAGTTACACCATATAACTTGCAGACACATACCTTCTTACAGATAGGTGAGGACTGGGAGGAATGGCCTACATTTCTTTTTTTTTTTTTCAACTTTTATTTTAAGTTCGGGGTACATATGCAGGATGTGCAGGCCTGTTACGTAGGTAAACGAGTGCCATGGTGGTTTGTTGCACAGATCATCCCATCACCTAGGATTAAGCCCAGTATCCATTAGCTATTCCTCCTGATGCTCTCCCTCCCCCCACCCCATCGCATAGGCCCTAGTGTGTGTTGTTTCCCCCCAAGGTGTCCATGTGTTCTCATCATTCAGCTTCCATGTATAAGTGAGAACATGCGGTGTTTGGCTTTCTGTTCCTGTGTTAGTTTGCTGAGGATAATGGCCTCCAGCTTCATCCATGTCCCTGCAAAGGACGTGATCTCGTTCCTTTTTATGGCTGCATAGTATTCCTTGGTGTATATGTACCTCATGTCTTTGCTGTTGTGAAGAGTGCTGCAATGAACATACGTGTGCATGGTCTCTTTATAATAGAATGATTTCTATTCCTTTGGGTATATACCCAGTAATGGGATGGCTGGGCCAAATGGTATTTCTGCCTCTAGGTCTTTGAGGAATTGCCACGCTGTCTTCCACAATGGTTGAACTAATTTACATTCCCACTAACAGTGTAAAAGCATTCCTTTTTCTCTGCAATCTCGCCAGCATCTGTTGTTTTTTTACTTTTTAATAATAGCCAGAATGATTTAAGTCGATATCCAAGGGTGGACCAGTTCCCATGTTTCCCAGCCTGTGAGGAGTCTCCTGTGAAAATCTGAGCTAGCCAGCACTATATTTCCCATCGATGCCCATCATGTGTTATGGCCCCTGACCTGGGCTGCAGGTGCCCGAGTAAACTGAAGGTTTCCAGGGTGTCAGGTCTAGAGGAGACATCGTCAGCACTGACCTTGAGGCCTGTGAAGCCCATGGTGGTCTCTTTGGAGGAGGATGAGGGTTAGGGCAGGGTGGCTGCCCAGTTCCCAATAACAGCCCTTTTTCTGGAATTGCCCTTGATTCTCAGAACTATGGTGAACCTGGCCAGTGCTAGGATAGTGAAAGGCAAAAGGGACTCTATGGCCCAAACTTGCCACCATCTCTACCAAATTTATTCTCTGGGCCCTCTCTATTGTCCACTTTGTCAGGAGCTGAGATGAGCTGAGCTAAACAGGGTGGAACTGAAAGTCGAGACCCCAAGAGAGGAGGCATCTGATCCAACAGCAGTTCCGAAATCTGCCACCAGGTAACAGCAGAGCTCCTGCTCTGTCTCTGGTCTCTCACTGGCATGGGGTCCCCTGGGACTCTGATCTGCACCCAGGCTTGGCCTTGAGGGTCCTCTGCTTGTCTCAACTCTGCAATTCATTGTGAGCCTCCAGTCCCCATCAAAAAGCACCACTAGCAGGATAAGATTCTGTGGTCTGTTGGGGCACAGGGACTGTCTTGTGCCCCCTGGAAGTCTGTTTCCAAAGGATCCTGTTCATTTCACAGGAGGCCTAGGGCAGGGCTACCAGGCAGCTCTGGAAAACCCAGGAGACAACACAGGGCAGCTCAGGTTGCCACTAGAGAGAGGATTCTAGAGCCCAATAAAGTGTCCCTGCTGCTGTCCCCTCATCTGTGGCCACAAGGCCTTGAACCCCGACTCAGATTCACTCCCTGCAGCCACAGGCCTGAGCCCAGCCCAGCCTGGTAAGCCGTATTCTGAAATTGTTAAAGAAAAAGATGAAGGCCTGAGGGCTCGCAGTCTGGGGCCATGTGCCAAGCCCTGCCTTCTCCCGTGCCCATCATTCCAAGCAGCTCTGACCTCACTGAACTCAAACAAGGACTCCACACCCCAACACCCAATGTACCAGCACAGGAGTCTCCCTGTAAGGCCCCAGATTTCTGGATGAGCATAGACCCATCTGATGGCCCCTAGGAGGCTGTTTGTGGCCTGAGTTCTGGTTTGGCACCCTATCCATGATCAGGGCGGACCAGCCTAGGTGGGAAAATGAGACCTGGAGAGGTTGGAGACCCTGCCCAAAGCCTGGGGCCTGAAACCTGAGGTCTGGCAGGTTCCTGGCTCCACACTCTCACAGCTCCCTGTGACAATCCCTTCATTGCGCACATCACAATTATAATTCCGTGATGCATATGCTTGCATGGCCTTTTAATGTCCTGCTACCCGCGTGACCTGTAAGCCCCATGAAAGAAGGGACTATGTTCACTCCTGTAACCCCTTGCAACTAGTGCAATGCCTGGCACACAGTAGATGCTCAGAAAATAACTGGAATAAGTAAAATAATAAAGGGACATCCTCCTAAAGGAGACCTTAAGACATTTATAAAATGTTTTACAATTTACAAAGCACCCCCCACAGTTTTCCAGTTTCATTCTCCCCACCACCCCGTGAAATAGGTACTATTAGGCTGGGTGCAGTGGCTCACACCTGTAATCCCAGAACTTTGGGAGGCTGAGTGGGTGGATCACCTGAGGTCAGGAGTTCGAGACCAGCCTGGCCAACATGGTGAAACCCCGTCTCTACTAAAAATACAAAAATTAGCCAGCCATGGTGGTGGAAGCCTGTAATCCCAGCTACTCTGGAGGCTGAGGCTGGAGAATCGCTTGAACCCGGGAGGTGGAGGTTGCAGTGAGCCAAGATCGTGCCATTTCACTCTAGCCTGGGCAACAAGAGCGAGACTCTGTCTCAGGAAAAAAAAAAAAAGAGAGAGAGAGAGAGAAATAGGTACTATTATTGCCCACATAATGCAGTGTACTCATTTCCTATCTCTGCAACAACGAATTAACACACACAGTGGCTAAAACAACACAAGTTTATTTTCTGACTGGAGGTCAGATGTCCAACCCAGGCCCTATGGGCTAAAATCAAGGTGTCAGCAGGGCTGTGTTCCTTCTGGGAGCTCTCAGGAAAATCTATCTCCTTCCTTTCTCCAGCTTCCAGAGACCACCCATGTTTCTTGGCTCATAGTCACTTCCTCTAGCGTCGAAGCCAGCAATGTCACATCTCTCTTACTGAAGCCAGAAGAGGTTCTCTGTATTTAAGGATGCCTGTGATTAGGTTAGGCCTACCTGCATAATCCGGGATAATCATACATTCCAGACATTAGGATACACACATCTTTTTTTTTTTTTTTTTTTTTTTTTTTTTGGTGGTGGTGAGCGGGGAGAGATGTTATCCTGCCTAACACACAGAGATTCACAGAGATTCATAAACGGAGAGGTGAATTAACCAGCCCACCTCGCCCAGCTTGTGACTGAAGTGAGATTTAAAGCCAACATTTTGGGGCTACAGAATCTGAGCTCTTTCTCCCCTTTTCCAGAGCCAGAAGGGAAGGACACAGGGGCCCAGTCTCCATACAGTAAATACACATTTTATTTTATTTTATTTTATTTCATTTTTTGAGACAGGGTCGCACTCTGACCCCCAGGCTAGAGTGCAGTGGTACAATCACAGCTCACTGCGGCCTCAACCTCTGTGGCTCAAGTAATCCTCTCACCTCAGCCTCCTGAGTAGCTGAGACTACAGGAACACACCACCACACCTGGCTAATTTTTTTTTATTTTTTTGTAGAGACAGGGTCTCACTTTGTTGCCAACACTGGTCTTGAATTCCTGGGCTCAAGCACTCCTCCTGCCTTAGCCTCTCAAAGTGCTGGGATCACAGGTGTGAGCCACTGTGCCAGCCCACACTTTTATTTATGATTAAAGAGAAAGAAAAAAAAAAAGATGCGCTTGTCTGGAGGGTGAGGCCGTGTGGGAAAACTTTTTATTTGCTTGCCTTTATTATCATTACTTTAACGGTGTATTTAATAAATACAACGTTTTCAGCTAGAGGGAAAAAGGAATTAACCCAAGTCATTGGTTGAGTATGAAGGCATGGAGCCCCCACGGCCCTCCTCGCTGCAATTAAGCAAATGGCCAGCAGATGGCGGGGCATGCTCACAGCAGGGCCTTGCTCTCCGGACCATCTCTTTTACGGGCCGCCGAGCAAAGGTCTTTCTTTTCTCTTCTTCAAAACCCACTCTACAAGGAAATCTTCAGAAACATTCCAGCAGGCAAGACAAGGGCATAAAGGCCAGGGGGTCCCCCAGCCTCAGGACAGCAAGTGTGGGGACGTGCCCTACTGCATGCCCCATCCCCTGAGCCAGGAACAAAGACCAGAGGTCAAGCCGGCAGCAGTTGAGGAAGAGGGTCAGGCGTGGCTGTGTGTCCCGAATTGGTGGGTTCTTGGTCTCACTGACTTCAAGAATGAAGCCGCGGACCCTTGCGGTGAGTGTTACAGTTCTTAAAGGCGGCGTGTCCGGAGTTTGTTCCTTCTGATGTTCGGATGTGTTTGGAGTTTCTTCCTTCTGGTGGGTTCGTGGTCTCGCTGGCTCAGGAAAGAAGCTGCAGACCTTCGCGGTGAGTGTTACAGCTCTTAAGGCGGCACGTCTGGAGTTGTTCGTTCCTCTCGGTGGGTTCGTGGTCTCACTGGCTTCAGGAGTGAAGCTGCAGACCTTTGCGGTGAGTGTTACAGCTCATAAAGGCAGTGTGGACCCAAAGAGTGAGCAGCAGCAAGATTTATTGCAAAGAGTGAAAAAACAAAGCTTCCACAGTGTGGAAGGGGACCTGAGTGGGTTGCCACTGCTGGCTCAGGCAGCCTGCTTTTAGCTGCAGGGCAGCGGAAGGCAGGATCAGCTGGGTTACAGGACACTTAGGATGACCGGACACTTTACACGCTTTTACACACATTTATCATTACATCTCCTCTTCCTTGTGGCCCAGTATGGCACCTGGCATCAAAAATACTGAACTGGCTGGGAAGATGGTTGGTAGCAATGCCAGCGCAGTTTTTGAACCCCTCCAAATTTCTACATAAAAATAAGCAGGTCAGGTCAGGCGCAATGGCTCACACCTGTGATCCCAGCACTTTGGGAGGCCGAGGCAGGCAGATCACCTGAGGTTAGGAGTTTGAGACCAGCCTCGCCAACATGGCGAAACTCCATCTCTACTAAAAATACAAAAATTAACTGGGAATGGTGATGCACGCCTGTAATCCCAGCTACTTGGGGGGCTGAGGCAGGAGAATCCCTTGAACCCGGGAGGTGGAGGTTGCAGTGAGCTGAGATCGCACCACTGCACTCCAGCCTGGGCAACAGAGTGAGACTCTGTCTCAAAAATAAAAAATAAAAATAAGCAGGTCAGATTAGCAAAAGCAAAACCTACAGACAATGTTCGCTTAAAATTAGATGATAAGGTATCCCCATGAACACCAAAACACAAGCGGGGAAGCACAGCCCTCCCATAGCCACCTACATGTCATCAGGTCCCCCTACGTTCCCCCAGGGAGGCTTCCTTGGTTTAGATTCTGGCCCTTGGTGCCCCATCCAGCAGCCAACAGAGGGAAACAAGGAGCCCTCTGATGGACTTAAGAACAGGAGAATCCCAAAAGAGCCAGCAGGTATTCACGAGGAAGCAAGGAGGGACAACTGGAGACAGCAGCAGAAGCTGGGAGGGTCTCGCCCAGTCCGGGAGCAGGTGAGAGTCAGCAAGGACTAAGGGACTGCAGCGGTAGAGCCTTGAGAACCCTCAACACTGACCCACTTGGCTTCCCTTCCAGGACAGGATCACATAGCACTGAGCATGGAATCAAAATGGAGCAGGATCTGGACAATCAAAAGGAAGGAAGGAGAAGGCCAGGCGTGGTGGCTCATGCCTGTAATCTCAACACTTTGAGAGGCCGAGGCAGGCAGATCACTTGAGGTCAGGAGTTCAAGACCAGCGTGGCCAATGTGGTGAAACCCTGTCTGTATTAAAAAAAACAAAAATTAGCCAGGTGTGGTGACAGGTGCCTGTAATCCCAGATACTTGGGAGGCTAAGGCAAGAGAATCGCTTGAACCAGGGAGGCAGAGGTTGCAGTGGGCTGAGATTTTGCCATTGCATTCCAACCTGGGTGACAGAACGAGTCTCTGACTTAAAAAAAAAAAAAAAAGGAGAAAATTCAGATAGAAGCAGAGGGAGGAAATTAAGTCAAGGAACCTCAGGAAGCAAGCCATCACATTTTTGCACATGAAAACCACAGGAGAGGGTACTCTTGAAGTTGGAAACGCCATTCTGATCATCTCTTTCTTCAAGTTTGGGAACACTAATTCCACATAAAAACTAACAATGGAAAAGTCTTGAGGCCAAATCCCATGCAAAGTTAATTTAAGCAAAAGGAGAATAGGGAGCAAAATGACATTCCCACAAACAGAAAAGGCATGCCAGCAGGACATATCTCGGAAGAGATCAAAACTGTAACCTTCTATTTTAAAATGACCTAAAATTTCAATTATGCACAATGTGAAAGAACAACATAACTGAGAATTAGAAACTCATATAAATAAGGTGACACAAATCAGAAAAGAATTAAAAACTTAAGAAAAAAAATTTCAGGAATGAAGACTAGAAGGAACATAAGAGCAAACTGATGCAACTTTAAGATAATGCCTTAAAAGAAAAAGGTGAAAAGGAAGAAATATTTTAAATCAGTAGGAAATGAACGCTATTTTCTAAAATCGTCTAGAGAAAGTGGCAAATATTGAAATTAGGCAAAGAAGTTCCAACGTATCAATAATAAGAGTTCTTGAAGAAGAAAACCAAAGCAAGAGGACAAGTAATAAAAACAAAATCAAGAGAACTTACTGAAATTTTTAAAAATTGAAGTTACATATTGAAAGCACATACTGCATACCTGAAAATATCAACTCAGAATAATCAGACATATTCAAATAAAATTACAGACTTTGAGAAAAGTGGGGTGGTGAGGGGAGAATCCTTCAGCATCTATGTAAATAATTGACTTATAAGGAAAAATCAATTATTATCAGACTTCTCAAGAGCAATGCTTTATACCAAAAGAAAGATGTTACATGTTTAAGATGTTCAAAAACAAAGAATATGTTAATAATTTTATGTCCAGCAAAACTGACTTGAAAGTATAATGGGCAGAGGCAAATTGTTATTAGCATGAAATAGAGGATATTGTTCTCATGGGCTCTTCCTGTAAACGTCTTAGATCAAAAGCTTCAGACAAGCAAAATGACTAGGAAGACAAAAAATGAAATTTAAAAAACTGGTAATGAACGTTAAACATATAGTTACTTATGCAACTAAGACTAAATGAGAATTGTAAAGGAGAAAATATAGCAGGTAATGGCTATACACCCTGACAATGTAGCTACAAGACCACTTTTTTTATTTTTAATTTTTGTGGGTACATAGTGGTTTGGTTTTGTTTTGTTTTGTTTTTGTTTTTGTTTTTGTTTTTGTTTTTGTTTTGAGACAGAGTTTCACTCTGTTGCCCAGGCGGTTGTGCAGTGGCGCAATCTCAGCTCGCTGCAACCTCTGCCTCCTGGGCTTAAGGGATCCTCCTGCCAAAGCTCCCAAGCTGGGACCACAGGTGCACACCACCATGCCCAGCTTATTTTTTAAGGTTTTTTTGTGTAGAGACAAGGTCTCACTATATTGCAGGCTGGTCTCGAACTCCTGGGCTCACGTAATGCTCCTGCCTTGGCCTCTCAAAGTGCTGGGATTACAGGCGTGAGCCACTGCACCGGGCCATAAGTGTATATATTAATATTTGTGGCTTACAGAGATATTTTGATAGAGGCACACAATGTGTAATCGTCAGATCAGGGTAAATGGAGTATCCATCACCTCAAGCGTTTATCCTTTGTGTTACAAACAATCCAATTACTCTTTTAGTTATTTTTAAATGTACAACTATTTTTTATGATAGTCACCCTGTTGTGCTAGCAAATAGTAGGTCTTATTCATTCTTCCTAATTTTTTGTACCCATTAACCATCCTTCTACTCTGTGTCTCCATGAATTCAATCATCTTAATGTTTAGCTCCTACAAATAAGCAAAAACATGCAGTCTTTTTTTTTTTTTTTTTTTTTTTTTTTTTTGCAGCAGAGTCTCTCACTGTGTTGCCAGGCTGGAGTACAATGGCATAATCTTGGCTCACTGCAACCTCCGCCTCCCAGGCTTCAGCGGTTCTCCTGCCTCAGCCTCCAGAGTAGCTGGGATTACAGGCACGCGCTCCTGAACCCAACTAGTTTTTTTTTATTTTTAGTAGAGATGGGGTTTCACCATGTTGCCCAGGCTGGTCTTGAACTCTTAACCTCAAATGATCCAAATGATCCACTTTGGAAGCCTCGGCCTTCCAAAGTGCTGGGATTACAGGCATGAGCCACCGCACCTAGCCCGAAGTTTGTCTTTCTGTGCCTAGCTTATTTCACTTAACATAATGACTTCCAGTTCCAACCATGTTGTTGCAAATGACAGGATACCATTCTTTTTATGACTGAATAGTATTCCATTGTGTATATGCACCACATTTTCTTTATCCACTCATCTGTTGATGGATTGCTTCCAAATCTTGACTATTGTGAATAGTGCTGCAGTAAACATGAGAGTGCAAATATCTCTTTGATATACTGATTTCCTTTGTTTTGGGTATATACCCAGCAGTGGGATTGCTGGATTGTACGGTAGCTCTATTTTTAGTTTTTTGAGGAACCTCCAACTTGTTCTCCATAGTGGTTGTACTAATTAACATTCCCACCAGCAGTGTACAAGAGTTCCCTTTTCTCCACATCCTCACCAGCATTTGTTATTCCCTGTCTTTGGGATAAAAGCCATTTTAACTGGGGTGACATGATAACTCATTGTAGTTTTGATTGGCATTTCTCTAATGATCAATGACTTTGAGCACCTTTTCATATACCTGTGTGCTATTTATATGTCTTCATTTGGGAAATGTCTATTCAGATATTTTGCCCATTTTTAATAGAATTATTAGGTTTTTTCCTATAGAGTTATTTGAGCTCCTTATATATTCTGTTATTAGTCCCTTGTCAGATGGGTAGTTTGCCAATATTTTCTCCCATTCTATGGGAGGTTTTTTGAGGGTTTTTTTTATCATGAAGGCTGTTGAATTTTATCAAATGGTTTTTCAGCATCAATTGAAATGATCTTATGATTTTTGTCCTTCATTCTGTGATTCTATGATTCTATGGGTTGTCTATGATTCTATGGGATTCTATGATTCTGTGATTCTGTGGGTTTCTCTTCACTTGTTGATTGTTTCCTTTGCTGTGTAGAAGTTTTTTTTAACTTGGTGTGATCCCATTTGTCCATTTTTGCTTTAGTTGCCTGTGCTTGTGGGTTATTATTACTCAAGAAATCCTTTACCTCTCCAATGTCCTGGAGGGTTTCCTCAGTGTTTTCTTTTTGTGGTTTCATAGTTTGAGGTCTTACATTTAAGTCTTTAATCAATTTGGATTTGATTTTTCTATGTGGTGAAAGATAGGAGTCTAGTATCATTCTCCTGCATGTGGATATCCACTTTTCCCAGCACCATTTATTGAAGAGAATGTCCTTTCCCCAATGTATGTTATTGGTACCTTTGCCAAAAATGAGTTCACCCTAGATATATGGATTCATTCGGGAGTTCTCTATTCTGCTCTACTAGTGCATGTGTCTGTTTTTATGCCAGTACTATGCTGTTTTGGTTCCTATAGCTATGTAATATAATTTGAAGGCAGGTAATGTGATTCTTCCAGTTTTGTTCTTTTCGCTCAGGATCGCTTTGGCTATTCTGGGTCTTTTGTGGTTCCATATAAATTTTAGGATTGTTTATTCTATTTCTGTGAAGAATGTCATTGGTGTTTTGATAGGGATTGCATTGAATCTGTAGATTCCTTTGGGTAGTAAGGACATTTTAACAATATTGATTCTTCTAATCCATGAATATGAAATATCTTTCCATTTCCTTGTGTCCTCTTCAGTTTCTTTCACCACTGTTTTATCATTTTAATTGTAGAGATCTTTCACCTCTTTGGTTAAGTTAATTCCCAGGTATTTTATTTTATTCGTGGCAATTGTAAATGGGATTAATTTCTTGAATTCTTTTTCAGGTTGTTCGCTGTTGGCAAATAGAAATGGTACTGACTTTGGTATGTTGTTTTTGTATCCTGCAGCCTTATTGAATTTGTTTATCAGTTCTAATAATTTTTTGGTGGAGTCATTGGATTTTTTCAAATATAAAGATTATATAATCTGAAAACAAAGATAATCTGAATTCTTTCTTTCCAATTTCGATGCCCTTTATTTCTTTCTCCTGTCTGATTGTTCTAGATAGGATTTCCAGTACTATGTTGAATAACAGTGATGAAAGTGGCCATCCTTGTAGTGCTTCAGATCCTAGAGGAAAAGCTTTCAGTTTTTCCCCATTCAGTATGGTACTAGCTATGGGTCTGTTGTATATGGGTTTTATTATGTTGAGGTATGTCCTTCTATACCCAGGTTTTTTGAGGGTTTTTATCATGAAGGGCTGTTGAATTTTATCAAATGCTTTTTCAGCATCAATTGAAATGATCTTATGATTTTTGTCCTTCATTCTGTGACATGATGTACCACATTGATTTATTTGCATATGTTCAACCATCTTTGCATCACTGGGATAAATCCTACTTAGTCATAAGGAATGATCTTTTTAATGTGTTGTTCAATTTTGGTTGCTAGTATTTTGTTGAGGATTTTTGCATTAAAATTCATCAGGGATATTGGCCTGTAGTTTTTGTTTTTTGTTGTTGTTGTTTGTTTGTTTGTTTTGATGTGTCTTTGTCTGGTTTTGCTATCAGGGTAATTCTGGCCACATAGAATAAGTTTGGAAGTATTCCTCCCTCCTCTATTTTTTGGAAGAGTTTGAGTAGGATTGGTATTAGTTCTTCTTTAAATGTTTTGTAGAATTTAGCAGTGAAGCCATCTGGTCCCAGGATTTTCTGTGCTGGGAGACTTTTTACTACAGCTTCTATTTCATTACTCATTACTTGTCCATTCAGGTTTTGTTTTTTGTTTTTTGTTTTTGTTTTTGTTTTGAGACAGAGTCTCGCTCTGTCACCCAGGCTGGAGTACAGTGGCATGATCTCAGCTCACTGCAAGCTCCCCCTCCCAGGTTCACGCCATTCTCCTTCCTCAGCCTCCTGAGTAGCTGGGACTACAGGTGCCCGCCACCACACCCAGCAAATTTTTTGCATTTTTAGTAGAGATGGGGTTTCACCGTGTTAGCCAGGATGGTCTCAATCTCCTGACCTCATGATCCGCCCACCTTGGCCTCCCAAAATGCTGGGATTACAGGCATGAGCCACCGTGCCTGGCCAGGTTTTGGATCCTCATGATTCAATCTTGGTAGGTTGTATGTATCTAGAAATTTATCCATTTCTTCTAGATTTTCTAACTTATTAGCATATATTTGCTCATACTAGCCATTAATTATCCTTTGAATTTCTGCAGTATCAGTTGTAGTATTTCCTTTCTCATCTCTGATTTTATTTCTTTGTCTTCTCTCTTTTATTCTTCAATTGTCTGTCTAAAGGTTTGTCAATTTTGTTTATCTTTCAAAAAAACTTTGTTTTGTTGATCTTTTGTATTGTTTTTTGTTTGTTTCAATTTCATTTATTTCTGTTCTGATTGTTAATATTTCCTTTCTTCTACTAATTTTGGGTTTGGTTTGCTTTTGCTTTTCCAGTTCTTTAAGATGTATCATTAAATTGTTTATTTGAAATTTTTCTTCTTTTTTGATGTAGGTGCTTGTAACTATAAATTTCCCTCTTGGTACTGCTTTCACTGTATCCCATAGATTTTGGTATGTTATGTTTCCATTATCATTTGTTTCAAGAAATTTTCTGATTTCCTCTTTAATTTCATCATTGACCCACTGGTTATTCACGAGAATATTGTTAATTTCCATGTGTTTGTATAGTTTCCAAAATTCCTCTTGTTATTGATTTCTAGTTTTATTCCATTGTGGTCAAAAAGATACTTGATATATTTTTCAAATTTTTTTAATGTTTTAAGATTTGTTTTGTGATCTAACATATGGTATATCATTGAGAATGATCCATGTGCTGAGGAAAAGAATGCATATTCTGCAGCTACTGGATGAAATGTTCTGTAAATATCTATTAAGTCCATTTGGTCTACTGTACAGATTAAGTTCAATGTTTCTTTGTTGATTTTTCTGTCTGGAAGATCTGTCCAGTGCTAAAAGTGGGATGTGGAAGTCTCCAGCTGTTATTGTATTGGAGTCTATCTCTCTCTTTAGGTCTAATAGTATTTGGTTTATATATCTGAGTGCTCCAATGTTGGGTGCATGTATATTTACAATTGTTATATCCTCTTACTGCATTAACTCATTTATCATTATATAGTGACCTTATTTGTCTCTTCTTATAGTTTTTGTCCTGAAGTCTATTTTGTGTGATATAAGTATAGTGACTCCTGCTCTTTTTTTGGTTTAAGAGGCATGGAATATTATTTTCCATCCCTTTATTTTCAGTCTGTGTGTGAAGTATGTTTCTTGTAGGCAACAGATCATTGGGTCTTATTTTTTTAATTCATTCAGCCACTCTGTGTCTTTTGATTAGAGAATTTAGTCCATTTATATTTAATGTTATTGATAAGTAATGGCTTACTCCTGCTATTTTGTCATTTTTGTTCTGTGGTCTTCTCTTCCTTCTTTCCTTTTTTTTCTGTCTTCATTTTAGTGAAGGTGATTTTCTCTGGTGATATGATTTAATTTCTTGCTTTTTATTTTTTGTGTATGCATTGTATGCTTTTGATTTGAGGTTACCATGAGGCTTGCAAATACTATCTTATCACCCATCATTTTAAGCTGATAGCAATTTCATAGTGCTTGCATAAACTAATAAGCAAAAAGAAAACTAATAAAGACTCTACACTTTAATTTCATCCCCCTGCTTTTAACTTTTTGTTTCGATTTATGTCTTACTGTACTGCCTATGTCTTGAAAAGCTTTTGTAGTCATCATTTTTACTGGTTCATCTCTTAGTCTTTCTACTTAAGAGCAGTATAACACACTACAGTTACAGTGTTATAACATTCTGTTTTTCTGTGTACTTACTATTACCAGTGAGTCTTGTACCTTCAGATGATTTCTTATTGCTCATTACTGTCCTTTACTTTCTGACTGAAGTATTGCCTTTAGCATTTCTTGTAGAACAGGCCTGGTGTTGATGAAATTCCTCAGCTTTTGTTTGTCTGGGAAAATATTTCTCTTTCATGTTTGAAGGATATTTTCATCTGATATAGTATTCTAGGGTAAAAGGCTTATTTTTCTTCAGCACTTTAAATATGTCATGGCATGCTCTCCAGTCCTGTAAGGTTTCTACTGAAAAGTCTGTGGCCAGACATATTGGAACTCCATTGTATGTTATTTGTTTCCTTTCTCTTGCTGCTTTTAGGGTCCTTTATTTATCCTTGACCTTTGGGAGTATGATTATTAAGTGGCTTGAGGTAGTCTTTGGGTTAAATCTGCTTGGTATTCTATAACCTTATCATACTTAGATATTGGTATCTTTTTCTAGGTTTGGGAAGTTATCTGTTATTATCCTTTTGAATAAACTTTCTACACCTATCTCTTATCTACCTCCTCTTTAAGCTCCGTAACTCTTAGAGTTGCCCTTTTGAGGCTATTTTCTAGATCTTGTAGATATGCCTTATTCTTTTTTATTCTTTTTTCTTTTGTCTCCTCTGACTGTGCATTTTCAAATAGCCTGTCTTCAAGCTCACTAATTCTTTCTCTGCTTGATCGATTCAGGTATTAAGAGACTCTGGTACATTCTTCAGCATGTCAATTGTATTTTTCAACTCTAGACTTTCTGCCTGATTCTTTTTAATTATTTCAATCTGTTTGTTAAATTTGTCTGATAGAATTATGAATTCCTTCTCTGGTTTTTCTTACATTTCTTTGAGTTTCCTCAAAATAGCTATTTTGAATTATCTATCTGAAAGATCACATATCTCTGTCTCTCCAGGATTGGTCCCCACGGGCTTATTTAGTTTGTTTGGTGATGCCATGTTTTCCCGGATGGTCTTGATGCTTGTGGATGTTTGTCAGTGACTGTGCATTTAACAGTTAGGTATCTGTTGTACTCTTCACAGTCTGGGTTTGTTTGTACTTGCCTTTCTTGTGGACAGGTACAAACAAGCCCAGACTGTGAAGGACAAGTATTGTGGAAGGACAAGGCTTTCCACGTATTCAAAGGGACTTGGGTGTTGTGATCTAAGTGTTTGGTCACTGCAAATGCATCTGCATTAAGGGACACCCCAAGCCCAGTAATGCTGTGGTTCTTGCAGAGTTGCAGAGGTACCACTTTGGTAGCCTTGGATAAGATCCAGAAGAATTCTCTGGATTACTAGAGATTCTTGTTCTCTTCCCTTACTTTCTTCCAAACAAATGGAGACTTTCTCTCTCTCTCTCTCTCTCTGTGCTGTGCTGCCTAGAGCTGGGGGAGAAGTGACACAAGCACACCTGTGGTCACCATCACTGGGACTGCGCTGGGTCAGACCTGAAGCCAGTGCAGCATTAGGTCTTGCCCAAGGCCTGCTGTAACTGCCACCTGGCTACTGCCTATGTTTGCTCAAGGCCCTAGGGTTCTACAATCAGGAGGTGGCAAAGCCAGCCAGGCTTATGTCCGTCCCTTCAAGGCACCCAGTTCCCCCAGGCCCCAAGCAGGTGCAGAGATACTGTCTGGGAGCCAGAGACTGGAGTCAAAAAGCTTAGAAATCTACCTGCTGTTCTATTCTACTGCAGCTGAGCTGGCACTCAAACCACGAGACATAATCCTTCCCACACTTCCCTCCCACTTCCATAAGCAGAGGGGCCTCAACCTGTGGCCATCACCACGACAGGCCCATAGGACTACTGCCAGTCTACCACCAACGTTCACTGAAGACCCAAGGGCTCTTCAGTCGGCTTGTAGTGAATGTTGCCAGGCCTGGGACTCATCCTTCAGGGCAGTGGGTTTCCTTCCCACCCAGAGCAGGTCCAGAAATGGCATCTAAAAGGCAAGGCCTGAAACCAGGGACCCCAAGAACCCTCTTTATGGTCTAGTCTACTGTGGCTGAGCTAGTATCTAAGGTATAAGACAAAGTCCCCTTTACTTTTTCCTCTGCTTTACTCAAGCAAGTGTTCTCACTATGGTTCTCACCATAGCCACCACAGCTGGAAATGTGCTGGGTCTCACCTGAAGCCAACATGTCTCAGAGTCTCAACCAAGGCCTATGGTAGATACCAGGGTATCGCTGCTGGTTCTTCAAGGTCCCAGGACTCTTTAATCAGCAGGTAATGAATCCTGCCAGGACTGAGTCCTTCCCTTCAAAGCAGTAGGCTCCCTCCTAGCCTAGGGTGTGTCTAGAAATATCATCCAGGAGCTAGGCCCTGGAATGGGGACCTTATGACCCTAACTGGTACCCTATCCTACTGTGGCTGAGCTGGCATCCAAGATGCAAGACAAAGTCCTCTTTACTCTTCCCTCTCCTCTCCTCAAGTGGAAGGAGCTTGCACAGCTGCAAGCTGTGCTACCTGGAGTTGGGGGGAGGGTGGTGCAAGTACTCCCTTAGCTGCCTCAGCTAGTGTCTCAGTAGGTCATGTGCCCCCACCATGTCCACTGACTCTGAGCCCAGCTCAGCACTAGGACTTGCCTAGGAACTGCAGTCCTTGTGACCTTGACTGCCATTCAAGTTTATTTACAACCCAGAGCATTTTACCCCCATGGTGGTAAGGCTTGCTGAAACTCAAGTTCCATCCACTGGGTTGGGCAATTCCCTTGGGCAATTACCCTCTGGCTAGGGCTGGTCTAAATACTCTCTCCATCATCAGCTGTCAGCTGAGTTCAGTTCGGTTTTGCTTTCACTGTGACAAAGCAGCATCAAATTCAATGCAATGTCTCACAATAGCTGCGCTCTCCCTCTTCCAAGCACAGAGATTCTCTCTCTACGCCACAAAGCCACTGCCATGGGATGGGGACAGGTGGCATCAGCAACTCAAGACTGTCTTCCCTACCCTCTTCATTGCCTCTTTCAACAGTATGAAGTTAAAATCAGGTACTGTGAGTGCTCATCCAATTGTTGGTTCTTATGATGAAGGTGCTTTTTTGTGTGTAGATAGTTGTTAAATTTTATGTTCCTGTGGGGGATGGGGAGATGGAGCCTTCTATTCAGCCATCTTGCTCCACCTCCTACAACGGCAGTCCCCAACCCCCTGGCCATGGACTGGTACTGGTCTGTGGCCTGTTAGGAACCACGCTGCACAGCAGGAGGTGAGCAGCAGACAAGCAAGTGAAGCTTCATCTGTATTTACAGCCACTACCCATTTCTCATTACCGCCTGAGCTGCACCTCCCATCATATCAGTGGCAGCATTAGATTCTTATGGGAGTGCGAACCTTATTGTGAACCGTGCATGCAAGGGATATAGTTGCGGGCTCCTTGTGAGAATCTAATGCCTGATGATCTATCACTGTCTCCCATCATCCCCAGATGGGACCATCTAGTTGCGGGAAAACAAGCTAGGGCTCCCACTGATTCTACATTATGAAGAATTGTATAATTATTTCATTATCTATTACAATGTAATAATAATAGAAATAAAGTGTATAATAAGTGCAATGTGCTTGAATCATCCCAAAACCATCCCTTACCCCAATCTGTGGAAAACTGTCTTCCACAAAACCGGTCCTTGATGCCAAAAAGCTTGGGGACCACTGCCCTACAAGACCACTTTTAAAATAGGAATAATGGGAAGACCATATTCAAAAAAAAAAAAACTTTTTAAACTGTTTCCAGTAATTATTTTGTTGATGCTATTACTGCTGTCATTTTGAGACCATTGCGTGTGTAATGTGGGATAAGGAAAATAAGCAATTACAGACTGTTTTAATTCTATCATCTCCTGTATTATTGAGGATCTGATTCTCAATATGGAAGAAAGGAGAGATGTAATATAGAAAAGATTAAGTGAAAAACCTAAGTGTGAATTGGAATTATTAGTATGAACACAGGGTGCTATCCTCCTGGTTTCTGGCTGAAAGGTGTGTGTGTGATAAAATATATTTCCTAATGACCAAATCAGTAGCCATCTGCATCCCTAGCATCCAGACAGTGGTCATGAAACCCTATTTTCCATTTAAAAATAAAACGGGGCCCGGCACAGTGGCTCACGCCTGTAATCCCAACACTTTAGGAGGCCAAGGTGGGTGGATTGCTTGAGCCCAGGAGTTCAAGACCAGCCTGGGCAACATGGAGAAACCCCTTCTCTACAGAAAATACAAAAATTAGCTGGGCATATTGGTGCATGCCTGTAGTCCCAGCTACTCAGGAGGCTGAGGTGGGAAGATCAACTGAGCCCAGGAGGTCAAGGCTGCAGTGAGCCGTAATGGCACCACTGCACTCCAGCTTGGGTGACAGAGTGAGACCTCATCTCAAAAAATATATAAAAATAAAAGGACTTGTAGTCAGTTAATATTTATTCAGTATTTCAATCTTGTAAATATAAATATTTACAAGTAGGTTTCACTGTCCTCTCCTGATGGATGACAAAGGGAAAACACAGAGAAGAAAGCAGTTTTCTCAGGGCCACACAGCTGCTAAACTGCCCAGCTGGGCTTGAAACCCAAGTGAGGTTCATCTGTTCATTCAACAAATAGTTGCTGACACCTGCTGAGTTTACTGCTAGGGAAACAGCTAAGTTAAAACAGCCTGACTTCCCATCCACCTGCCCTTCCTGTGAGAAAGGGGAAGATGGACATGCAAGGGACACTTGCTGGTCTTGGTACCCACTTGGGCACAGCCCCAGCACCTGTCCCCTGTGCAAAGCCGATGTGCTGCTCTCAGAAGTGGTAGCTAAGCCCACGCCCTTTCACCCCCAGCTCTGAAGATGACAATGCATTCAAATTCACCAGATCACCCCCAGCTCTGAAGATGACAATGCATTCAAATTCACCAGATCACCCCCAGCTCTGAAGATGACAATGCATTCAAATTCACCAGATCACCCCCAGCTCTGAAGATGACAATGCATTCAAATTCACCAGATCATCTAATGAAGTTTCACTTCTGTTTCTTAGCACCTCCCTGACTCTTCTGTTCCCTAGAGTGGAAGGAGGGTCTGGGAAAGGACCTTTGCCTGAAACTAAGAAGTCAACATGATACCCCTCAATATCCCACCTGGGAAGGGAGCTGCCAATGAGCCGAAGCAGATGGGGAGGAGATGAAACTGGGCTATCAGCTTTGCAGGCTGGAGCCCCCTCCTGTATCTGCCTTATCTTCTGGTATCCCCAGCACTTGGCCCTTGGCCTTGTAGAAAGCAGGAATGTGATACATGTTTGGTGAATGAATGAGTGAATTAATTAATTAATTTAATATATTAATTTGTATCTATTTCAAATAGAGTCTGAAGCTCAATTAATACTTTAAAAATACA
The DNA here is from genome assembly GCF_000001405.40 of Homo sapiens. NCBI lineage: Eukaryota > Metazoa > Chordata > Mammalia > Primates > Hominidae > Homo > Homo sapiens. The sequence goes on from NC_000020.11 coordinate 40,983,298, forward strand.
GCTGGGCATGGTGGCTCACACCTGTAATCCCAGCACTTTGGGAGGCCAAGGCGGGAGCATCGTCCAAGAGTTTAAGGCTAGCTTGGGCAACATGGTGAAACCCCATCTCTACCAAAAATTTAAAAAAAAAAGAATTAGCTAGGCATGGTGGTATGCGCCTGTAGTCCCAGCTACTCAGGAGACTGAGGTGGGGGAATCACTTGATCCTGGGAGGGTGAGACTGCAGTGAGCTGAGATCACGGCACTGCCCTCCAGCCTGGGTGACAAGGTGTGGCCCTGTCTCAAAAATAAATAAAAATAAAAATACTATATAATCATTCATTCTAAAACAGAAGTTATAATCATGCCTATCCCTAGGGCCATTGGGAAGATTAAATCCATGAATAAATGTAAAACACTTAGACCAGCGCCTGGCACATACCAATCCCGCAATAAGCTATTCATGTAAACTGAGAGTAGGTTGTCCCACTCCATGTGGGATTAGGGGTCAGTGTAGGACCAGGGTCAGAGATCAAGGGGAGAATCACGCAAAAATTTAGTATGAAGTTAGGATTAGAGGACCAGTTTGTGTCCACCCAGCAGTCAGATTTTTTAGTTACCATCTATTTGTTTATTTATGTCCCACATTGTTCCAGGAGGAGTCAAGGCAGCTTTCAGGAATTCTAACTACAGAAATCAAGAAAGAGAAAGATCAAAGTTACTATGGACTGAATGTTTGTGTCCTCCCCAAAATTAATATGTTGAAGCCTAATCCCTAATGGGATGGTATTAAGAGGTGAGACCTTTGAGAGGTGATTACGTCATGAAGGTGGGGCTCTCATGAATGGGATTAGTTCCCTTTTAAGAAGAAACATAAAAGGAAAAAAAGAAAGAAAGAAAAAAAGAAAAAATAATAAAAAGAGAAGAAACGTAAGAGAGACCTCTCTCTCTCTCTTTCAATCAATCAATAGCTAGATCTCCCCCTCTCTACCATGTGAGGATACAACAAGAACACAGCCCTCTGCAAAGCAAGAAGAGTGTCCCCACCAGATACTGAATCTTCCAGCACCTTGAACTTGGACATCTCAGCCTCCAAAACCATGATAAATAAAATTCTGTTATTTCAGCCACCGAGTATGTGGTATTCTGTTATAGCAGCCTGAACTAAGACGAAATGGAGGTGTTACTCCCCAAGGGTACTCATGCTGGCACCCTGAGGCCTTCTCAGCACAGAGCTGCAAATGGGCAACCAAATCTCAGGCCTTGCTGGTCATTCTGAAGGTCACACTGACAGCCTATGGTCAAGCAGAGCCAGCTGCACGAAGTCCTGGTAAGAATTCCATGAGATCCCCCATGCAAAGTGTTGGCACAGAGTAAGTTCTCAACACATGTTGCTATTGCTATCAGTGCACAGGCTGAGGTGAATGCGCAGCGAGCAGCAGGGACCAGCATTTTATCACTGGCCAGAGCAGTGCATTCTCTCCCCATGAGCAGCCCTGGATTCAGAGCCAGAAAAAGTGGATGTTCAATGGCATCAGATTGGGGGAGCCAAATAAATTCCACGGGGCCACCCTGACCAGCAGCTGTAGAGATACTGGAAGTCTGTTGGCTACAACCCTCTCTCCTCGGAATGTGCCTGGACAGGCTCTGGCAGCTCTGGGCTCTGAATGACCAAACCCCAGCCCACCAGACATGACTTTTCCCTATATAGCTGGATATATTTGGCTAGATGAGGACAAGTCCACAAGGCATATTTCAAATGTGGAGTGTGTGTGTGTGTGTGTGTGTGTATGTGTTGGGGGGTTGTATTCAGTTCCCATTGCTGCTGTAACAACTTAACCACTTAAACAATACATAGTATTTTACAGTCCTGCAAGTCAGAACAGGGCGAAAAATCAAGGTTTCCACAGAGCCGCATTCTTCCTGGAGGCTCTAGGGTAAAATGTGTTCCTTGCCTCTTCCAGCTTCTAAAGGCCGCCCACATTCCATAGACTTGTGGCCCTTATCCATCTTCAAGCCAGCCATTGAATCACTCTAACCTTTGATTCTACTTTTTGTTGTTGTTGTTGTTGTTGTTGAGACAGGATCTCACTCTGTCACCCAGGCTGGAGTGCAGTGGCGCAATCACGGCTCACTGAAGTCTTGGCTTCCCGGGCCCGTGTGATCCTCCCACCTCAGCCTCCCAAGTAGCTGGACTTCAGGCATGCACCACCACACCCAGCTAACTTTTTGTATTTTTTGTACAGACAGGATCTCTCTGTTTTGCCCAGGCTGGTCTCAAACTCCTGGACTGAAGCAACCCACCTGCCTCAGCCTCCAAAGTGCTGAGATTACTGGCATGAGCTACCATGCCGAGCCTTGACCTCTGACTCTATCATCACGTCTCTTTCTCTGACTTTCATCCTGCCTTCCTCTTATAAGGACCTTGTGATTACACTGGGCCCAGCCAGATAATCCAGGATCATCTTCCCGTCTCAAGATCATTAGCTTAATCATGTCTGCAAAGTCCCTTGGGCCATGTTAAGGTTAAAGTGTTTGCAGGTTCCGGGAGTTTTGATGCAAAATATCTTTGGGGGCCAAGCTTCTGCCTGCCCCAGGGGCCTAGTGTTATAAACTCTTAAGATGCTGTGAATCTCCTGCCCTCTGCTCTCCCAAGAGAGGGACTCTGGAGCCAAAAAAACATTTCTAAGTCCAGAAAGAATTTTGGCAAAATGTCCCATCAGAAGATAAAGGAAAGGGGTGAATTATCTCTTTGGGTCTTTCCAGACTGAGCAAGATATTATTCACCTGTGTTGCCCATCCGGGGTCCAGGGTAAAAGACAGCAGCCAGTATCCAGCTTCACCTGCTGGGAGTAACCCAGGCCACGAAAGACTTCTTACCTCCTTGCTCACTTGTGATTCAAAAGGCCATTTCTTTACCTCCTGAGATGGCCCAAAGAAGCAATGGCCCAGGGACCATTTTGGGGAGCTGCCTTCTAGATCTGCAGAAAGTATAAAATGGTTCCAAGCAAAGAAACACTGGACTTCCCGGGGTTCCAGATCCACCTTCCACATCAGAGCCCCAATTCCCACTTTAACTGACTTGCTGGCACTGTGTCTCTCTGTGTGCCCCAGAAGAAATTTCTTCCAAATCTTAATAATAGGAATAGGCATTTTCTCTGGGGGGAAACTGTTCTGCTTTTTACCTGACAAGCTTTATGAATCATGTGATGGATTACATTTCCCTTTTCACAATGGCTGCTAGGAAGCTCAGAGTCAGATTTGTGGCCCATGGTTTCCAACTACCTAGGAGTCTATAAACTGCATTGCTTGCACTAACCTCTCCCTTGATTGCTCTTAGCTTTCTTCTCCCATTTCCCCTTTGTCCCTGTTTCTTCATCCCCCTATTTTTTACTTTTTACTCTTGAAATTGTTAGTCCTTGAGATGAAATAGAAATGAGGGTGACAAGATTGCCTTTGAGAGTTAAATGCAGTTAAATGTTGTTAAATGCTGGGATCAGCCAAGCCTGTCCAGAGCAAAGAAGTGAAAAGTCTCCAGGTGGAGACAGAACAGCTTTCAGGTACCAATGTTTGATTGTAACCTGGGTTTGATGTGGTCCCTAGCAGGGTCTCCATTCCCCAGTCTGTCTTCCTCTACACACTCCTGCCTAGTGATTAATAGACCAGGTTCTGATCTTGGTATTTGACCACTTCCTCCTTCAGACTATGAAGGTTGACCACTTCCAAGGTATGTGTTTCCTGTAAGCAGAGACAAAAATCAGCCTGTCATTTAAATAAGAGAAAATGTATGACTTTTAGCTAAAATAATTGTTTTGGCCAGGTGCGGTGGCTCACACCTGTAATCCCAGCACTTCAGGAGGCTGAGGCAGGTGGATTACAAGGTCAAGAGTTCGAAACCAGCCTGGCCAACATGGTGAAACCCCGTCTCTACTAAAAATACAAAAATTAGCCAGGCATGGTGGCAGGCGCCTGTAATCCCAGCTACTTGTGAGGCTGAGGCAGGAGAATTGCTTGAAATCGGAAGGTGGAGGTTGCAGTGAGCCGAGATCAGACCACTGCACTCCAGCCTCGGCAACAAGGGTGAAACTCTGTCTCAGAAAAAAAAAGAATTGTTTTACAAGTATGATACTTGATTGGTTGCCAGTTGTGGAGGCTTCTGCACACTGGCAGCTGGAGAGTCTCCTGGTCATTTCTGCCTCATCCATCCTGCATGGTCTCCATGCCTCGGAGCCCAGACACAGTGCCAACAAGTCAGGTAAAGTGGGAATTGGGACTCTGATGTGGAAGGTGGATCTGGAACCCCGGGAACTCCAGTGTTTCTTTGCTTGGAACCATTTTATACTTTCTGCAGATCTAGAAGGCAGCTCCCCAAAATGGTCCCTGGGCCATTGCTTCTTTGGGCCAAATAAACAAACACTGTGCTCAGCAAGATCAAGACAAAATTCAGCAACTAGTTTCCTAAAGCTGTGTCTTATAACTCTCTTCAATTAATACTCTGTGTGTGTGTGTGTGTGTGTGTGTGTGTGTGAATATAATATAAATGTATGTGTAGGTATATACACACTTCTAGGCACAGAAATGCCTACCTATGTTCACCAATGGACATATGCTACAAGAGTAGTACACTAGTATACTCTTGTATATTACTCATGTATATATATATATATATATATATATATACACATAGATATAAAACAAATAATGCTAAATCCCAATTTAGCAAAAAAATTACTTCCTATTGAATCTTCCAAGCTTAAGTGCAACAAAATGTCTGATCAGATAAGAGTTTTTGGCTGGGCACAGTGGCTCATGCCTGAAATCTCAGCACTTGGGAAGGCTAAGGTGGGTGGATCGCTTGAGGTCAGGAGTTCAAGACCAGCCTGGCCAACATAGTGAAACCCCATCTCTACTAAAAATACAAAAATCAGCCAGGCGTGGTGGCATATGCCTGTAATCCCAGCTACTCGGGAGGCTGAGGATGGAGAATCACTTGAGCCCATGAGGCAGAGGCTGCAGTGAGCTGAGACTGCCATTGAGCTCCAGCCTAGGCGACAGAGTGAGACCCTGTCTCCAACAAAAAAAAAAAAAAAAAAAAAGAGTTACTAAGAATAAGCAGTTAAGTGATAGAAGGAGTCCCTTATGAGTTTATGAATTTGAGAGATTTACAAATTTTTGCTTAAATGACTAAAATCTTTTATTTGGGTTTTAGAAATGTTGAGCTGGATCCCTTTTCAGTGTCAATTATAAGATAGCAGGGCCAGTTCCATTAAAATCCCTTCCATTTATTAATAATAAAATCAATACATCTGCACATAAGCTCATCTGCATTGCAGGCCCATCCAAGAGTGATATCATCAGTACACATCATCCAGAAAGTCTACAGTAGAAAAGACAAAAAGTCTAGAATGAATACTGTAATGGTATGGAACAACTGGAATTGGCATACCCTGAGTGGGGCATGTAAATCGGTATAACTACTTCGGAAAACTATTTATTAGCAACTAATGAAGCTAAATCAATACAAAACCCATAACCCAGCAATTCCACTTCTAGGTACAGAGATGCCTAAGCTCTGTTCACCAAATGACATATGCTACAAAATCCATGGCAGCACTACTTACAATAACCTTCAAATGGAAGTACCCAAATGCTCATTGACAATAGAATAGATAACTAAGTTGCAGTATAAATTCACACAGTAAAATACAGCTATCCCTCAATATCCATGGGGGATTGATTCCGGGACTCCCACAGATACAAAAATTCAGGAATTCTCAAGTTTTTTACATAAAATGGTGTTGTATTTGAATATAACCTATGCACATCCTCCCATAAACTTTAAATCATCTCTAGATTGCTTATAATACCTAATACAATGTAAATGCTATGTAAATAGTTGTTATACTGTGTTTTAAGAAAATAATGGGCCGGGTGCAGTGGCTCATGCCGGGTGCAGTGGCTCATGCCAGCACTTTCGGAGGCCGAGGCGGACGGATCACGAGGTCAGGAGATCGAGACCATCCTGGCTAACACAGTGAAACCCTGTCTCTACTAAAAATAGAAAAAATTAGCTGGGCGTGGTGGCGGGCTCCTGTAATCCCAGCTACTCGGGAGGCTGAGGCAGGAGAATGGCGAACCCGGGAGGCAGAGCTTGCAGTGAGCCGAGATGCACCACTGCACTCCAGCCTGGGTGACAGAACAGGACTCTGTCTCAAAAAAAAAAAAAAAAAAAGAAGAAAGAAAGAAAGAAAAGAAAAGAATGACAAGGGCTGGGGGTGGTGGATTATGCCTGTAATCCCAGCAACTTTGGGAGGCCAAGGCAGGCAGGTCACCTGAGGTCAGGAGTTCAAGACCAGCCTGGCCAACATGGTGAAACCCTGTCTATACTAAAAATACAAAAATTAGCCAGGCATGGTGGCAGATGCCTGTAATCCCAGCTCACTGGGAGGCTGAGGCAGAAGAATCACCCAAACCTGGGAGGTGGATGTTGCAGTGACCCAAGATTGCACTACTGCACTCTAGCCTGGGTGAAAGAGTAAGACTCCGTCTCAAAAAAAAAAAAAAGAATGACAAGAAAAAAGTCTACATGTTCAGTATAGATGCAACTTTTTTAAAAATGTTTTTAATCTGTGGCTGGTTGAATCCATGGATGCAGAATCCATGGATACGGGGGGCTGACTGTGCACACCAAGTATAACCAATCAACAAGGACGCATATCAATGTGGATGAATTTCACCAACATGACATTGGGCAGAAGAAGCCAGACACCGAAAAGAATATACACAGCGTGGCCAACATGATGGAAACCCTGTCTCCACTAAAAATACAAAAAATTAGCTGGGCGTGGTGGCGCACACATGTAGTCCCAGCTACTCAGGCACGAGAATCACTTGAACCTGGGAGGCAGAGGTTGCAGTGAGCCAAGATCATACCACTGCACTCCAGCCTAGGTGACAGAATGAGACCCTGTCTCAAAAAAAAGAAAAGAATATACAGTATGATTTCAAATATATAGAAGTTGTTACCCTTGGGGAGGTAGCGAGTAGAAGGAAGTATGAAGATGAAGGTGTCTGGGATTGCCAGCAATGAGCATTGGTTGCATGGATATGTTTAGAATGGAAAATTCTGAATATATGTGAACCTTCCAAAAAAAAGTTTTTAAAGTTGTATCAGTTCATTACAGTACAAATGTAAAATTAGGGGAATTGTTTAGGAGTACCCCTCTTAGACCCCTAATTAGGAGTTGGAGGTCTCAGTCTGTGACCAGGATTAGAGTTCGTTCTATGGCTGGAATCTGGGCTCAGCCAGGATAAGGTTCTGTGTGGATCCAGTACTAATCATCGCTGCATCAGGGCTCTGCCTGGCAGGAGGGCTCGGGAGCCTTTGCTCTGTGTCCACAGCTCGACTGCTGCCGTTCCAGGATCTGACCACTTGATGTCTCCACTTCACAAATTGCCAAGTGAGGAAAGAGCTGGATAGAGCTGCCTAGACACGTACCGGCCCTGAGCTGGGATAGGTTGGAGGCCATAGCTCAGGGAAAGACTTGGAAACTGCAGAGAATGAATCCAAGTGGCAGCAAAGCTGGCTGGGCTGGGGCTGGGGTCCAGGCCCCATGCAACAAGGGCAGCCATGGGGACCACAGAGGCAAGTCCAGCTCAGAAGCCCCCAGCTTTGCGCCTATCTCAGCAGCACTGGTCGGTCATTCATTCAGTGCTTCATGAGCTCCCGCTCTGAGGAGGAATCAATGGAATCAATGGAAGGAATCACTGAGGAATCAATGGAAGGCAAATAGGGCACAGTCCCTGGCTTAATGGAGCTCACAGTCAGGCATACACCTCCTTTCTCCTTTCCATCTTGTCCCTGCCTAGCACGCCCAGCTCCCTCCAACCCAAAAGAACCTCCAATATTAGAATCTGCCCCCCACCAACTCCTCAACCAGGATCCCATTTTTCTTCTTTGTTGTCTGTCTCCCCGACTAGGGCAGATGTCTAAGGAGCAGGGCTTTCATCTGCCTTGTAGACCCTGGTGATCTCAGGGTCAGGCCCAGATGACCAACAAATATTCATTGAATGAAACTTGGATAGCAGTGAGGTGTTCACATCATCTCTACAGAAACAAACAGAACAGAGCAGGGAAACTTCCTCTGGGTCTGTGGCACCCAGCTCCCCAGACCTTGCAATTCTGGAGGAAGCCTCAGACAAGGCTTTTTGTGGGGTGGGTGTGGGAACCTGAGTAGGACTGAGAGCTGGAGGTTTCAGGGCTGGGAGGGCTGCATGACAGAAGGTGCTATTAGCCCAGCTCATGAACACTGAGCAGTTCCACTTCCCCCTTTTCAAAGTAAGCATGGTGGGGGAGGGAAGAGACAGGCCTTGTATCACCCCTTGATAGGCCCAGGGACCTAGCTATTAAAAACAGGAAATATGAGCCAGCAGAGAGTAAGGAGGAACTAACTGGGGGTGCCCTGTCTGCCTCCAACTACAGGGAGCCTGCCAGCTACCTTAATTCAGTCTAGGCAGATGACAGAGAACGAATAGACCAGCTTGACTGAAGCCTCCTGAGAGCCTGGGAAGGAGACCCAGGACATGAGTCTGGGCATGACTTTGGAGGAGCAGGTTGTAAGAAAGGGGATAAAGAGCTAGAGCTGCAGGCAGCTACTCCCTAGAGGAAGGAGGAAGGAGCAGAAGCCTGAGACACAGACTTGGATGGCCGTGTGGATGTGAGCAGCTGTCCAGGACCTTCAGAGGACCAGTTTGAGCCCATTTATTGGGAACCAAAAATGAGGATATCAGGATGGACCTCCAGCACCAGGGTTTACACTCTGCCACCCACTATGCACGGCCAATCAACATTCCCAGCACTGTCCAATAGAACAGTGCAATGCTGAAAATTTCTATAGCTAGGTTTTCCAATTTGGTAGTCATCGGACTCATGTAGCTAGTGGCTACCATATTGGACATCAGAGCTCTAGCCCCATGTGTAAGGTGAACAAAGAGCTGCCTTCCAATATTTCTTTTATTCCCTCCCACTCCTTCCATTCTTTCACACCCTCCTCTTGTGCCTCAGGCTATCAGTCAATAATTATATTGTAACGAGTTGAATTTCATAGGCCATAAGCTCATGTAAAATGAATATATAAAGTAACTTATTTTTGTATAACTGAATTTCATTTCTATCCCAAGTGCCCATCCAACCTAATGGCAGAGATTTACTGTAAATAAGTTCAGGTTAAATGTGGTCAAGTGACTGCTTCCTCCCTCTCTTCCTCCAGAGTGCATCTAAGTCTCTAGACAGGTCAGAGTGTGTAGCCAGCACTCAAGCATTGGGAAGAGGGGCATTTGGAGCCTTAGGGCCCACTGTCTATGCTAGGATTAAACTATCAGTCCTTGTCCTATTCATTTAATCTTCAAACTTCATTTCTGGGTTCTTCGATTCTTCCCTTTCCTGCAGGGGCAGTAGGAAGAGCTCCAGAATCCCTTCTTAAAAACTTATAGCAGCATCTAACTCTACTGTTCCACCTGTCCACATATTCCCATACTTTCTATCCCTTTGCTAATAAAAATAAAAGCAGCTAACATTTATTGAACATTTTCCATGTACCAGGAAAATTCTAAGCACTTTATTTATTTATTTATTTATTTATTTATTTATTTATTTACTGAGATGGAGTCTCACTCTGTTGCACAGGCTGGAGAGCAGTGGCACCATCTCAGCTCACTGCAACCTCCACCTCCTGGCTTCAAGTGATTCTCCTGCCTCAGCCTTCCAAGTAGCTGGGATTATAGGCACCCACCACTATGCCTGGCTAATTTTTCTTTTCTTTTTTTTTTCTTTTTTTTTTGGAGACAGGGTCTCCCTCTGTCGCCCAGGCTGGAGTGCGGTGGTGTGATCTTGGCTCACTGCAACCTCCGCCTTCTGGGTTCAAGCAATTCTCCTGCCTCAGCCTCCCAAGTAGCTAGGACTACAGGTGCCCGCCACCATGTCCAGCTAATTTTTTGTATTTTTTTTAGCAGAGACAAGGTTTCACCCTGTTGCCCAAGGTGGTCTTGAACTCCCAAGCTCAGACAATCTGCCTACCTCAGCCTCCCAAAGTGCTGGGATTACAGGCATGCGCCACCATGCCTGGCCCTAATTTTTACATTTTTAATAGAGACAGGGGTCTCACTATGTTGGCCAGGCTGGTCTCGAACTCCTGACATCAAGTGATCCGCCCACCTTGGCCTCCCAAAGTGCTGGGATTACAGGCATGAGCCACCATGCCCAGTCTATTCTAAACACTTTAAAACAACTAGCCCATATAGTCTTCCCAACAACTCCCTGAGGTAAATACTGTTATTATCCCCATTTTGCAGATCAGAAACTGAGGCACAGAGAGGTAGTGTGAAAAAAGCTCACACAGATAGTATTCTTATTGAGGCTGTGGATGTGTTAACTAGCTTGACTTAATTCTTCCACATTGTATTCATACATTATAACATCACTTTGTACCTCACAAATTTATACAGCTATAAATTGTCAATTTACAGTGAAAAGAGTTTTGATAGATTTTGCTATTTAAAAAATAACTAATAAAAAAGAAAGCATTCTTGGGCTAGGATCTCAAAAGCCAGTATTACAGATGCATTTACTTAGCAATACAACTTCCATGAGTCAATCCCAAAAATACTCTGGCAAATGTCTGACACAAGCCTCTTTGTTACAGCACTCATTGTAATAACAAGGGGCTAGAAACTACCCAAACATCCATCAACAGGGGATTATGTGAATAAATTATGATATATTTACACAGTGGAATACTATGAAGCCATAAAATGGAATGAGAGCTATCTTTGTATACTGTAGTAGAGTGATCTTCAGAATATATTGCTAGGCTGGGCATGGTGGCTCATGCCTATAATCCCAGCACTTCAGAAGCCTGAGACAGGAGGATCACTTGAACCCAGGGGTTCAAAACCAACCTGGCCAACCTAGTGAAACCTTGTCTCTGCAAAAAAAAAAAAATTGAAGGAAAATTAGCCAGGCGTGGTAGTGCACGCCTGTGGCCCCAGCTGTTCAAACGGTTGAGGTGGCCAGATTGCTTGAGCCCAGGGGATTGAGGCTGCAGTGAGCCATGTTCACAACACTGCACACCCGTCTGCGCAACAGGGCAAGACCCTGTCTCAATAAATAAATAATAAATAAAATATAAAATGTATATACATATATTATATATATATAGTTAAGTAAAAGAAGAAAAGTGTATGGCTGCTAGCATTTATGTACAAAAGAGGGGAAATCAATATATATATTTGCTTATATTTTTTAAATAAAAGAAAAGAACTTTTTAAAAAATGACTCTCGATGAGAAAGGAAGACATCAGAGTACAAAGAACAAGTATAGAAGCTAGAGTTACCTGAATATACTTATTTTGAAGATTTGGCTATGGAACGATGTAAATGTTCCACATAATCATTAAAACAAAATGGAATTTTAAATAAAGTAACCCCTAAAATGAAAGCAAAATGAAATGAATGTATCAAACTATGTATTAAATTGATGGTATAAGTGCTCAGAGAAGAATTATTTCAAATGACTTTAAACATAGTAATTTGTACATTCCCATCAGGATATACCCAAAGGACAAGAGGAACTGCCAAAAAAATTAAAGTTTTTAATTTTTTTTTTTTTTTTAGATGGAGTTTCGCTCTTGTTGCCCAGGCTAGAGTGCAATGGTGCGATCTCAGTTCACCACAGCCTCTGCCTCCCAGGTTCAAGTGATTCTCCTGCCTCAGCCTCCCGAGTAGCTGGGATTACGGGCACGTGCCACCATACCTGGCTAATTTTTTTTGTATTTTTAGTAGAGACGGGGTTTTTCCATGTTTGTCAGGCTGGTCTCGAACTCCCAACCTCAGGTGATCCGCCCCCCTCGGCCTCCCAAAGTGCTGGGATTACAGGCGTGACCTGCCATACCTGACCAGTTTTTAATCTTAAAATGTTTTCCATAATCATATTATTAATATAAATTGTTATTTTATACATTATAAGATAAAGCAAATAAATCTAATATTATTGCCACTAAAACCAACATTTTCAGCATAAGAAAAAATATAAACATAAAAGAAATAAAAATGCTATACCCTAAATTGAAATTTAAAATATCAGTATGAACTCAAGATCTCTTAAAACTTTTTTTCTCTAGCTCTACCCACTAAAAAGGCCTAGAAACAATTACCACTGCAATAACTATGAGCACCCCTAGAGAAAAGGTTGCAATATCAAAATACCATTTCCCACAAAAGAACCAGGGCTCCTAGGAGAAATAGCTGATTCAAGGTCTGGAGCAAAAAATATACAAGATGAACCAAGAAGACTTTTTCATTCCAGAAAGCAATAAAGCTATAGTGTCATGTCAAAAGGGCTCAGAAGCCAATGTCTTGAAGAGGCTCTTGTTGACCAAAGATGAGGCAATTGAAGCATCAGTAGGATCTAAAATAAAACAGATTCAAAATCCATAAGTTTATAATGATACTCAAAAAAAGAGAAGTGATAGATTGGCTAATTATCCTGATTTGATCGTTACACATTGTACACATGTATTGAAATATCATACTGTACCCCATAAATATGCACAACTATTATGTGTCAATTACAGGCAACTTATTTGCTATATTTTCCTTGTTTTTCTGAATTTTTTTTCTGAGCTGGAGTTTCATTCTTGTTGCCCAGCCTGGAGTGCAATGGTGCAATCTTGGCTCACTGCAATTTCTGCCTCCTAGGTTCAAGCAATTCTCCTGCCTCGGCCTCCCAAGTAGCTGGGATTACAGGCATGCGCCACCACACCCAGCTAAATTTTTATATTTAGTACAGACAGAGTTTCACCATGTTGGTCAGGCTGGTCTCGAACTCCTGACCTCAGGTGATCCACCTGCCTCAGCCTCCCAAAGTGCTAGGATTACAGGCATGAGCCACTGTGCCCAGCCAATTTTTTTAAATAAGTAGGTATGGAGCCATTCTTGAGTCAAGACAGTAACAGCAGTAGCAATCTTTTTATGATACTTATTATCAAATTATATACTTTAAGAATGAGCAGTTTATGTTATGTAATTTCTTTTTCAATAAAGCACCTAAGAAAGCAAGAAAGAAAAGGGAGGGAGGGAGGGAAGGAAGGAAGGGAGAGAAAGGAAAGAAAGCAAGAAAGAAAGAAAGAGAGAGAAGGAAGGAAAGAAAGGAAAGGAAAGGAAGAAAAAGAGAGGAAGAAAAAAGAAAAAAGAAAGAGGAGGGAGAGAGGGAGGGAAAAGGAAAACTTCACTGGATTCCCTTTGAGCATGTTAGGACACCAACTCATTATTTTGAAAATAGGTAAATAAAGGGAAAGAATCAAGCACCTTTTCTACTTTTTCTGTATGAACCGTATCTCCTTGTAACCAAATAATTGGTGAGAGAAAATTTCTCCTTACAGAATTATTTCAGCTAAGTAATGAGGAAAAAATCTAAAGAATTTGAATTTTGCATTTTGTACTTTACACACTTTAAGGAAACAATGGATCTAGGCCATGATCGTCAATGCCTAGGAATCGCACAGAATGAGACAAATATACTCAATGTGCCTCCTGGTATAGGTACACAATATTACCTATGAAGCATTCTTGCTAAAAACACTTAACCTGACTTTATTAAGATACTAGTCACATGAACTAGAAGTCAGAGGAATGTGTTAGATCAGCGGTCCCCAACCTTTTTGGCACTAGGGACCATGCCGTAGAAGACAATTTTTGGGCTAGAAGACAGTTTTTCCACAGACAAGGGAGGGAGTCAGGATGAAACATAGAAGACGATTTTTCATAGACTATTTTTTCCACAGACAAGGGAAGGGGTCAGGATGAAATTGTTCTAACTCAGATCATCAGGCATTACTTAGACTCTCATAAGAAGCATGCAACCTAGATCACTCACATGCGCAGTTCACAAGAGTTCGCACTCCTATGAGAATCAAATGCTGCTGCTGATCAGACAGGAAGCAGAGCTCAGGTGGTAATTCGAGCGATGGGGAGCAGCTGTAAATACAAATGAAGCTTCGCTCAGTGGCCCACCACTCACCTCCTGCTGTGTGGCCTGTTAGGAATCAGGCCGAGGACCAGTACAAAGGATTGGGGACTCATGTGTTAGATGACACCACAGGGATGCAATCCACAAACCAGAAGATAGAAGACTCTACAAGATAAATGCCATATATATATATATATATATATATATTTTTTTTTTTTTTTTTTTTTTTTTTTTGAGACAGGGTCTCACTCTGTGGCCTAGGCTGGAGTGCAGTGGTGCAATCTCCGCTCACTACAACCTCCACCTCCCAGGTTCAAGTGATTCTCCTGCCTCAGCCTCCCAAGTAGCTAGGACTACAGGCATGTGCCACCACACCTGGCTAATTTTGTTGTTGCTTTTGTTTGTTGTTTGGGGGGGGGGGTGTTGGTTGTGGTGGTGTTTTTATTTGTTTGTTTGTTTTTTGGTAGCAACGGGTTTTCACCATGTTGACCAGTCTGGTCTTGAACTCCTGACCTCAAGTGATCCACCAGCCTCAGCCTCCTAAAATGCTGAGATTACAAGCATGAGCCACCCTGCCCAGCCTCTTATTTCTTCAATAAACGAACTGAAGACAGAGCAAGGGAAAATCTCTCCAATCCTGCTTATTCCACCTTCCACACTTAAAAAAGAGAGAAAGGGAGAGCCTAAAGGGTAAAAGAGACTTAATTATTACCAATCAGTGGATTGTGTGGACCTTGTTTGGATCTTGTTTCAAATAAACACATTACATGCAACAATTGGGTATACACACACACACACACACACATAGACATATATATATATATATATATATTTTTTTTTTTTTTTTGAGACAGAGTGTAGTTCTGTTGCCCAGGCTGGAGTGCAGTGGCACCATCTCGGCTCACTGCAACCTCTGCCTCCCGTGTAGCTGAGACCACGGGTGCATGCCGCCATGCCCGGCTAATTTCTGTATTTTTAGTAGAGACAGGGTTTCGCCATATTGGCCAGACTGGTCTTGAACTTCCGACCTTAAGTGATCCTCCCGTCTCGGCTTCCCAAAGTGCTGGGATTACAGGCATGAGCCACCGTGCCTGGCCAATTCAGTATATTTAAACATGGACTGGATATTGGATTATATTAAGAATTGTTGTTGGTTTTTTTTGGTGTAATAATAATAATTGTGGCTACATGTTTAAAGTTCCTTTTTTAGAGCGACATGGAGAAATGTTTACTGATGAAATGATATGATGTTTGAGATCTGCACAGAAATTATTCCATAAAGGAGAGAGTAGATGGGCATATAATTAAAGAAGTTTATCTGGCCGGGCGCGGTGGCTTACACCTGTAATCCCAGCACTTTGGGAGGCCGAGGCAGGTGGATCATGAGGTCATGAGATCGAGACCATCCTGGCTAACATGGTGAAACCCCGTCTCTACTAAAAATACAAAAAAAAAAAAAATTAGCTGGGCATGGTGGGGGGGCGCCTGTAGTCCCAGCTACTCAGGAGACTGAGGCAGGAGAATGGCATGAACCCGGGAGGCGGAGTTTGCAGTGAGCTGAGATCGCACCACTGCACTCCAGCCTGGGCGACAGAGCAAGACTCCGTCTCAAAAAAAAAGTTTACCCATAAGTTGATCACTTTAAGTTGGGTGATGAGTATGTAAGGGTTCATTACATTATTCTCTTTACTTTTGTAAATGCTTAAAATTTCCCATACTAAAGAGGAGAAAAAGCTAATATTTGCTTATTTTCATACTTTCTGCACTTCTGCTATAAAAACCACCTCCAAGGCCAAAGGAACCAGAGAAATGTGATAAGATAAAAGGCATTATACAAAAAAAGAAATACATTGGCTAGTACTTCAAACTACTTAGAAACAGATGTATAGACCAATGAAACAGAATAGAGAGAACAGAAATAAATCCCTACAACTACAGCCAACTCATTTTTCAACAAAGGTGCAAACAACACACATCGGGGGAAAGGACAGTGTCATCAATACATGGTGCCAGGAAAATTGGGTATTTATATGCAAAAAAATTAAACTAGACCCCTACCTTTCACCATATACAAAAATCAACTCAAAATGGATTAAACACTTAGATCTAAGATCCAAAACTATGAAACTCTACTAGAAGAAAACATGGGGACACATTTTTTGACATTGTTTTGGACAAGGGTTTTTTAGATAAGCCCTCAAAAGCACAGGCATAGGCTGGGTGCAGTGGCTCATGCCTGTAATCCCAGAACTTTGGGAGGCCAAGGTGGGCGGATCACGTGAGGTCCGGAGTTCGAGACCAGCCTGGCCAACATGGCGAAAACCTGTCTTTGCTAAAAATACAAAAACTAGCTGGTGGTAGTGACATACACTTGTAGTCCCAGCTACTCTCAGAAGGTTGAGGCAGGAAAATCGCTCGAACTCGGAAGGTGGCGGTTGCAGTGAGCTGAGAGCACACCACTGCACTCCAGCCTGGACGACAGAACAAGACTCTGTCTCAAAAATAAAGTACAGGCATCAAAAGCAAACATAGACAAATGGAATTACATCAAACTGAAAAGCTTCTGCACAAAAAAACAACGCATGAAGAGATAACACACAGAGTGGGAGAAAATATTTGCAAACTATACATCTGGTTAATATCCAGAATATATAAGTAACTCAGACAACTCAATAGCAATAAACAAAAACAAAAACAAAAAACAAACCAAATAGTCCAATTTTAAAGTGGAAAAAAGACCTGAATAGACATTTCTCAAAATAAGAGTTACAAATGGCCAACAGATATTTGAAAGAATGCTCAACATCACTAGTCATCAGGGAAATGCAAATCAAATCCATAAACAGATATCATCTCACTCCAGTTAGAACCATTATTATCAAAAAGACAAAAGACGAGTGTTGGCGAGGATGCAGACAAAAGGGAACCCTTACACGCTGTTGGTGGAACTGTAAATTAGTACAGCTGTTGTAGAAAACAGTATGGAGGTTCCCCCCAAAATTAAAAATGGAACTACCATATGATCCAGGAATCCAACTACTAGGTATACATCTAAAAGAAATAGGCTGGGCCCAGTGGCTCATGCCTGTAATCCCAGCACTTTGGGAGGCCGTGACAGGTGGATCTTGAGGCCAGGAGTTTGAGACCAGCCTGGCCAACATGGTAAAACCTTGTCTCTACTACAAATACAAAAGATTAGCTGGGTGTGGTGGCACGTGCCTGTAGTCCCAGCTATTTGGAAGGCCGAGACAGGAGAATCACTTGAACCTGGGAGGCAGAGGTTGCAGTGAGCCGAGATGGCACCACTGCACTCCAGCCTGGACAACAGAGTGAGACCCTGTCTTGAAAATAAAATAAAATAAAGGAAAGGAAAGGAAAGGAAATCAGCATGTCAAAGAGGTATCTGTGCTCCCATATTTATTACAGCATTATTCACAATAGCCAGTGTATGGAATCAACTTAAGTGTTCATCAATGAACGAATGGATGAAGACAATGAAGTACATGTAAACAATGGAATACTATTCAGCCATAAAAAAGGACTAAATCCTGTTCATTTGTGACTACATGGATGAATCTGGTGACTTTATGTTATGTGAAATAAGCCAGACACAGAAAAACAAACTGTATGTTCTTATCTGTGGAACCTAAAAAAATCGATCTCCACTTGGCACAGTGGCTCAAGCCTGTAATCCCAACACTTTGGGAGGCCAAGAAAGGAGGATTGCTTGAATCCAGGAGTTCAAGACCAGCGTGAGCAACATACGAAGACTCCATCTCTACAAAAAATTTAAAAATTTTTCTGGGTAGGCGCAGTGGCTCATGCCTGTAATTCCAGCACTTTGGGAGGCTGAGGTGGGCGGATCACAAGGTCAGGAGTTCGAGACCAGCCTGACCAATATGGTGAAACCCCATCTCTACTATAAATACAAAAAAAATTAGCCGGGCATGGTGGCAGGCACCTGTAATCCCAGCTACTTGGGAGGCTGAGGCAGGAGAGTTGCTTGAACCCGGGAGGCGGAGGTTGCAGTAAGCCAAGATCGCGCCACTGCACTCCAGCCTGGGCAACAGAGCAAGACTCTGACTCAAAAAAAAAAAAAATTCTGGGTGGGGTGGTACATTCCTGTGGTTCTCAGCTACTCAGGAGGCTGAGGCAGGAGGATCACTTGAGCCCAGAAGTTCAAGGCTGCAGTGAGCTGTAATTGCACCACTGCACTCCAGCCTGGGTGACAAAGACCCTGTCTCAAAACAAAAAAAGAATTTTTGTTTTAAATCTCATAGAAGCAGAGAGTAAAATAGTGGTTACTAGAGGCTAGGGAGGGATTGGTAGAGGGAGGAGGAGGAGAGGTTGGCCAATAAGTACCACGTTACAATTAGGTAGGAGAAATAAGTTCTGGTGTTCTATTGCACAATAGGGTGACTATAGTTAAGAATAATGTACATCTCAAAATAGCAGAAAAGAGGATTTGAAATCTTCTCGCCACAAAGAAACGATAAATGTTTGAGGTGATGGATTTTTTAATTACCTTGATTTGATTATCATAGTGTATATACGTATTGAAACATCACATTGTACCCCATAAATACAATCATTATGTGTCAATTAAAAATAAAATAATTACAGGTGTGAGCCACCATGCCCAGCCTGAAGTGCCCTATTGAACATATGAGTCTAGAGCTCAGACTATCTCCCTCTCAGATACCAAACAACCCTTATTTATTTCACACTGGTCTTCTCTTTATTTTATTTTATTTATTTATTTTTTTTTTTGAGACGGAGTCTTGCTCTGTTGCCCAGGCTGGAGTTCAGTGGCATGATCTCGGCTCACTGTAAGCTCTGCCTCCCGGGTTCACACCATTCTCCTGCCTCAGCCTCCCGAGTAGCTGGGACTACAGGCGCCCGCCACCACGCCCAGCTAATTTTTTGTATTTTTAGTTGAGACGGGTTTTCACCATGTTAGCCAGGATGGTCTCAATCTCCTGACCTCATGATCTGCCTGCCTCAGCCTCCCAAAGTGCTAGGATTACAGGCGTGAGCCACCATGCCTGGCCCCACACTGGCCTTCTTTCTTTTCCTGAACAGGCCAAGTTTCCTCCAGCCTCAGGACCATGGCATTGCTATTCCTGTTGCCTGGCATATTTCTCCCCTAGATGGCCACATGACTAGCTCTTAAACATTCAGATCTCAGGTCAAATATCATCTAATGAGAAAATCCTTGCTCGGTCGGGCATGGTGGCTCACGCCCGTAATCCCAGCACTTTGGGAGGCTGAGGCGGGCGGATCACCTGAGCCCAGGAGTTCTAGACCAGCCTGGCAAACATGGTGAAACCCCATCTCTACTAAAAATACAAAAATTAGCCAGGTGTGGTGGCAGGCCCCTGTGATCCCAGCTACTCGGGAGGCTGAGGCAGAAGAATTGCTTGAACCAGGGAGGCGGAGGTTGCAGTGAGCCGAGATCGCACCATTGCATTCCAGCCTGGGTGACAGAGTGAGACACTGTATCGAAAAAAATAATAATAATAAAAAAGAAAAAAAAAGAAAATCCTCGCTCAAGACCCAAGCTAAAATCAATATAAGGAGTGAGCCAGGGATCCACATTGGTCAGATTTTGCTGTGACAATGATGCATAAAAGACAACTTCCAGAAGCCTGGTGCTTACAGCAGTAAACATTCACTTCTTGCCCAGGGGTCTGTGGGTCAAGCTGGGGCTCTGCAGGGCTTTCTGGGGCTAGCTGGGCTGGGCTCCAGGCTTTGGGGTGAGTAGGTGGCTGTCTCATATATCTTCTCATTTGGAGTCCAGGCTGAAGGAGCCTCCACTGTCTGGGACTTGTGGTTCTCATGGCCGAGGACAGTTGCTCAAAGGGATGAATGGAAACACTTTGTGCCTTGGGCCTGGCCCCTGTGACTTCCACACATATTCTCATGGCCAAAGCAAGTCACGTGGCCAAGTGCAATATCAACAGGGTGAGGAAGTATATTCCTTCCGTGGTGGTGGGGGCTGGGGAAAGTAAATATTTGCTGAACAGTAATACAATCTACCAAATCACCCAATTCTTTTTTTCCCCCAGATGGCTATGTTTATTGAGTCATCCCTCCACATTCTTATGAAATACCATCTTTTACAAACGAATGAATGAATGAGAAATGTGCCTTTCAAGGCAGGAGGAGCCTCCCCATGCTTCAAATGAGAAACCTGAGGCTCAGAGAAGGGAGTGAGTCACCCAAGGTCCTAGAAACCACCTGTGGCAAGCCCAGCCTGTCGGGCTCCTCAGTTCACTTCTCTACATACAATAAATGAGGCAGGAAAGTGCAATTTTCTGGGCAGTGAGGACACATCACCCGTCCTGCCCTCCCACTGAGGCTTGTTGACAGGCCCATAATCAGGAGGCAAGTATACCAAAAGGTTTCCTTGCTGATTCAATCTCGGGGCTCACTCTGAAACCAAGTAGGACCTTGATTTGTCATTTCCGGGTCTCCGAACCACAAATGTTAAGTACGTATTAAATGAGTGAGTCACTGGTCCTGTGGACATTTTAATTGCTGATTAAGTGTTCCATGAATTCTGGGTCCCGCCCCAACTGTGCCTGCCCCTAAGGTACAGACAGTCACCTCTACTTCTTCGGGGACCTGCAGTGTCTAACACCGACTAGGGTACACAGTGACACTCAAAAATGAGGCATAGGCATATAGGCCGGGCATTGTGGCTCACGCCTATAATCCCAGCACTTTGGGAGGTCGAGGCGGGCAGATCACTTAAGCCCAAGAGTTCAAGATCACCGTGGGCAACATGGCAAAACTCTGCCTCTACAAAGAAAAAAAAAAGTCAGGTGTGGTGGTGTGCACCTGTGGTCCCAGCTACTTGGGAGGCTGAGGTGCTAGGATTGCTTGAGCCCAGAAGGCAGAGGTTGCAGTGATCCAGGATCACATGCCACTACACTCCAGCCTGGGTGACAGAGTGAGACCCTGTCTCAAAAAAAAAAAAACAAAAAAAAGGTATAGGGCTTAGGCAAATTCTGGAAGGACATGCCTCAGATAAACAGTGGGCAACCCTTTTGAAGCAAGTTTACTTAGAACTTTAACTCTCTGCTTTCGGTCTTTATGTAGCATTTGAACACTCCACAATCAGTATAGATTGCTTCTATAGGCGTGAGTATAGGTATGCTTCTGATTGCACAGGTAGCATTCAGAGAACCAATCTGAAACTGGTCTAAGTCCATACTAGTGTGCAAAAAGCAATTACTTGCTGATTGGTTGGGAAACTCCTGAAAATCATCTTCCTCCAGAATCCTTCTCCCACACATTATCAGAAGCCTGCTTTCAGAAACACTGAGTCAATTCTCAACCACTCCTTCAGTCAGTAAGCCCGGGAGCACCTACAGCACGCCAAGTGATGAGTGAGCCACCAGGGTGACAGGTGATAGGCAGGGAAACAGGTGGTAGCCAGAGTCAGTGGGGCCTGCATTCAAACCATTGCTGACATAGATGGCACTGGACCATGGGCCAGACACTGTGCTAAACGCCCCACAAGGATTATCACGTTTAATCCACACGACAAGTTGATGAGGCAGGCACTATTATTATCCTGTTTGACAGCTGTGGAAACTGAAGTGCAGAGAGGCAAAGGAACTTGCCCAAGGTCACATAACTAGCAGATGGTGGAACCGACATTTGATTCCAGAGTCTGTGATCCCCACTGTGACCCAAAACTGCTTCCCACTAGGAACTTGTCCAGATTCCACAGGCAGTAAGTGACAGTCAAAATTCAAACTCAGAAAGGTTCATCAGCCTCCAAAGAATATTGTCTTAACTGATAAGACGTCCTCCCTTCCAACTCCCTCCATTTCTGGATCCAACACCAACATGCTGGGTGACCTTGGGGAGCCTCCCTGACCTCAGTTTTCATGGCTGCAAAATGGAAAGAACACTGCTTACCTTAAGGAGCTGCAGAGGGGCTTTTATGCGAAGACAGTTCCTCCTGTAGAAATATGGTAGGCACTCAGTTGAGATACATCTGTGTTCTTTCTGGTTTCCAGGAGTTTGGGGCAGTTGGACAAGTGGGCACTGGAGCAAGTCTGTGTGATAAGCTCTATGACTGAGAGTGGACTAAGTGCTGGGCCAGAGGCTGCACATGGGATGGAAAGCCAAGGGCTGCTGTGTACCCAGAAAACTCAACTGAAGGAACACTGGAATAAACAACCCTCAGAAGGAGGGAAGCTTTGTTCGTCATCTTTCCTGTTTTCCTAGTCTGGCCCAGTTCCAAAACCTCTTCTTAATCGTGTCAGGAGTTTGGCCCAGTGCCCCAGGAAGGAGCCGCCAGGAGGCTTATAGTGAGCCAAGTCTTCAAGGAAGTGATGTCTTCTGTAAGTCAAGAGAAGGCAAGAAACTTTCTGGGAGAGAGAAGGAGATAGGGACAGAAACAGGGAAGCGCTCAGCTGGAAGACCCTTCCTTGAAGAAGTGGAGAAACTGAGGCTTAGAACAGAGCAAGGTTTACTGATTGTGCTGGTGGCACGGTTGGGGCAAGTAGCTTGTCTTCCTTCCTCCCAGGTCAGAGTCCTCTCCACTGCATGTATTGACTGTTCACCCCCTTCCTATTCTAGGACTACCCAGGCAGGGGGAGCTGCCTTCACTCACCCTTTCCCACTACTGCTTCCAGAAACATCTCCCCATCACTACACTAGGGACTTTGTAAGCACAGATGTGGGACCCATGAGTACTACAGAAGGAAGCAGAAGCTGCAAAGACCTTGGTAAGTTCGGCCATGCGGGAAACGAGGATGACAGACCCTCTGAAAGAAAGAACCAGTGCTTCCCAACACCTACTGTGTGTCTGTGCAATGCCAGGCACATCCAACATGTCATTATGGGATCCTTGGGCTGTCACTTCACCAGCCAGAAACCTCTGTAGCCAGTGGTGCCTTTGCCAGAGTTTTGCTCAGGCTCATTGCGCCCACTTGGCCTGGCAGGCTATGCTCAGCTCGTGCTAATGGCCTGGATCCCCTGCCTGCCAAGGGCGAGCGGAGCAGCGAGGATATGTGTGAGCAAGCAAGCGTGGGGTCCAGCCACTGTGCACAGCCAGGAACAATGGCTGTGGTGGAGTGGGCAGCTCCAGGTGCCAGCATGAGTGCTGGCTTCTTACGAGGCTGCAGCTGGAACAGGCATCCTGCAAGCAGCTTCCACTGCTGCCACTGGGGAATGCAATGGTTCCTGGGGGCTTGGATATGTCAGGAACCAGACCCCCAAAGAGGGTGTCACAGCCCTGGCTCAGGGAGCTCCTAGGTCTGGGGTCCCCGAAGGGCCTCAGCTCTTCTCCCCTTCTTCTTACCCACAACGTGGTGAGCAAGAGGTGTGTTTCAGCCGTGTTTGTGTTACAGCGCTTTCAGCCCTGCCATTCAGGAGGTCCTGAGTTCTTGTCCCATGCCCGGGAAGAATGAGGTACACAGACAAGTGGAGGGTGAGCAAGCTGAAGAGCTTTACTGAGCAATAGAGCAGCTCAGAGGAGACTCACAGTGGGTAGCTCCTCTCTGCTGCCAGGGTGTCCCATTAATGTTCAACTTTAATGTTCAGCTCTCAGCAGAGAGGAGCTACAAGACCCTGGAATGGGTAGCTTCTCTCCGCAGCTGGTCATCCTGATGTCTGCTGAGCTCCCAGCAGAGAGGAGACTTCAGAGGGGATAGCTCCTTTCTGCAGCTGGTTGTCCCAACATCTCTCTGAGTCTGGCTGAGTCCAGGTTCTTATGGGCTTCAGAGGGGAGGAAGTGTGTGCTGATTGGTCCATGGTTGGCCATGGGCAGGCCCAGAAAAGGCACCATAAGTTCCTACTCCAATCTGCAGGACTGGCAGCCTGGCCCCCAGGCTTCAGGCCTTCCCAGGATTGAAGGTGGGGCTTCACCAGGGACCCACCCCTTTTTGTCCAGAGCCTATCTGCCTCCTGCCACTGTTCATAGCACCCAGGCTGTTCAGGCAGAGGGGCACCTGCAGGCCAGTGCTGAGCTGCCCTCAGCCCTTCCTTGGTCTCCCTTCCATGTTAGTTTGTGCCCAAAGTCTGAAGTGGGCCAAGGTGGCAGGGGGCTGGTGTGTCAGTGCTGCCCCAAGCATGCACACACCCAGCTGGGTTGCGACAGTGCCTGGGATCAGCCTCAACTTTGCTCTGAAATCGAAGCAGGTGCCAGGAGCAGGGAAAGGCCAGGCAGTGGAAGCAGGCATTTCTGAGCCTGCAGGGGCAGGGGGGCCTTCCTGGGCCCCCAAGAGTGCAGAGATGCCTGGGTCTGCAGCCCTGGCTTGGGCAGCTGCAGCTGCGCCCAAGGAGCATGAAGCTTCCACCCTGTCAACTCAGAAGACGGCAGGGCTTCTGCCTGTTCCCGGCTCCTGCTGGTTCTGTGGAGCACCTCCCCCACTGCAGCCTGCATCATGGCAGTGGCCACTCTAGACAGGCCACCACTGCCATCAATGTTACATAATCTAATCATCACACTAACTCTGGGAAGTAGATTACATCCCCATTTTGCAGATAAGGAACCTAAGGCTCATAGGGGAGACATTTCCTGCCCAACTCTATCTCCAGCCCATAACTGTCTTCCAACCTCTAAACCTGGCTATCTACTTTGTCTCAGATATTCCTACTTATAACCCCACATGCTTCTCAAAGTCACCTTGAACTCATCCTCTTCCCCTCCCATAGATTTCTGGTCTCCCATCATAGCCTTACTACTCAGAACCCCAGATACTAATGTTGACTCCACCCTCTCCCCTATTTCTATCTCCAAATAGCCTGGGATTAGTGGTCCCCATTCCAAGTCTATTTCCTAGACATTGGCCTTCAATTCAAAGGGATGTAGCATAGTCCAGACTTTTATCATCTCCCTCTTAGATAACTTCAACAGTTTCTGTAAAAGCTCCTCTGCCTCCAGTTTATCCTTCCATCCATCCATACCCCACTCAAAATGTCAGGGGCAATCTTTCTAAAATGCAAATCTGTCTAGTCTCAACCAGCTGAAAACTCTGCCATGGCTTCACAGTGCCCTCAGGATAAACCCTTTACAGAGGCTTGCCTGGCCCTAAAAGTCTTGGCCCTTGCTGCCTTCTCTGGGGTCAGGTTGGGTCACTGTCTACCCTCTGCCCCTGAAGCCTTGGACGTCCTGGAATACATACAGTTCCTCTTTCACTTCAAGGCTTTGACCCCTGCTGTTTTCTCTGCCTTCCTCCAGCT
This sequence comes from Homo sapiens, assembly GCF_000001405.40. Taxonomy (NCBI): domain Eukaryota; kingdom Metazoa; phylum Chordata; class Mammalia; order Primates; family Hominidae; genus Homo; species Homo sapiens. The sequence goes on from NC_000020.11 coordinate 41,008,506, forward strand.
AACTCCTTCTCATCTTTCAGGTCTCAGCTTAGTCACCACTTCCTGACCACCCTGCTCTTAGGCTTCCTGAGCTGCCCTTCCAGTGAATCCCGCAGTTCCCTTATACTTCCTACACTGGGTTACCCACCCCCTCCTTCTCACATTCCCCTGTACAGCCCAAAACAGCCTTCCCCAGCAGCACAGAACACTGGGGCAGCACTCTCCAATGAAAATACAATGCATGCCACGTGCATAATTATAAATTTTTGGGTTGGGTGCGGTGGCTCATGCCTGTAATCCCAGCACTTTGAGAGTCCGAGATGGGTGGCTCAAGTGATCATGGTAAAATCCTGTTTCTTTTTTTTTTTTTTTTTTTTTTTTTTTGAGACGGAGTCTCGCTCTGTCGCCCAGGCTGGAGTGCAGTGGCGGGATCTCGGCTCACTGCAAGCTCCGCCTCCCGGGTTCACGCCATTCTCCTGCCTCAGCCTCCCAAGTAGCTGGGACTACAGGCGCCCGCCACTACGCCCGGCTAATTTTTTGTATTTTTAGTAGAGACGGGGTTTCACCGTTTTAGCTGGGATGGTCTCAATCTCCTGACCTCGTGATCCGCCCGCCTCGGCCTCCCAAAGTGCTGGGATTACAGGCGTGAGCCACCGCGCCCGGCCGTAAAATCCTGTTTCTACAAAAATACAAATATTAGCCAGGCATGGTGGCATGCATTTGTAGTCCCAGCTACTCAGGAGGCTGAGGTGGGAAGATTGCTCGAGCCTGCCGTGAGCCATGACCATGCCACTGCACTCCAGCCTGGGTGACAGGCTGAGACCCTGTGTCTAAAAAAAAATAAATAAAATAAATCAATTTTCTAGTAGCCTCTGTCTCCCAGGCTCAAGTGATTCTCCCACCTCAGCTTCCAAGTAGCTGGGACCACAGGTGCACATCACCACACCCAGCTAATTTTTTGTAGTTTTGATATAGATAGCATTTCGTCATGTTGCCCAAGCTAGTCTCAAACACCTGAGCTCAGGGGATCCACCTGCCTCAGCCTCCCCAAATGCTGAGATTACAGGTGTGAGCCATTGTGCCTGGTCTCTAGTAGCCACATTTTAAAAAGTAACAGTAAATAGATGAAATTAATTTTAATAACAAATTTTAACCCAATATTTCAACATATATCAATATAAAAAGTATGCATATTTCATTTTATTTTTGTACTAAGAATCTGAAATCCAGTGTATATTTCACACTCACAGCACATCTGAGTTTGAACTAGCCACATTTCAAGTGCTCAGTAGTCCTGGGTGCTAGCGGCTATCAGATTAGACAGTGTAGTTTTAGAGGATGCTTACAGCTAACTGGCCTATGTCCTGTACTGGAGGACATTCATTCTGAGAAAAATTCATAGAAATTTTCCTCTTTGGAAAAAAGGATTCTAAGTCAGACCGGTCACTGACAGAGTGAAACAGGGTTTTTAATTCTTTAGGACCTCAAGAGTCTTCTCTGTGCTAGTGTGAGATGTGATACAGACCAGAGAACATGTAACATCTCCCCAGCTTACTTGAGCTCAGAGCTCTGTTTTCATAAAGATTTCTGGGGAATGAGATGTGATAAAGACCAGAAGAGCGATATAGCATTTCCCCAACTTATCTGAGCTCAGGGTTCTGTTTTCATAAGGCCTTTCGGGGGATTAGTGTCCAGTGGAATGTTCTTTGGCAAATGTTGATACAGCCACATGCCTGACTCAGTAGATCCCAGGATCCCCACAGGAAGAATGTAGAGTTGAGGAAGTCTGCCTCAAGTGCCTCAGCACCTGAGACTCGATTACTGAATTGACTAAACTAATTATGGGAGGCCATATAGGGCAGGACTAGAATTAGTGAGCAAAAATTGCAGCATATTTCAGCTCAAACAAGGATTTTTTTTTATTGTGTGTGTATGTGTGCGCACACATGCGTGTTTTTAAAAATTTAAATCTAAGTTGCCAGATCTGTCTAAAAAATGCAATATGTGGCCTTGTGAGATGATGATTTCTCTGTCACTCATAATCAAGGAGTGATGAAGGCTAGAGTTCTTTGTGGGGTAGGGGGCTCCTAACCAGAGTCTCTAATTTTTTTTTCCAGAACTTAAAAAAGGTAAGAAAAAAAGCAACAATGGGCAGAGAACTTGAGCATCAGAGGAACTGATCAGACATGCTCTGGACCATTTATTAAGAGCACACTTTGGGATTCTGGAGCCTTCAGTGGAAGATTGGTTTATAGCCAAATCCCTTTTGAGGCTACAGATTCTTGGTTCAGTTCAGATGATTTTTTTTTTTTAGACAGTCTCACTCTGTTGCCCAGGCTGGAGTGCAGTGGCCACCATCTCAGCTCATTGCAACCTCTGCCACCCAGGTTGAGTGATTCTCCTGCCTCAGCCACTCTAGTAGCTAGGATTACAGGCATGTGCCACCATACCTGGCTAACTCTTTTGTATTTTTAGTAGACATGGGGTCTCACCATGTTGGCCAGGCTGGTCTCAAACTCCCATATCTGCCCACCTCAGCCTCCCAAAGTGTTGGATTACAGGCATGAGCCACTGCACCTGGCCTATATCACACTTTGATAAAAGGTTTTAAGGCTGGGTATGGGCTGGGATTACACCTGTAATCCCAGCACTTTGGGAGGCTGAGGTGAGCAGATCACAAGGTCAAGAGATTGAGACCATCCTGGCCAACATGGTGAAACCCTGTCTCTACTAAAAATACAAAAATTAGCCAGGCATGGTGGCACACGCCTGTAGTCCCAGCTACTCAGGAGACTGAGGCAGGAGAATCGCTTGAACCAGAGAGGCAGAGGTTGCAGTGAACCAAGATCGTGCCACTACACTCCAGCCTGGCAACAAAGCTAGACTCCTTCTCAAAAATAATAATAATAATAAAAAAAGGGTTAGCCATGCTACCGAGAGGCCCCTAACCACCCACAGACAGACAGACAGACTGCAGATGGAATCAGACCAATCATCTCAGAGCCTCCAGGTGCCCATCAGTAAGATGCCTGGAAGGACCTGGAAGCTGAGGCCTTTAAAGGTTGGGCTCAGTGTCTCTATGTCAAGCACGGGGCCTGGTACAATGTAGGTGTTCAAATAGTTGTCTCCTTCCTTCCTCATACCTGGATTTTAGGTGTGGCAGTTCCAGAAATGCCATGGCCTGCGTAAGAAGGGTCTGGAGTGCCTCATTTAAAGCTCACAAGGATCACAGAGGCTGGCACAGCTGGGCTGAGAACAGAAGGGGAAACGAAACCCTTTCATGGCTCACATATGCTCAAGCAACTACAAAGAAGCCACCTGTGGTCAGCTGAAGAGTGGATGGGGGAGAAAGAGGGAGCTTCAGAGAAGTGGGGGTGGTGGTGAGGAAGAAGGTTTTTAGGTGGTAGAAGTGGAGGAGGTCAAAGAAAACAGCAGTTAAGAATCATAGGCAATACACCATAGGGTGAGGGTAGGGGTGGGGAAGGTAGGTTTTGGGTGGTGGAGATGGGAAAGGTTAAAAAAAAACCACAGTGGTTAATAATAGGCAACACACCATCCATCGTGCGGAGGAAGAAACCCTGGACTTAGAATTATGTGATTTTGGCAAAACATGTAACCAAGCAGCTCTCTCATCTGTAAAAATGGGACAATAATAGTTCCTTTCTCTTGGGGTTATTGAGAGGTTGAAATCAGTTGATGCATGAAAAATGTACAAATCTTGCTGTTGCTGTTAATAATAACAGTATTGATAATACCGTAGGAAGAAGCTTCTGCTTCTGAAAGGAGACCAGGTGGACTGATTTGGGAACCAAAAACAACCAGAAATCTAGAGGGAAGGGGAGAAGGCAAGGAGAGATCTTGATCTAGGTGCACCAGAACTTATATGCAAAATGCTGTTTTTAAGTGCATAGGTATTAATATTTATTAGAGGAAGAGATACCATAGCCCACATCAGCTTCTCAAAGGAGTCTATCTCACACACACACACACACACACACACACACACACACAGACACACACACACAATAGTTTAAAAATGACTGATCTAGAGAAATTAAGAGCCAAGAGAAAGAAGCAGATGAGACAAGAGGCCCACAATCATCCATGGTTGGAATGAGCCATCTCCATGGACCTAAGACTTGGGATCAGGGGTGGCGGAAAGTATAAACAGAAGAGGCAAAAAAAAGAGTTTGTTGGAATGAAGACTTAAAGAACCAAGTCAGCTCACAGTGGGAATGGAATGGGGGTTAGTTCAGCTATCACATGGCCCAGAGCAGGCTCACAGAGGCTGTTGGCTGAAGGCTGGGTGAGTGGATGGATGGGCAGGGAGCCCGACCCAGCAGCTGAGGATTGGGGAAACTAGGGAGGCAGACTGCAGATCAGGAGGCAAGGCATAAGAGAGACCTTGACTCTAGAAGACTGGCAGGGATTGACTGGAGAAATGATTTCCGTTTGCCTGGTGTGATGGGAAAGAACTGTCAGCCAGTGTATACTTCTCCCCATCTAAAATACTTCTGATTCTGTGGGTGAGGATTTGCAAGAAGGCACTCTGCCAGGGGGAGGGACTTAACTGTTGGCTCTGTGGCTGTTTCAGGAACACTCTAGGGCAGAGGGGGGTGGGGTGGGCAGAGACTTTTCTTTTTGAAATTTGTGAGTTTGTACCCTGACTTGCCCATTTCATTCATGTATTCATGCAACAAATATTTCTTAAGCACCTATTATGTGCCCACCTTTCTGCCAGGTGTTGGAGATGCAACAATAAATAAAAGATAGAATAGTCCCTGAACTTAAAAATCTTACATCTAGCTGGGTGCCATGGCTCACGCCTGTAATCCCAGCACTTTGGGAGGCCAAGGCGGGCAGATCATGAGGTCAGGAGATCGAGACCATCCTGGCTAACACGCTGAAACCCCATCTCTACTAAAAAATAAAAAAAATATTAAAAAAATTAGCCAGGCGTGGTGGTGGGTGCCTGTGGTCCCAGCTACTCAGGAGGCTGAGGCAGGAGAATGGCATGAACCCAGGAGGCGGAGCTTGCAGTGAGCCGAGATCGCACCACTGCACTCCAGCCTGGGCGACAGAGCAAGACTCCATCTCAAAAATAAAATAAAATAAAATAAAATCTTACATCTAGTTGAGGAAATGGATAATGAGAGTGCAGTATGATAGGTGCTGAGACTGGGGCCATGCGCAAGTTGCTATAGGAACAGAGGAAAAGGGCACTCATACTTCCCCAAGCCTGTCTTCTTTTTATTTATTTATTTATTTATTTATTTATTTATCATTTGAGACAGAGTTTTGCTCTTTAGCCTAGGCTGGAGTGAATGGTGTGATCTGGGCTCACTGCAACCTCCACCTCCCAGGTTCAAGCCATTCTCCTGCCTCAGCCTCCCAAATAGCTGGGATTACAGGTGTGAACCACCACGTCCAGCTAATTTTTATATTTTTAATAGAGACGAGGTGTCGCCATGTTGGCCAGGCTGGTCTCAAACTCCTGATCTCAGGTGATCCACCCGCCTTGGCCTCCTAAAGTGCTAGGATTATAGGCGTGAGCTACCACACTCAGCCTTAAGCCTCAATCTTCTTATCTGCAAAGTGGGAATCATGGCCGGGTGCGGTGGCTCACACCTGTAATCCCAGCACTTTGGGAGGCCGAGGAGTGTGGATCACCTGAGGTCAGGAGTTCCAGAACAGCCTGGCCAACATGGAGAAATCCCATCTCTACTAAAAACACAAAAAAATTAGCTGGGCGTGTTGGCTCGCACCTGTGATCTCAGCTGCTCGGGAGGCTGGGGCAGGAGAATCACTTGAACCCAGGAAGCAGAGGTCACAGTGAGCCAAGATTGTGCCATTGCACTCCAGCCTGGGCAACAAGAACGAAACTCCATCTCAAAAAAAAAAAAATGGGAACCATGTTATTCACTATAAGGAGTTTTCTGGTACATTCCAGGCCTCTGCTTGACACATATTAGGAGCCCGTTGCAGCCCATAATTCATTTATTCAACAAATGTTAATTGAGTATCTTATGTGTGTCAGGCACTTCTGTGGATGGTAGAAATGTGGCACTAAATAAACTGAGAAAGCCGGGCACGGTGGCTCATGCCTGTAATCCTAGCACTTTGGGATATCAAAGCAGAACACCTTTAAGCTCAGGAGTTCGAGACCAATCTGGGCGACATAGGAAGACTCTGTGTCTACAAAATATAAACAATTAGCTGAGCATGTTGGTGCACACCTGTAGCCCCAGCTGCTCAGCAGGCTGAAGTGGGAAGATTGTTTGAGTCTAGGAGGTCAAGGCTGCAGTGAGTCATGGTTGTACTGCTGTACTCCAGCCTGGGTGACAAAATAATATTATTTTTGTCTCAAAAATAATAAATAAATAAATAAACTGATAAGAATTGCTGCTGTCATCAAGATTACATACTACACGGGGAAAACAATAAGTAAAATATTCCGTAGGCCAAATGGTGACAAGTGCATTGGAGACAAATAAAGCAGGGATGGAAAGAGGGAAGAACTGAGGGAAGGGGGTTGTAATTTTAAATAGAGTAGTCAGGGCCTGTCTTAGTTTAGCAAGGATCTGAAAGAAGAGAGGCACTAGGCCATGGAGATATCTGGAGGAAGGACGTTCGAGGTAGAAAGATCCACAAATGAAAGGGCTAATGCTGGAGAATGAGTGGTGTGTGATAGGCTTTTACAGAGCCCAGAGTGGCTGGAAAGAGGTGACCAAGGTGTACAGCACCAGCAGATGAGGTCAAGGGAGGCCTTGGAGGGGAGCAGGTGTGGCAGAGCCTTGGGGCCATTGTAAGTCTTTGACTTTACCCTGAATGAGATGGGAGCCACTGGAGAGTTTTGCGCAGAAGAGTGACAGGATCTTACGTTTTGTTTTGTTTTGTTTTGTTTTGTTTTGTTTTGTTTTGTTTTGTTTCAGGAAAGAGTCTCACTCTATTGACCAGGCTGGAGTGCAATGGTGCAATCTTGACTCACTGCAACCTCTGCCTCCTGAGTTTAAGCAATTCTCCTCCCTCAGCCTCCCAAGTAGCTGAGATTACAGACATGTGCCACCATGCCTGGCTAATTTTGTATTTTTAGTAGAGACGGGGTTTCACCATGTTGGTCAGGCTGGTCTCGAACTCCTGACCTCAGGTGATCCACCCGCCTCAGCCTCCCAAAGTGCTGGGATTACAGGCATGAGCCACCGCACCCGACCTTCTTCTTTCTTTCTTTCTTTTTTTTTTTTTTCTTGAGATGGAGTCTCACTCTGTGGCCCAGGCTGGAGTGCAGTGGTGCAATCTCTGCTCACTGCAGCCTCAGCCTCCTAGGTTTAAGCAATTCACCCTGCCTCAGCCTCCCAAATAGCTGGGACTACAGGCGCCCGCCACCACGCCTGGCTAAATTTTTTGTGTATTTAGTGGAGATGGGGTTTCACCATGTTGGCCAGGCTGGTCTCGAATTCCTGACCTCAGGTGACCTGCCCACCTCAGCCTCCCAAAGTGCTGGGATTACAGGTGTGAGCCACTGTGCCCAGCCCTTTTTCTTTTCTTTTCTTTTCTTTTCTTTTTTTTTAACTGACAAGGTCTCCTCTGTCACCCAGGCTGGAGTGCAGTGGTATGATCATAGCTCACTGCAGCCTCAAACTACTGGGCTTGAGATCCTTCTGCCTCAGCCTCCTGAATAACTGGGACTAGAAGCATGTGCCACCAGGCCCAGCTAAATTTTTAAAAATGTTCGTTGAAATAGTATCTCACTGTTGCCCAGGATGATCTTGAACTCCTGGCTCTAAGTCATCCTCCTACCTTGGCCTCTGAACGTGCTGAGATTACAGGCGTGAGCCACCATGCCTGGCCAGGATCTCAAGTCTTAAATAGGACCACTCTGTTTTAAAGGATCACTTGTTCTGACTATATACCATGAGATGACAAACATAGAGCAGAGGACACCAGTTAGGAGACTCCCACATTAAACCAGGTGGAGATGATGGCAATTTGGGCTAAAGTGAAAGCAAAGGGCATGGTGAGAAATGGTTAACATCAGGATATTTGAAGGTGAAGTCAACAGGATTTGTTGACAAATTGGATAAGGGGGAGTAGGCAGGCAAAACAGAGTCAAGGATGCGGGGCGTGGTGGCTCACGCCTGTAATCCCAGCACCTTGGGAGGCTGAGGTGGGCAGATCGACAGGTCAGGAGTTCGAGACAAGCCTGACCAATATGGTGAAACCCTGTCTCTACTAAAAATACAAAAATTAGCTGGGCATGGTGGTGTGCAACTGTAGTCCCAGCTACTCAGGAGGCTGAGACAGAAGAATTGCTTGAACCTGGGAGGCGGAGGTTGCAGTGAGCCGAGATGTTGCCACTGCGCTCCAGCCTGGGCAACAGAGTGAGACTCTGTCTCAAAAAAAAAAAAAAAATAGTCAAGGATGACCTGAGCCATTAACTATGATTGGGGAAGACCAAAGGAGGAACAGGCTTGAGAGGAAAGATAGAGGGTTGATTTGGGACACATTATGTTTAAGAAGCCTGTTGGAAGTCCAAATAGGAATATTAGGTAGGCAGCTGGATACATAAGTTTGACACCTGGGGGCAAGGCCCTGATTTTAGGTATGAACTTAGAACTTCTCAGTATATAGTTGGTATTTAAAGCCACAGGAGTGAATAAGATAGTGAATCAAGAGGACAAAGGAAAAAGGTCTGAGGATTGAGCCCAGGGGCTATCCAACATCCAGCAGTGGGGGCCTCACCTGCTTTTAATTTGGGGGTTCGAAGGCTAGGTTTGAACATTCTGTAAGGACTTGTGCAAATATTTTCCCTAAGTTCTGTCTCCCCCTTTGAACCCAAATGCTCACCATGAAGGGAAAAGTCCACAGAAGAAAAAAAAAAAGTTTTAAATAGATTGTTTAAATTATTAGGTTATGTTTTCCAAAAATAGAAGGAAAGCTAAGTTCTGGGTCAGTGGGAGAATTTAGAGTTTTTAGCATTATCTTTCTCCCATCAAACCCTTAAGGCTGGGCTCCCAAGGAAGAGTCTTCCTGGCTTTCCAGCCCTGAGGGCTCTCTCACAAGGTCCCAGAACTCTGTATTGTAATTGTCTATTTTCTCTACCTCCAGGTGGAAGCCATGTTGAGTTCATCACAGAACTACTAGCCGGGCCTGGCACCAAATAGGCATCAGGGAATGTCAGTGGAACTTGACTGCAGAATCTGATGAGGAACTTCCATCTTCCTGGGCTCTGAGTGTCTTTCTCTAGTTCCACCACCAGAGCTGGTGTCTGTTCTGCCAGGCCCCTTTCCAGGCACCCATAGCTGATCCTGGAAAGGTAGGGACAGACCCTGTAGGCCTGGACTCTGTCCTTTGGGAGGAGAATATCCTCAGGGGCCTGCATGAGCCATCCTGAAAAACTAGTTCTGTGAGTCAATCCTCAAGTGAGTTCCTGTGGGAAAGGTACCAGAATCTTAGAGGTGAGGTTGGAAGCAGCTTGTCACCTCTTAGAGGCAAAGAGGGGTGTCTCCTCCGAACGGACCTCACTCTTTATCTGACCCAGAGTTCCTGGCATATCAACTGTGCTAGTACTTTGTCAAGGGTGCTGGCATGAGCCAAAAGGCCCTGAACTGGAAATTGCAGACCCTCCTATTAGACATGAGTGTGTCATGTCCATCATAAACAAAGAAACAAAAACCCTCTCTTAACGCAGGCTACTTTAGTTGCTGCATTATATTCTGCCTACTGTTTGTAGCTAAATCTCTTGAATGACTTGTTCAAACTTGCTATCTCCACTTCCTCACCTTCTATTTCATTCTTAACTCAGGTCCATTCCTAAAATAAGGCTGTCCTTCCAGGCCCTCCCAAATGATGTCATCTAGTGTAATTAACTCCAGGTACTACCATGATACTAATAACCTGCAGTCCCTCTCCTGAGCTCCAAACTCACGTATTCAGCTGCCTATTAGACATCTTGACTCAGCTAACCCACAGACACTTCAAACTCAACATGTACAGAATGAACTCATCATCTTTCCTTAAAACAGATCCCAAGTGTTCCCTGTCTTTGTGAATGCACTGCCATCCTCATCCTTGACTCCCCCACTCCCTTTCCTTTGTATATATAATCAGTCACTAATACATCAACCCTATGTCATGAATATCCCCGAAACACATACACTTCTCTCCATCCTCATGGCTTTTTTGCTGATCAGGGCCATCATCATCATTTTTGCCTCAATGATGACAATAACCTCTTAACTGTATTCTAACAAGCTTTGTGTAGTGTTTTGTTCTGTTTTAGAGACACGGTCTCACTCTGTCACTCCGTAGAGTGCAGTGGCATGATTACAGCTCACTGTAACTTCAAACTCCTGGGCTCAGGTAATCCCCGCACTTCAGTCTCCTGCCTAGCTAGGGACTACATGTGCATACTCCCATGCCTGACTAATTTGAAAAACATTTTTGCGGGGAGAGATGAGGTCTTGCTATCTTGCCTTGTCTGGTCTTGAACTCCTGGGCTCAAGCAATCCTTCCACCTTGGTCTCCCAAAGCATTGAGATTACAGGTGTGAGCCACCATGCCCAGCCAAGCCTCAAGTCTTGAATACTTTAAATCCATTTTCTTTCTTTTTTTTTTTTTTTTGACAGCGTCTTGCTCTGTTGCCCAGGCTGGAGTGCAATGGTGCAATCTCAGCTCACTGCAACCTCTGCCTCCCAGGTTTAAGCAATTATAGGTGTGTGCCACCACACCCAGCTAATTTATGTGTGTGTGTGTGTGTGTGTGTGTGTGTGTGTGTGTGTATTTTTAGTAGAGACGGGATTTCGCCAAGTTGCCCAGGCTGGTTTCACACTCCTGAGCTCAGGCAATCTGCCCACCTCAGCCTCCCAAGGTGCTAGGATTACAGGCATGAGCCACCATGCCTGGCCTGTAGGTAATATTTTCTAAAACACATATTATGTTCCTCCATTGCTCATAGCAACTCTCAGTGACTTCCCAGTGCTATGAAGATAAACTGCAAATGCCTTAGAGACCCTGCATGAACTGGGCCTTGCTTACCTCTCCAGCTTCATCTCTCACTACTCCTCTTCACCCTCTACCCCTTAGCCATACTGAATTACCAGCAGTTCCCCACATAAACCCTGCTCTTTCCAGTTTCCAAATTTTTGCCCATCTGTTCTCTTGGCCTTGAGTGCTTGTCTCCCTCACTTGCCTTCTTTATTCTCCCCAACCTTTACCTGGCTGACTTCTGTTTCCATTTTGAGACCTAAGTTTAAGTGCCATTTCCACTGGAAATCCGTGCCTGACTCTGTAATTCTGGATGGCAGTTCTTCTAAAGGGCTCCTACCGCAAACACACTGTACTTTATCCTCGAGGCACTCATCACAGTAAGTGACAATTACTTGTTCCCTTCTCTGTCTCACCCACCAGACCTGAGCTCCTTGAGAGCAGGGGCCTTGTCTTTCTAGTTCACGGCTGAATTCCTAATACTAGCTTAGTACCTGGCTTATAGTTGATTGTGTGTGTGTGTGTGTGTGTGTGTGTGTGTGTGTGTGTGTGTGTGATGCAGGGAAGCCAAAGAAGGGTCAGGATGCAATGATAACCTGGGGAAGGAGGGACAATTACAAAGGAAAGTCTTGGGCAGATTCCATACAGGTAGTAGCCACCAATGGGATGTGGAGGACAGGATCAAGGGTTAACTCAAGAGGCTTCAAGGTTCTGAGCCTGAGTGACTGGGAGGAATAGAGCTATTCACTAAGCAGAGACCATAGAAGCGAAGGGCAGTTTCAGGAGAAAAGCTGAACCCAGGACCAAAGGGCTGTGGGGGTCATCAAGTGGACACATGAAATAGGCATATGGGTAAATATTTCTATGGTTCTAAAAAGGAGTCAAGGCTGGAGACATTCATTTAAGAAGCTACCTGGCCAGGCACGGTGGCTCACGCCTGTAATCTCAGCACTTTGGGAAGCCAAGGTGGGCAGATCATTTGAGGTCAGGAGTTTGAGACCAGCCTGGCCAACATGGTAAAATCTCGTCTCTACTAAAAATATAAAAATTAGCCAGGTGTGGTGGTGGGCACCTGTAATCCCAGCTACTCGGGAGGCTGAGGCAGGAGAATTACTTGAACCTGGGAGGTGAGGTTGCAGTGAGCTGAGATCACACCACTGCACTCCAGCCTGGGCAACAGAGTGAGACTCCGTCTCAAGATAAAAACAAGGCTACCAAGATGGGGGCATATAGAGAGAAGACAAGTGTGATGATATAATCTTGGGGATCCATTAAATTGTGCTGAAAGAAGAGAGGGAGAGAGAAATGGTATTTGGACAGGTAAGAAAAAAGCCAGGAGAATTAATGGTCATTGGATCCAAATGCAAAGGACCTCAAAGAATGTGCTCATCCACCTCATTGAGTGTTGCAGGAAGGTGGAGAAGAATAGGCTACTCTACTTGGAAACTAGGAAGTCCCTGATTAGAATAGAAGCCAGACCAACAGTGTTAAAGGAATGAAAAATAAAGCAGAAAAGGCAGCACATGTAGACTGTCCTTTCTGAATCTTTCAAACACAGGTGAGGGCAACAGTGACCTAAGGACAACTTGGGAAGCAGGTTAGGGGTTCTAAGACTGGGCTCCATACACACACTGCTTAAGTTCAAATCATAGCCCCAACACTCAATAGCTGTGTGACTTTGGGCAAGTTAACTTACTTAACTTTCCTAAGTCTCAGTTTCCTTGTCTAAAACGGTGGGACAAGTAGCCCCTGTTTCATATGGTTATTGCAATGATTATATGAAAATGTATGTGAAGCACTCAGCACAGGGCAGAGACGTGGTAAGCAACCAATTAACGTGAGACATGAATTTTAACAGGGTCAAGGAGGAAAACTGGGAGGAGGAGAAGTTGCCATGCAGGAGGGAGAGAAGATGCTCGGGTGAACTAGGCTTTGAGGAGGTGGAAGGGAGGGGACTGAGGACTTGGAGGGCTTGTGGAGAGGGAGGATGGGGAAGTAGGCCTTTTCAAAACCCAACTTTGGCTAAAGGATCACCTGCTGGTTACTGAATGAAGCAGCTACTTCTGTTCCATTTTCTTGGGGAGTCATGCTGAGGCATCTCTAGGAGCTTCTCTCACTCCTAGAATCTTCCAGTGTTTCCTGGAGCCTGGTCTCTGCCTCTATGCCTCCCACTGCCTGCTGGTTCTCTAGCTGGAGGCAGCTGGACTCAGGCAGCCGCAGGATGTCCCAGCAGCACACATTGGGAGAGGGGGATTCAGAGAGAGCTGCTTCACAACTTCTCTTTGGGCTATACCCTTGACACAGGCCAAATCCTTCTGTCCCCGTCACAGGTACAGATACTTTCTATCTTCAGGTATTCCAAATGATCTTCCATGATTAAGGTTGCTTCTGAAACACAATGGTCTCCCTGGACCTCCGAGCTAATCTGCCTATTTCCAGTGTCAGTTCCACCAAACTGTTCCCCCTCTGCTGCCTGTGATTGTTCTCATACCTGTTTAAAACCCTGTCATAATTCACCTTGCAGTATCTCCACCAGAACTGGGAGGGCCTCTCCCACCTGCCCAGCCTACATTGGTTATATCTTCACTTTTACCCTCTGCTCCATCCTGACCAAAGCTATGGCTCTGCATATATTGCCTCTCTTCTTGCAATATCTTTTCTTCTCTTCCACGGGCTAGCAACCCCTCATCTTTCAAGAATAGTGTCCAACTAGAAACCTTTCCTAATATTGCCCCCACCACCACTGGTGAGTTGGATGTGCTCCTTTACTCAAGAGTTCCCACAGCAACTGGTGGCTGGCCTCCTCTTCCCTATTATTCCTTATACCTTAGTGTTACAGCTGGAGAATACCTCTGTCTCATTATCAGACTAGGCACTCTTCCAAAATGAGGATTAGGTCTTATAAATAGCTGTATCTCTAGGGCTTAGTATAGGACCTACCAACCTCAAATAGGTAAGTAGTACCTATTTGCCTTCATTCCTCAGGGAATACTGGTTGAATGAATAAATGTCCTCATTTAGGATGTATTCTGGCAGGAAGACAATGGAGATGCAAGTGGACTACTTTTCTTGCCCCAAGCCACATGGCCAGGATCCTACATCTTTGTTGCTTGACTGCCTCTCATTTCATAATTCAAGAGTTGCCAGCTTTCTTATTGATACTGACCTTTTTTTTTTTTTTTTTTGAGATGGAGTTTCCCTCTCGTTGCCCAGGCTGGAGTGCAATGGCGCAATCTCGGCTCACTGCAACCTCCACCTCCCAGGTTCAAGCAATTCTCCTGCCTCAGCCTCCCTAGTAGCTGGGATTACAGGCGTGCAGCACCACGCCTGGCTAATTTTGTGGTTTTAGTAGAGAGGGGTTTCTCCATGTTGGTCAGGCTGGTCTCGAACTCCCGACCTCAGGTGATCCTCCCGCCTTGGCCTCCCAAAGTGCTGGGATTACAGGCGTGAGCCACTGCGCCCGGCCTGATTCTGACCTTTTTATTCCACACATCTCAACTGTTGCTGAGCTGTTTCATTCTAGGAGGCAAAGAGCTTTTCTGGTTGTTCCTGAGATCACCAGCCTGAATCTCCTTTCTTGAGCACCCAGCAGTTTCTTTTCCAAGGGTATCGGAATCTTGAAAGGGCAGCAGATTCTTAGGCATGGGCGGGGAGAGCTGCTAGAAGACATCACTGTCAAAGAATTGGCAAAGTCAAGAATGTGCCAGCATCCAAGGGTCAAAACGTCAGGTGGGACATCCTGTTCCACAGCATGATAGCCCCAGAGGGGGTGCCAAAAGGATGACAAAAGCCTTGTGAGTGCCCAGGAATCAAGTAGAGATTAGGACCAACCCATCAGAGTGCAATTAAGCAAAAGGGGGAATCAATTTAAAGGTGCCAGAACAGGAACCATGCAACCAGGCTTCAGGAGAAAGTAGGAACGAGGGTCCTGAACTTCATTCATCAGGGTCCTCTCTCTCTCTTTTTTAAGACAAGGTGACACTCTGTCACCCAGGCTGGAGTGCAGTGGCACGATCTTGGCTCATTGCTGCCTCAGCCTCTCAGGTGTTCCTCACCTCAGCCTCCCTAGTAGCTGAGACTGCAGGCACACACCACTATGCCCAGCTAATTTTTGTTTGTAGAGACAGCATTTTGCCATGTTGCATAGGCTGACTTCAAACTCCTAGGCTCAAATGATCCAGCCGCCTCAGGCTCCCAAAGTGTTAGGCTTACAGGTGTGAGCCATCTGGCGGGAGGGACTTCTATCTCTTATCTCTTCTCTTCCTCCACCCACTTTCTCCTATATCCTCCCCCACTTCCAGGTTTCTCTGGCCCTTCCAACAGCAAGTATCGCCAGGAGCAGCTCCCTAATCTACATACTACAGATCTATCCACAAGAAGACAGATGGAACCACTCTTTTCTTCTGAATTCTAGAACCTTAAGGAAGTTAACCTGAGTGGCTCAGCTTGGATCAAGTGCCCATCCTGGTCCAAACAACTGTAGCAGCACATCTGTGTATTTGTGTATCTTGTTCCTCCATAATCTTGCAGTCCGGGGAAAGTGTGCAGATGGATGGGTCCCTGAAAAGCAAGAGTTGTTTAGACAACGCTAGAGGTGTTCAGTTCTGGGAGACAAGAGTTGGGCCAGGTTGATAACTAGCCTAAGAGAGTCGGAATCAGATGAATAAGAACTAGATCTTGGGTGACAACCTAGATCAAGAGTCTTGAGGTTCAGTCATTTCAAAAAGCTCAAGTCTCATTGCTTCTTGGCCTTCTGGCTAAGATCATGTGCAGTATCTGTTCTTACCAGTTTAATATCTGATACATCCTCTATCTGAGGATAATATAATAAATAGATTTTTGGAGCAAGGAGATGGAATAGGAGCTTGCTCTGTCCACTCTACACATTGGCCTGGATTGCAGTACCTCCAGGAATGGTGCACCCTCTCTACCACCCCCAAAAAGCCCAAGTCTCAAGAGGTAGTCTGGAAAAAAGTGTTTTTGGATTTACCTACATTTTTTTTTCCAAGATGGAGTCTCGCTCTGTCACCCAGGCTGGAGTGCAGTGGCGCCATCTTGGCTCACTGTAACCTCTGCCTCCAGGATTCAAGCAGTTCTCCTGCCTCAGTCTCCCAAGTAGCTGGGATTACAGGTGTGTGCCAACCATGCTCAGCTAATTTTTCTATTTTTAGTAGAGACAGGGTTTCACCATGTTGGCCAGGCAGGTCTCAAAGTCCTGACCTCAGGTGATCTGCCTGCCTTGGCCTCCCGAAGTGCTAAGATTACAGGCGTGAGCCACTGCGCCCGGCCTAATTTTTGTAATTTTAGTAGAGACGAGTTTTCACCATGTTGACCAGGCTGGTCTCGAACTCCTGACCTCAGGTGATCCACCCCCGCCCTCGGCCTCCCAAAGTGCTGGCACTACAGGCATGAGCCACCGCTCCTGGCCGGGTTTGCCTACATTTTGGAGATGCTGCACACCATGTCCCTCTTTTCAAGAGTCACGTAAGTATTTACATATGGAAGACCCTGAGAAGGCACCTGGGAAAAAACCTGTTTAACTGTAAATATAATAATGTATGTATTTGTATGTGGAGCTCTTCTTTTAGTGGATTATCTATAAACCGTCCACTGTTCCCAATGCATACTTTGGAGACAGACCTACACTACCAGTTTTCACCTGCTAGTTATTTTTATAAGGGTTGGGATGGTCCATGAGTGAACAGTCTTGATTTAAAGCAGTGTTTCCCAAACCTCATTTATTTGCCTATAGCCTTCCTGGAGTTTGTCTTATATGTCCGCTCTGTGCACTATTCCTATATGTTTTTATGTAAATCAATCACTTTTTTAAAAAGCCTCATCCCAGTTATATCCTTAAAACAATGGTTATTTTTTCTCATACACATCGAAATACATATCTATTAGAATTAAAATGCTTGTCCATGCACTATCAATAATCTCCTCAAGTACCATATGGTGGGGACATGTGTTTGAAGTGTTAGGAGTCAGGAGTGGTCTCTGTAAGACAGAGTAAGTCAGTCAACCTCTGAGCACTGCCAGCCACACATGCTGGCAGAGAAGTTCAGCCTGTGACAAGACTGCCCGGATATTTCCATGTCTGTGCACGGGGATGTCCTCGGTCTGCCATTGTGAAGTCTGTGCTGTTTTCATGCCTACCTAGTCTTCTTTGGAGGGGCCTGGAAAGCAAATGCAGGCTGGGTACAGTGGCTCATGCCTGTAATCCCAGCACTTTGGGAGGCAAAGGTGGGCAGATCACGAGGTCAGGAGTTTGAGACCAGCCTGACCAACATAGTGAAACCTTGTCTCTACTAAAATTGCAAAAATTAGCTGGGTGTGGTGGTACGTGGCTGTAATCCCAGCTACCCGGGAGGCTGAGGCAGGATAATTGCTTGAACCCAGGAGGCGGAGGTTGCAGTAAGCCCAGATGGCACCACTGCACTCCAGCCTGGGTGACAGAGACTCCATCTCAAAAAAAAAAAAAAAAAGAAAAAAAAGCAAATGCAGATTCTCCCTGGGAAACGGGGGGTTGGGAGAGTGGAGTAGTGTGGATGCATTGTTATTCCTGAAGGCCGTCCTCAAATTATCTTGGACTCACTGCAGCAAGCAGATGCCTCATCTTCTGGCCAGGGATTGATCCTGAGATGGGAAGAGTATGAGAAGAGACACCAACAGCAAGGCAAAACTGGCTCTGGCAGCTTGCTTCAGAGAAAGAGTATAGCTTTGGAGTCAGGCCGACCTGAGTATGAATCCAAGACTCAGCACTTACTAGGTGCCTGCCCTCAAACCATTATTTTTTGATAGTCATTACATACCCACAATGATCACCATGGAGTGGATGAGGAAACAGGGACTCAGAGAAGTTAAACAACTTGCCTGATATCACACAGGTAACAAACAGCAGAGCAGAATTCAAACCTAAGTTGATTTGACTTCCAAATGTGTGCTCCTAACCAAAGCAGGGTAACCTGCTTTGATTTGCCCATTTCTTGAGCACCTCTTCTGTAGGAGGGCCTGTTGCTGGGTGCTGGGAATTCAGTGGTAGGCAAGATGGACAAGATTCCCCCCTCTCACAGACCTTGCTTGCTATAGGGGAAATAGACAGGAAACCAATTACTACATTTGTAACTTAATAACAAGTGTCATAAGTGTTACAAAGGAGATAGATACTATAAGGCACCTTTTATTTTTATTTGTTTATTTATTTTTTGAGACTCACTCGCTCTGTTGCCCAGGCTGGGGTACAGTGGTGCGGTCTCGGCTCACTGCAACCTCTGCCTCCCAGGTTCAAGCGATTCTCCTGCCTCAGCCTCCCGAGTAGCTGGGATTACAGGTGTGAACCACCACACTCTGCTAATTTTTGTATTTTTAGTAGAGACAGGGTTTCACCATGTTGGCCAGGCTGTTGTTGAACTCCTGACCTCAAGTGATTGATCCACATTGACCTCCCAAAGTGCTGTGATTACAGGCGTTAGCCACCGCGCCTGGCCTATAAGGCACCCTTGGTCAGCCAGTGGAAGCAGGGTCAGTAGTGCGCCGGAGAGTCACTTTGAAAAAGTGATATTTAGGTTGATCTTGAAGCATTCACAAGATGTGGTAAACACATCTAATGGTAAACATGTGATGGTAAACATTAGATGTGATAAAGATACTGATGGTCCACTGGATGAACAGTTTTCATATTTACTTCCAAATGATTTCATAGATATTATTTCACAGATAACACTTAGGATGAAGGTAAATAAAAAGGAGATCAATTAAAATATGAAATAATAATAGTGAAAGTGGTAATAGATGTGGCAATATCCACAAAGGAGTAATGGTTAGATTAGCATATTGAGAAGATCACTTTGGCAATTGTTGGAATGCAGTTTACGAGAGGGCCAAGAATGGAAGCAGCAATCCCTGTTAGAAGTGTAGTGTTTTGGAGTGCGGTGTTTTTTGTTGGTTTGTTTTTTGTTTTTTTTAAACCAGGTCTCACTCTGTTGCCCAGGCTGGAGTGCAGTGCAGCCTCGACCTCCTCCTCGGGCTCAGGTGATCCTCCCACCTCAGCCTCCCGAGTAGCCGGGACTACAGGCACATGCCACCACACCCCGCCAGTTTTTGTATTTTTTTGTAGAGTCAGGGTTCTGCCATGTTGCCCAGGCTGGTCTTGAACTCCTGGGTTCAAGTGATCTGCCAGCCTCGGCCTCCCAAAGTGCTAAGATTACAAGTGTGAGACACCACCCCCAGCCAGCACATTGTATTAATCCAAGCAGGAGAACGCAGACTTCAAAGGCTTATGGGCAGCAGAGAGAAGTAGATGAAGCAAAGAGATGCAATCAGCGGGACTAGTGGGAAATGAGGGAAAGGAAGGTGTCAGGATGGGGCTTTTTCTAGCTGAGTGGAGTTCAGTTCATTCCCAGAGAAGCTTGAGAGGTATCCAACTATAGATGCAAGGTAGCTGGCTGTTGGTCCCTTGTCTTTAGGACAGTTTGACTTTTGTAATACAGGCGACCTCACAGAGCTATTGTGAGAATTCAGAGCTGGGCACAGAATAGATGCTCTATAAACGGTAGTTCTATTCCCCATTTGCCCCGTCCTCCCAGCATGCCAGGGATACAGGGGCGGATAGAGACAGGTTCAGTTCCCTTTGGTCTCTTGCATTCCCCCTTCCCTCAGCACAATTCCTGGGCTCATAGCGGATGCTCAATAAGTATTTGTAGAATGAACCAAAGAAATCAGACCCTTGGTGACCCAGGGCTACATGTACTCGGCGGAAAACTGGGGTTAAACCGGACCCTTGGTTGGTTGAAAAATTAAAATAATTTTTAAAAAGTGGGCGTGAAATAATCCAGAAGTTGGAGGGCCTGGACAAAGGCTGGGGAGGGGACTCCTCCCACCAGGCGGCCTCAGGGTCGGCTTAGCAAGAAAGGAGGCGCTGGGGAGACCTCTGGGGTCCCAGCTGCCAAGGTACTCGCCGCTCCAAGGAGATGCGGACGCCGGATACCAGCTCTGCCCAAGATTGCTGGGTCCCGCCGCGGCCTTTAAAGGCCCACCACGTGGCTGCGCGGCCAGCCCTGGTCCGGAGGCGGTGCCCGGGTGGCGCCTGCGCACTGCCTAGCAGAGGGGCTGGGGTTCCGAGAAAAAGCGTCTGGAGAGGAAGGGGAGGCTGCTTGGGGTGGGACGCCGTGGGAGGAGTCGGCTCCTTATGCAAATCACAGCGGAGCGCGCACGGTCCGGAGGCGGGGCTTGCGATGCAAAGACAGGTCCGTCTGGCGAACAGCGAGGGGGCGGGCCGCAACCCTCTGCCTCTTTCCGCGAGCGCTGACGTCGCCGACGTGTTGTTTAAAAGCGGCCGCGCAGGCGCAGTGAGCCCAAATGCGAACTTAGGCTGTTACACAACTGCTGGGGTCTGTTCTCGCCGCCCGCCCGGCAGTCAGGCAGCGTCGCCGCCGTGGTAGCAGCCTCAGCCGTTTCTGGAGTCTCGGGCCCACAGTCACCGCCGCTTACCTGCGCCTCCTCGAGCCTCCGGAGTCCCCGTCCGCCCGCACAGGCCGGTTCGCCGTCTGCGTCTCCCCCACGCCGCCTCGCCTGCCGCCGCGCTCGTCCCTCCGGGCCGACATGAGTGGGGACCACCTCCACAACGATTCCCAGGTACGGCCCGGCCTGACCCTGGCGGCCCCGGACCCCGGCCTGGCCGTCCCGCGACCCCCGGCGCAGGCCCCGACCCCAGCCCCGGCCCGGCAGCTTTGACAGGCCGGAGCCCCCGGTGAGGGGCCGCCTGCCGGAGTAGATCGGCTCGCTAGGCCGCGAGCGAGGGCCGCGAAGTTACAGTTCGAGGCAGGGATGGCTGCCCTCTGTGGCCACCCCCGGGTCCCCGTCCTCCCCGGGGGCGCAGGGTGAGCCAGACCCCGGCCGCGCGCGCTCGCCGCCGGAGGGGTTAAAGTGGCTGTTGTTTGATATTCTCTCCTTTTCTTTTTCCAGATCGAAGCGGATTTCCGATTGAATGGTGAGTGTGCCCCCTGCGCCGACTCCGGGGCCCCCCAGCCGCCGGCCGCCTCCCCCGCGCCCTGCCGGTGCCGGGCAGAGGACAGACATGGCGTCCCAGAGACTAAGTCCCGGCTCCTCGCTCACCGGCCCCATTGTTCCCATCGGGCCGCCTCTTGACCCCCTTTCCGGGGACCCCAGCTCCTCCAGATCCCGGCCCTCCCAAGAGGGGACAACGGAGACCCCGTGTCGTCCGCCACCGGGCCTCGGGCGGTCTTTCCGGGCCGGGATTCCTCCCGGGAAAGTCGCCTTGTCGACGGTCGGGACTTAGTCTCTGCGCCATTTTCTTTTTCTCTCTCCTCTCCTTTCTGTGCCTGTGTCTCTTTCTCTCCCTCCCTCGGCTCTTTCCTTGAGCTGCCCAGAATGAGCTTTCTGCAGAGCAAAGCCGTATAAATCACATACTTCACCAGAGAGGGAAGGCTGGGGGACTGAATTATTATTTTTTAAACTTTATTTTGGGGGTTATTCCCTTTATGCTTCATGTTTGTTTCCTTTTCTGCTTCCAGAATGAAAGATTTCCTTAAGCAACTGTTAATTTTTTTTTTGATAGGCTGTTTATGATAGGAATTATGGCTCTAAAACTAAAGCCACGCTTTGTGGAGTTCTTTATATTTCCAGGTTGTTTTTCCCAAGTTACGTTCTTTGCAAAGGTAGCAGTACCTCCCTAAAGAAAGTTTGCAAGTTCTCTGTGGGTCACCCAATGTAAATGTTGGATTTTTAAAAAATTATGTTAGTCACTGGAACTTTTCATTGTGGTCGAGGTTCCCAATGCAGTGTTTTTCTGGAAACGCAGTTTAGTGTACTTGTTGGAAGGAAAGATTGTTGAGCATCTCTTGTGGACCTGGTGTGTTGGCCTTTTCGTTTGGGTTGTAAGGAGGAAAAAAAGATTTTATTTATTGAAGCAAAGAGTGTCCAGTACCCACCCCTGCTTCCTGTTCATTCTTTTTCACGAGCCACTGTTTTTCAGGAATCAAGAACTGGCTTTTTTTTTTTTTCCCAATTCTTTATGTTTTTGAACCCTTTTCAGCCAAATCAAGGCATTTATTCTTACTGTATTTCCACTTCAGTTACCCAGGGAAGAGTCCTCCAATAAAAAGCTCATCCTTGCAGGCTTTCGAACAACCCTGTTGAAGGAGAAGTTACCTTCTGTAGTGTGCTGGGAATTCCCACTGATTTTGATGGTACATAATCCTGCTCAATTGAGTTTGGGTTCCGGGAACCTCTCCAATGGGAGAAGTTGATGAGTAGGTTTTCTAATGTTGTAATCAGCAGTCCATCATGTTAGCCTGCTCTACTGAGAGCAACCTTATGTTCAGAGTTTGAAGTGGGGCATCCAGCAGGAGATGGTACTCAGCCAGGAGAGAATCTGGTTTAAAGTATGGCATTTCTTGAGCACCAGATATGTGCCAACCACTGTGCTTGGTGCTAGAGCTGATCCTGTAACCATAACACTCCCTTGCTCTCAATTCAGTCTATTGGGGGAGACATAATTAGTTAATTATAAGGTAACTACTGGGGCATATGTGTACCCAAAATGCTTTGAAGTATAGGGGAGTTAATTTTGTCTGAGGGTGGGGAAATTTCTCAGAGGAGGTGACTTCTGAGCTGGGGGTTGTGGAAGACTGGGCGCAGAGAATTGTCAGGGGTTGGAGTGTTTCTTAAGTACGTTTAACCAACCTATCACGATTTTAAAAGAGGGAGGAGGTGAGGCCTGCAGTTTAGAAAGCCACAGTATAGACATGTTTCTTTGGGATACAGGAGCAAAGAAAGGATGTGCAGGTGAGGATGTAAGAAGTCCTTTTGACCTTGCTAGAGGAAGGTGGGATCTTTAATATGGAATGTGTTCTTTTGGCTGTCAGGCTGGGCTGAGTAGGTAATGTAAGTAATGAAACAAAGTTTAGCCCTTTCTTGTGAGAAAGTTAACTTACATGGTTCTCACCTAAGTCACGTGAATGATTGTGAGCTGGCTAGGTTATTGATCTTTACTGACATTTTTATAGAGGCTGAAGTAATCTGCGTATGTTGACTTTTAGAATGTGTTGGCTCACATTTAATAGCAATAATAGCTAATATTTATTGAATACTTACTGCCAGGCATGAATCTCAGCTCTTTCCATGGATCATCTAATTAAATGTAATCCTTGGAAGGACCCTTGTGAGTTAGGTCCTGTTATTTCTGTTTTGTAGATGAGGAAACTGAGGCTTCAGTGTATTTACTAGCTTGCCCAAGGGCTGTGAGTTGGCCACTCTAAATCCCATGAGCTGAGCCACTATGCTAGAGTGATACTATATGATACTAGCATGAAAAAATAAAAAGCCACAAATCTCTATTTTCTTACAGAGCTGAAAAAGGAGAGAAGGAAGGATTTGATAATTTGTCATTTGCTTTTTATCTAAACATGCTTTTTGAAGAGAATCTGCCACCATAAAGTTCTGACATTGGTGTAATTATTCTTTGTGAATATTGTCTGGAAGATGTGGTGTTGGTAACTATGCTTGCTATCTCAAGTAATACATTGTTAACCAGTGATTGATTTATGTAACTATGAAAAAAACTTTAAAAAAAGTAGAAATCAATGTTTAATTATGCCCAGACATGTCATTATTGAACTTTGTATTAAGAGATTGTTTAAGCGTGATTTTAAGAGGGCCTAACCCATCTTACAGATTAACTGTACAAGTTCATATATTAAAATCAAACGTCTCTCATTTTGCCTGCCCTCATCCCCTAAGATATAAAAGATTCCCCCCCGTCCCCCCACTTTGGAGCTCATTCTTCGCAATATTTAAAATTGTAGCTCTTTGCATGTAATTTAGAACATTCTGACCCATACTCAACTGCTGGGAGACTCTGTTATTTATATTTAAAATGTTGACAGTGAGTTAGGAATTTGGAGCAGAAACCATATCTAAGTCTAAGTGAAAAGACTTCCTAAGTATTGGTAGAACTAACTGTAGTGGGGCTGAGTCATTATTACAGTACTGTACAGGCTGCGTAGCTATCTGTAGAATTGATAATGGTAATACCAGGTTAAAGTGTTAGCGATTCTTCTGCTGTTTCAGAGGTCTTGAAGTTTTTGCCTGTCTGCTATGGAGATAGGGAGTTCTCCCCCATTTGACCCCCTTAGCAAAGCACAATACTTGGCTCCATCAGTCTTTAGTCTAAGAAGTGATATATAGGATCATGGTTTGACATCATCTTGTGCTGATTCTGGTTGGCTTAATGGAATCAAATTGGATGAAGGTAATTAAATATGAATTGTTTCTGATGCTAATAGATAGTTGTACTTCTGTCTGTTGGGTATGGGTTGGGATGGGCGGTAGCATAGCTGATTGCGGTGGGGGAATTTCAGATAGCTGATGATGTGGCTATCTGAAAATTGCCACTACATTTTTAAAACTGAAAAGTGATGGTACCGCCAAATGAAATCTGCAGCATCCTCAGACTCAATCAGGAAATACTTAAGCATTATGCTCCAGGGTGGTTTTCTTCCCTTACATTGCAACTGGACTCCTTGAGGCACCTTTTTAGAATTAGTGAGCCGCTAGGATTTTTATACTATGCTTTGACATAAAAGAAAGTTGCTTGTCAATATGTGTTTTTTTAGTTTACCAGCATATCAGATCTCACAAACAAATTTTAGGCTCGGATTGGATGTTTCTAGTAAAAACAAGAAAATCCAGGCATCACTAAAAGAATCAGAAATACGTTGTGGCTTGAAAGGTGCAAACTAAATAATATAGCTAGCAGTAACGGTCACCAACTCCTGCTTTTCTTTGGTTCAGTAGATAGAGTAAAATGGAAAATAGGAAACCAAGGTCAGTCCCCAAATCTCATTTTAACCAATAGCAGCAAAAAAAAAAAAAAAAAAAAGGAATTGAGTCTGACTTTTTCCCCTTGCTGTCAGCATAAAGATGGGGAATTGAGAGAGTTGGAAAGACATTCATTAGTTTGTTCAGATTATTAAATAACATGTCTTAAAGTTTATATTCCAAAATTGGGCTGTGAGGTTTTTTTGTTTTGCTTGTTTTCAGTGCATGTGTGGGGTGGGGAGGTGCAAAAAAATGTTTGCCTTCTAATATACAGCTTTGTTGTATATTAATTATATAGTAACAGTTGTCCCTGCTGCTAATGGTATGGAAAATGATTCTGTTGTGCTTTCTGAATACATATCATTTTAGAAGTTTCAGATTATACTAAAACCATGTTATTTCATATTAGTTGGACATGAATGCATATTTATATGACACATCATTATCAACTTTTGCCTTTTGCCATCTTTTTAGTGCAAAGTAAAACTGATATTCTTCAAATCCAAAGTCGTTTCCTCAGAAGTGTGTTTTGTGAGGGATTGCATCTTTCCCATGTGAAACTGTGTCGAACTCCAGTAAACTGTGTTTGCTTGGGAAAATGAATTCAAATGTAATTAGTTTGAATGAAGCTGTGGAAATGTTTGAAATGAGTATTTTGACATTGGACCTGGAGGTTTAAAAAAAAAAACCCTATTGAAAGAATAGTAAAATATATTGGATGTGGAGGTGAGAGTCAGTTGAGTGAATTTTCTGTGTTGTATGGTTTAGATTATCTGACTATCCCTTAATTATTTTGAAACCATTAACTTTGGATAATAAGGGCATTTAGGCAAACAGTTGACACATGGATTTCTTAAGGTAAAAAGTTTAGAGACTTCCAAACTAGTCCTTAAGAGGCGAATGGGTATTGTGTTTAAAGGAAGCTTTCAGATTGTGTTTAAACTTCGAGTAGTAATATTTGGAACTGTCTTTTCTCCCTATTTCCATGCCTCATACATCTCAAGTTTGAGCAGCAGCTTTCCATCCCCATGGCTCCAGGCCAATAGCTGCAGTAGAAAATCTAAAATAGAGGCCAGGGTTGGAATAATTAGCATTTTGCCAACCCCCACCCTCCCTGCCACCTGCCTATCTAGATGTGGACAGTATGTGCTGTGTTGATAGCATAGGGCCTGGGAAGGGTGGAGAGGGATGTAAATGAGGGCAGGGTGGACAAAGTTTGATTGGGGGTTGCGGGGAAGCTTGTAGAGGAATGTCTGTTAGATATTGATGGTATTTTGGTGGCGTTATGAGAAATGGCTGATAGTTTGCTGAAATGATTTAATAGTAAATAGATATTGTTGAACATTTTCTGTGTGTATAGGAAAGATCCTAGATATTTTTCACACTGGGAGAGAAGTGATGTTACTGGTATCTCATGCATATCTCTGGAGTATATAGATCGTAATATCAACTTTGGCTATCTGTATCGAAGTTTGTATTAACTGTCTTTATGTGTGTCATTTATGTCTCTTAACGTTTAGTAAGAAAGAAATTCCAAGGAAGGTAGGCAACTTTTAATTTTAACTTCTTTCCTTTACTTTTTTTTTGGGCGGGGTGGGGGGCAGACAGGGTTTCTGTTTGTTGCCCGGGCTGGAGCGCAGTAGTGTGATTGCAGCTCACTGCAACCTCTGCCTCCTGGGCTCAAGCGATCCTCCTACCTCACCCTCCCAAGTAGCTGGAACTACAGGTGCATGTCACCACGCCGGGCTAATTTTTGCATTTTTTGTAGAGACGAGGTTTCTCGCCATGTTGCCCAGGCTGGTCTTGAACCCCTGGGCTCAAGCAGCCTGCCCACCTCAGCCTCTCAAAGTGCTGGGCATGAGCCACTGTGCCTGACCCTTAATTTCTTTTTGGTAGGTATTCATTTTTCATTTGTTGTCTTAAGCTTCTAGTTTCACTCACTTACCTGTCTGCTAAATTTTTCTGAAATGTGTAATAAATGTTTTAATTTACCATCTCCCTTCTACCCTTCCCATCAGATTTGGGGTGGGGAGGCATCTCTACCAGGCAATTAATTCCCCTCTGAGCCTTTGAAATTAACATTTTTGTTTCTGTGGATTCAAGGAGCCTAAAGAACACAGTTCATTAGCATTCCTAAGAAACACCTAGGTAAGCTCCAACAAAAGATGTTAAAGCAATCAGTATTTTTAGGGACTTCAGATCTCCTGTATTTGTTGTTGTAAATGATGATGTTGGGAAAAGAATTTAACAGATCCCTGGGTATTCTGACGTTTTCCTATATTTTAAGAACGAAACCGACCCAGCCAGCTTGTGGTCCCATTATTCTTTATATTGTTTTTCTTAGCACACGCTAGCAAAGATAGATGCCTAGGACTTTTCTTGGCTATTGGAGTTTATAGAAAAAAAGTTCTTTGTTGAAGGTTAGTCCTCCACCAGAATAATACACCCTTTTTCCCCTTAGTAGAAGTCCAAATGTTAATCTTGCTATCATATATGTATGAATGCCCAGATTTATAAAGCTTTGTAGGTATATTACTGATTGTGCAGGAGACTAATCTAGGAGGCTTCAGGATCATTGTCATTTGTGGATCTCATTGGCTAAGACCTTTTACTTAACCTGACTCCAGTAAGGTAGCCCCTTTGTTTCCTTGTAGTTGACTATGTGAGCTCTTGCCAAGCAGCAGAAGTGGGATGAAGGGAACTAATTTTGAAAACTTATTAGGCACCACATTTTTATGTGCATTAAATCTGAATTGAATAAAGATAATATAGATTGCATAGGCTTATGGGGAGAACCAGAGACCAGGAAAGGAAACGTTTTTTTCTTTTTACCCTTTATGCCTTTTCATGTCCCCTTTTTGATAACATGCTGCCTTGGTCCAGATTCTGGAAACCCCACTCAGGCTGTAATTGGTAAGCTTCTAGTACAGATGTCAGAACCTGCCCTTGATTATCTGCTGTTAGAGATAGCTTGGACCCTTTGTATGTGGAATGTTAGGTCTAGGGGAAGAGTGGGGGTGTGAGGAGACAGCTGTGGTAAAATAGAAAATTGGTGTAGGATTCCGAAAAATCGAGATAAGTCCCTGTTCTTCCTATGAAACATGATCTGACCACTGAACCTTGTTTTCTTATCCATAAGCAAGGATAATATTTATGTTTCACAAACTGTTGAGAATTAGATAAGTATATGAAGGTGCCTCTCTGTCCTCATTGTAAAATGTAAACTTTGATGAGACAGCCTCTATTCTCAACTGGATCTTTATTTTGAATGTTAGGTTTGAAATAGTGATTGATGTTGGGGAGTCTGTCTTTCATTGGTATTCCCTGTTAAAGTTTTAAATCTTCTTGACATTTACACAGTGAATTGTAACATGTAACTAGTGTTGTTGAGTCTTTACCTAATTGAATCAGCAGAGCCTACACTGATGTCTTCCAGTTACAAAGCGGTCACTGTAAAGTAAAAGGTGTCTTCATATCTAGGTTTGGGCTGAGAAGGATCCAATTGTATATCTAGTTCCTACTTTTCTTTTTTTTTTTTTTTTGAGATGGAGTCTCACTCTGTTACCCAGGCTGGAGTGCAGTGGCGCAATCTCGGCTCACTGCAAGCTCCGCCTCCCAGGTTCACGCCATTCTCCTGCCTTAGCCTCCTAAGTTGCTGGGACTACAGGCGCCCGCCACCACGCCTGGCTAATTTTTTGTATTTTTAGTAGATACAGGGTTTCACCGTGTTAGCCAGGATGGTCTCGATCTCCTGACCTCGTGATCCACCAGCCTCGGCCTCCCAAAGTGCTGGGATTACATGCATGAGCCACCGCGCCAAGCCTAATTCCTACTTTTCTAAGAATGTTTACAGCAAAGTGGTCATTGCCAAAGGAACTTGTAGCAGTACAGAAGATGGGCTCAGAAATGAAAGAAGTCTATTGATGTGACTAATTTCTCAACCATTTAATAGAATTATGGATTTTCTATTAAAAATAACTTGACCCTTTTCGATGCATTTAATAAAATGCCAAGTTCATTATTTGTTAATTTTTTAAAACCACAAAATTCAATATGTCTTGTGTCAGCATATTTTTTCAAAGGCCACTATTTTACTTCTCCCCCAAAACGTTTTTAAATTAAACAGAGAACTCTCAAAGCACCTGAGAATTACTTCAGTTTTTCATTTATTCAAATAGTTGCTTAAAGTGACCAACTTGGTTTTCTTTGAAATAGTAATTCTTGGGAATAAGAATACCTTAAATAATATAATAAAGCTTATGTGTGAGAATTTAGTACCAAATGCCGTGTTAACAGTTATGCGTGAGTATAGGCATTTGGGAGATTCCATGAAAAAATTTGATAAAGTCAGTAGAAATTTCAGTAATGGCTCATAAGTCTAGCTAATGCTGAATATTGAATTGCCTTGAATTTGTTTTTTTGGAAGTGTTACTTAAAGGAAATAAACAAAAGTCATTTAAGGATGTGTTCACTAGTGTTCATTAGGTTTAAGCCAAATGGATCTTAGTAGAGATCTTACGCCATTCAGCAAAAGGATTATCACAGAAGCATCACAACAGGCGCAGACTTAAATTCAATTAAAAGTAGGCAGGAGGACATAATTTTGTTGTATAGAAATTATGGAATAGGGCCTAATTTTAAAGAGTCTTCAAAGATAAACATATCAGGAAAAATATAGCTCATAAAATATGGGGAAAAAAATCTGGGAAGATGAGTATTTGTTAATGCTCTGTAGCTCCATTGCCCTCAGTATACAAGGAATGTGCCCACAATAGGGTTGGATTTAAAAGTCTTCAAAGCTTTGGTCTCTTTTTCTTTCGTTTTCCTCTGATACAGAATGCGAATAGTCTCCCGGCCTCCAACCCCCTCTACATCCCCACCACCCCATAATAGAGACTTAAAGGGAATTTAAATTCGAGTTCTTGAGCTTCTGCTCAATGGCTAGGTCTTTGAACAAGTTAATATCAGAGCCTTAGTTCTTCACCTATAAAGTAGGTTTAATACTTACCTTACAACATTGAGGATTAAAGAGCATGAGAGGATTACTTTATGAAAGGTGAAGCTTAGAACAGAATTTTTAGTTCCTTGCCAATGCTAAAAAACAACAACAACAACACCTTTTTCAGAAATTGCTTTATTAGGCTTTTGTACAAAGGGAACATCTTTACTTTCTTTAAATTTGCACATATATCTATTGTGAAATTTTAACCAAGCTGGAGGGGTCACTAGGGAGCATTGAGTATGATACTATTGCTGTAAATCATAGAAAGGCTGGCTCAGGAGGGTACTGACTTGCTTTGACTTTGCGGCAACTTCAGTTGTCCAGTGACAAGGCTTGCTGCATACACACCACTTTGTTTGTTTCTCATACCTTAAATTGTGGATTAAAAATCTTTGGGGCAGGCCTGGAGGCTCATGCCTATAATCCCAGCACTTTGGGAGGCCGAGATGGGCAGATCACTTGAGCCCAGGAGTTCAAGATCAGCCTGGGCAACATGGGAAAAACCTGTCTCAACAAAAAAAATACAAAAATTAGCCAGGTGTGTTGGTGCATGCCTGTAGTCCCAGCTACTTAGAAGGCTGAGGTGGAAGGATTGCTTAAGCCCCGGGAGGTGGAGGTTGCAGTGAGCCGTGAGCATGCCACTGTACCTACCCCGTTTTGGGCAACAGAGTGAGACCCTGTCTCAAAAAAAAAAAAAAATCATCATCATCTTTGGCAGTGATTAACTTTCTCCTTTCACACTTGGGATGGTGCAATATTTGGCATCTACTTAGGAAGCTAAAATTTTCACGTTTAATTGTAAATGGAAAAGTTTAAGTTGCCATATTCATTCATACAAACATTCAGAAAGTGAATATTGTGACTAGACACAGATGAACAAGACAAACCCACATGCCTATCAGGATGAACTTTGAAATTAGTACGTTGTAGGTATATACAGTCACTTCCTCTGTTGAGATTTTTCATTAGGCCTCAGTACAAAGGCTGCTGTCATACAACATGAATGGGGACTGGAGGTACTTTCTGGCAGTTAATATTTCACTATCAGTGCAAGAGAGTGACGTCTCCATTTAGTCCTAATCGTGAGTTTTTCCCCCCTTAAAGAAATTGGAGACCTAGGACCTTGGATTTCCAAAGATTTCCAAACTCTTATTTCTTAAAATGTTACAAAAAATGGTTTTTTTTTGTATACCTATATACCCATTAAACTTTTTTGCCTGAAATAGGCAAAAAGATTTAAGTTCTGTGTATTTATTTCCTGTTATCTTTTTGTATCAGACATCCATGTTGCATGAATTTTAGAAAAATAGTTTTCAGCTGGGCTTGGTAATGGCTCATGCCTGTAATTCCACCATTTTAGGAGGCCGAGGCGGGCGGATCACGAGGTCAGGAGATCGAGACCATCCTGGCTAACACGGCGAAACCCCGTCTCTACTAAAAATACAAAAAACTAGCCGGGCGTGGTGGCGGGCGCCTGTAGTCCAGCTACTTGGGAGGCTGAGGCAGGAGAATGGCATGAACCCAGGAGGCGGAGCTTGCAGTGAGCCGAGATTGCGCCACTGCACTCCAGCCTGGGCGTCAGAGCGAGACTCCATCTCAAAAAAAAAAGAAAAATAGTTTTCACATTTCCTGAGCAGGTAGGTTGTCGGAATGGCTAGAGATGGTCACATTCTGTGTGAGAAATCATGTGACAATAGCTAATTCAAGTATTTGAAATAATTTAAATCCTTGAACTGAATTGATTGAAATAAAGTATTTAAAATCACCATCTTCACATATTTGAAGAACTAAAATCTTAGAGAATAAACTCTACTTAAAGTCCTGGGAAACTAATTTTATGAAACTATTGAAATATTATTGCCCCTTCCTAATCCATGAAGTATCTTGATATGGGTAATACATAAAAGCTGTTAAAGCTCTTCAGAGAAAGATGCAGAGTACATAGTGGTATTACTTACAGTGGTTTGAATACTAGAAAAGTGATCGGGACAAAATGTTAGACTTACTGTGCCTTAATCATACAGTCAGTGCATTTTTGCAGGAATGGATGCAATGTAAGTAGTTCTTACTATTTAATACCAGAAATGAAGAAACAGTAGCTTCTTAGGAATTGATTGTGGCTCAGGATCTATTTCTTAATTTTTAATGCTTCCACTTAACCAGGAGAGGAAAGGGAGGAGAAGGAACACAAATTTGTTAGTCTTTATAACTACTGGCTTGTTACACTTGATTTCCAAACCACAAGTGCTCCAGGGCCAGGCACCCCACACTGAGAAGTCCCTAAGAAGTGCATTTATTGGAAATTTGATTTTTAAAAAAAACCTCATCTCTACTAAAAATACAAAAGATTAGCTGGGCCTGGTGGCGCATGCCTGTAGTCCTAGATACTCAGGAGGCTGAAGCAGGAGAATCACTTGAACCTGGGAGGCAGAGGTTGCAATGAGCCGAGATGGCACCACTGCACTTCAGCCTGGGAGACAGCGAGGCATCGTCTCAAAAAAAAAAAAAAAAAAAAAGACCATGTTAGGTTCTGTTTAAGTAGTATTTCTTATACCCTGGAATGAATGAATGCCTCTTAGTCTTTAGAATTTCATAAGGTTTAGCTAGGTATACTCAATACTTCTCCATTTTACTACATATTTTTAGGAAGGCACTAGGTATTGTGAACTCCTTGAGAGTTCTAAACATCTCAGAGCCTGTTTGAGTATTGATGGCATAGTCACAGATACTCCATTTCCTTTCTAGGGAAGTCTGCCTGCATTACCACGTAACCCCAAGCCAGAAGTGTAACCACTTTTCTCTGACTTGCATTGAGCTTTTGTTATCCTCTTTTAATATTTCATTCTGTAGTAGTCTGTATTTATGTGTTTTCCTTATTAAGAAGTGGCCAGCACTTTGGGAGGCCAAAGTGGGTGAATTGCTTTAGCCCAGGAGTTCTAAAGCAGCCTGGGCAACATGTCGGGACCCCGTCTCTACAAAAAAATAACAAAAATTAGCCAAGCATGGTGGTGTGCACCTACAGTCCCAGCTACTTGGGAGGCTGAGGAAGGAGGATCAGTTGAGCCTAGGAGGTTGAGGCTGCAGGGAGCCATGTTTGCCCTACTGTGCCCCAGAACGAGACCCTGTCTCAAAAAAAAAAAAAAAAAAAAAATTAAGAGCACTGTTTCATCCTGTATGGTCAATACAGATGCTTTTACCAAATGTTTCAGTTGTGAAGTGCAAACTCCTTTCTCCCCCCAGCTGGTTGAAGATCAAGTGGGAGACTTTTGAGAGCTTAACAGTAAGTTTTCCTTGTTTTTCTCAAGCTGATATGCCTAAAAGTCACCTGGGGATGATTGGTGAAAATACATATTCCTACTCGTACACCTTGAAGTTGATTCTATAGTGGAAGGTACTGAAAATCTGCATTTTTAATGTATCTTCAACAATCCCAAATGATTCTGACTAATGCAGGTGACCCATAACCTCCTTTGGAGAAGTTGATCTATCTGAACTTTACTATCTTATTTGGCTAAAGATCTATATTTTGCTTCATTCAATTACGATACTCCACAGGTTAAGGTATAAAGCTTACAGGGTGATGATGATGATGATGATGATTATTATTATTATTATTTGGAGACAGAGTCTCCCTTTGTCGCCCAGGCTGGGGTGCAGTGACACGATCTGGGCTTGCTGCAACCCCCACCTCCTGGGTTCAAGCGATTCTCCTGCCTCATCCTCCTGAGTACCTGGGATTACAGGCACACCACCACCACACCTGGCTAATTTTTGTATTTTTAGTGGAGACGGAGTTTTGCCATGTTGGCCACGATGGTCCCAAACTTCTGGCCTCAAGTGATCCGGCTGCCTCAGCCTCCCAAAGTGCTTAGATTACAGTAGTGAGCCACCGTGCCCAGCCAAGATTACAGGATATTTTTAAAGGACCAGAACAGTATTTTTTAATATATGTTTATAAAAGCTTGATACTTCACTCTAAGTTATAGTTTCTACCTTTCAGTGAGCATTTACCAAATAGCAGATATAGTTAACTGCCTTTGCAGCTGTTTTACTGTGTGTCAGAATCCTAATCCTTTCTCCTACTTCAGTGTTTAACAAGCCATTTAATTCTGATGTTACTTTTTCGGATTGGGTGACAAGCAGAGCACAATGAGCAGGGTTTGTTTTCATACTAATACTAGGATGGTTAAATCAGGACTTTAGAAAGTAAGTGGAATAATTTAGTGGAATACTGAAAATCCAGTCTGTGGAGCTCACTGCCTTTAGATTAAATTAGTTGGGGACTTCAGCTCCTGATGGTACTGATTGAAATGGAAGCATTTGAATAAAGCAGTATAGTTGACGCTTGAACAACACGAGGGTTAGGGATGCTGACTCCTATGCAGTCAAAAATTCGAGTTATAACTTTTGACTCCTCGAAAACTTAACTAATAGCCTACTGTTGACCAGAAGCCTTACTGATAACAGAAACAGTCAATTAACACACATTTTGTATGTTATATGTATTATATACTATGATCTCACAATAAAGTAAGCTAGAGAAAAGGAAATATTAAGAAAATTGTAAGGAAGAGAAAATATATTTACCATTTATTAAGTGAAAATGGATCATCATAAAAGCCTTCATCCTCATTGTCTTGTTGAGTAGGCTGAGGGGGAAGAGGAGAGTTTGGTCTTGCTGTCTCAGGAGTAGCAGAGGAGAAAGAAAACCCTCATGTAAGTGGACTCAAGCATTTCAAACACATATTGTTCAGGTGTCATCTGTGGTTCTCAATGTGTGGTTTCCTGATCAGCAGAACTGCATTGTTTGAAAACTTGTTGGACATGCAGATTCTCGGGCCTCACCCATACCTACTGACTCTTAAACTCTGGGAGTAGGGTCTTAGCCATTTGGGTTTTAATGAGTGTCTACCAGGTGATCAGATGTGCACTGAAGTTTCAGAACCAATAGAATAGAGCAAGATACCAGTTTTGTAGTAATTCAACCTCTTAAGCAGTATTCCTTGTTCTTTCACAAGGAACCATGTATGGAGTTCATTACTTGTGCTTTCTTACAGTTGTGAAGTTGGAGTAATTCATAATCGGGGGAGGATCTTCTGGAGTATAAAAAAATTTAAGGAGCAGTTATATGATTAACACCAGAAAGGTTTCTTGTATTTCTACTGAATATATGCCACTTCAGTAGGAGAGGTGTGTTCAGTCTTATTCTTTCTACAGCTAGTGGCCCAGAGAATGGCCTGCGCATTTCAAGCCCTGTCAATGAGAATTGTCTAGACAAAGAAGGTCCCTTGGTTGAATTAGTAATAGGATACATGAAACAATGTGTCAGCACACTTAAAGTCTTTATGGCCAGACAAAGTATGGTCTTAGTGTGTTTGGAGGCCCCTGACCATTGGAAACAAAGGCAGTTTAGGCTGAGCTGTGGATCCGCACGTAGGCCAGAGGTTTGTAGTCACTCTCACTCTTCCCAGGCATTAAGCGTTCCTTAATGGAAGCAAAGGAGGACAAGCCTACAGGAATGGGCCTGCCCTAATTGAGCTGGCCTGAGAAGATACATTTTCAGGTTAGACAAGTCCTTTTTCCCTTTTAAGTTCTGCCTCTTGGGAAAGAAGATGCATTTGTAGTGCAGGGATGTCCTTGTGAAAATGTGACTTGTTATAGAGCAGTATTTGAAATGCAAGTGCCCAGCCGGGCGTGGTGGCTCACGCCTGTAATCCCAGCACTTTGGGAGGCCGAGGCAGGCGGATCACCTGAGGTCGGGAGTTTGAGACCAGCCTGACCAACATGGAGAAACCCCATCTCTACTAAAAATACAAAATTAGCCAGGCGTGGTGGCAGACACCTGTAATCCCAGCTACTCGGGAGGCTGAGGCAGGAGAATCGCTTGAACCCTGGAGGCGGAGGTTGCAGTGAGCCAAGATCATGCCATTGCACTCCAGCAGGGCAACAAGAGCAAAACTCCTTCTCAAAAAAAAGAAAAAAAGAAATGCAATTGCCCATCTTAAGGGTCTTGTACTAGTTAATTACTTTCAGAGATAAGTAAAAAAATTCCAGTGTTGTCTTCTATTAAGAGAGCAAAGGTAGTTAGTAAAAATGGGATTTGTTTGCCCTGCTCCCGAAGCTTAAAATAATTGCTCTATCTCAGTTTTGTCTTATGCTTCGGCAGACTAATAACTTCAGTTGAAATGTTTTCTGGGCAGGTGTTCATTGAGGGCCTGATTCTCCAGAGGTTCTGTGCAGAAGCAGGCTGCTTTGAGATAGCCAGCTTAGCCAGGCCTGGGAACCACACAGAATAGTGCAGTACCATGTAGGGAAAAGTCCTTGACTGGGCTGCAATAGGCAGAGTGGAGAGTGCTAGGAAGCAGAGTATTTTCCTGGATAATTTCATCCAGTAGAACTTTTTGTCATGATGGAAATGTCCTATATTTGTGCTGTCCAATATGGTAGCTATTAGCCATATGAGGTGTGTCTGTGTG
Source organism: Homo sapiens (assembly GCF_000001405.40). NCBI lineage: Eukaryota > Metazoa > Chordata > Mammalia > Primates > Hominidae > Homo > Homo sapiens. Next base: position 41,044,785 of record NC_000020.11, read on the forward strand.
TGTGTGAGTGAGAGAGAGAGAGAGAGACAAGAGTCTTGCTCTGTCATTCAGGCTGGAGTGCAGTGGCGCGATCTCAGCTTACTGCAGCCTCTGCCTCCCAGGCTCAGGTGATTCGACCCTCAGCCTCCCGATAGCTAGGATTACAGGCGTGGGCCACCACGCTCAGCCAGTTTTTTTGTATTTAGTAGAGACGGGGTTTTGCCATGTTGACCAGGTTTGTGTCAAACTCCTGGCCTCTAGTGATTCACCTGCCTCAGCCTCCCAAAGTGCTGGGATTACAAGCATGAGCCACTGCACCTGGCCTATATGAGGTTTTGAGCCCCCTTGAAATATGTGGTAAGTGGGACCAAAGAACTTAATTATTTTATTTTATTTTATTTTAATTTAAATATAAACTAGCCAATAGTGGCTACCATATTGGACAGCTCTAGATAAAATTTAGGTAAGACCCAAGAGATTGTGGTTTAGATTCTGCTTGGAATATGAGTGATTGGGGCTCTTGGAATTTAAAAATCCAAAGACACGTGTGAATTTGATGTTATGAGTTTGAATAACAGCCTTCCTTCAGTATGTCTACATTGTTTTATCCTGACTGACATTGTAAGTCCTAAGAGGACTTACAACTGGTAAGTAAAGTTGTGTTTACCAAAGCAGTTGGAAGTTCAGGCAGTTGTACGTTTTATTTGACCCCTTAGAGCTAAACAGGTGAAAATTTCAGGTCCTTTGGATGAAGTAAGTTCTCATTTTATCTCAGCAACCCTATGAGGTAGGTTATGTCTGTTGCGTAGTTGACAAAACAGATGAACTTATATTTATGTACACCTTTATGGATTAGTAGCCTTTAAAATGGTTAGTTTTATCCCACAACTTCATTTGAAATTGTAAGTTTCTAGCATGTTGCCTATAACAAGAAGGTAATTTATTTCTATTTGTTAAATTGTTATCAGTAATAAGTCAATATCCTACTATAAGTGGTAGAGAATCAAAGATTGTAGACTACCAAATAGCACCCAAGAGGCTAATTCATGCAAGGTGTTGCTTATAGTAAAAGCAGATCAGAACTCAGCTGCTGTATGCCATCTGGGGTTATCTTCTCACTTGCACGCTCATGACCAGTGTAGGCTGCATCTTATAAGTAATCTGGCTCACAGTTAGCTAGACATATATTAGTCTGATGGAACAAAATCCGATTGTAGCTTTGACCACTATGAGGACCACTGTCATATAAGGTCTTAGATACCAACTTGAGTAAATTGCTTAAGGACTGGGAATAGATCCAGATTCCTCCAGGTTTAGCTTCAAGTTGTGATCAGTTTTCGTGGGATGCAAGGAGAAAATGAATAGGAATGAAATAAATAGCTGATATTTGAACATTTTTAATGCCCTAGGCAGCGTCTTAAGAATTCTAAGCTTTCATTTATCAATCCTGAGGTAGTTAACATTACTATTTCCAGTAATGTTCACTGGGCCAGTTTACTTTTGAAGAAATTGAATCTCACGGTTTAAGTAAAGTAACTAGCTCAAGGCTATATAGTTATAACTAAGCCACAGAGCAGGGAGGCTAATCTAGGCCTACCTCATGCCACAGCCTGAGTTCTTAGTTGTGATACAAAACAAGGTAAAGGGGGACCTGGGGTGACTTAGTTGCCTCCTGAGAATTCTGGGCTGTGGTGGAATTACCCATCAGACTGGGGGCGCCCATCTCTTCACTTATGATGTGTCCTTAACAGACTAAATGCAGGCTCTGCTGCACTTTAATGTAATTCTTTCCCTATTAAGGGAAGCTTGCTTGCCTTTGCAGCAAAGCCCCCTGGATAGTTTATTTTTTAGCAGTTCAGCTTGTGCTTGGACCCAGTTGTTCCAGAAATCAGTAAAACCTATTTGAGTATTCAAGAAAAAGGATCTTTTTGTTAACTAAGGATTAACTAGAAACCTTATTTTATAAGGGTTCCTGAAGTCTGCTTATTTACTAAGGAATTTCATCAGAGGTGGTTAGCATTTTGTGAACAAGTATGATGTTGTTCCCACTTCAAGGGGAATAAATAACAAATTTAACCAGCTTGCTGCTTAAGAAGCAGAATTAGCAGTGGGCCAGTCATTGGCCTCTCTTCAGAGTTCTCATGTGACTCACTTAGTTTTGCAGAGTGAGGTAGATTTTAACCACTTTCAAGTCAAGTTGATTGGCCATTCATGAGCTGTGTGCAGGGAGAGAAGAGAGACGAGAACAAGTTAGCAGAAAGCTGAGGTGTGTTAGACGGGAGTTGTAGGTAAGTCAGGGAGGATATTCTTCATTTAGACCCTGAGCTTGAGTAAGACACCTTTCTACAGGAGACATTGCGGATACTTTCTAGTTAGTACTAGCGCAGTGTTCTGCAAACTACACCTGCTTTTGTGTGGTCCACGAACTAAGAATGGTTTTGTATTTTTAAATTTAGGCATGTGCCACATAACAAGATTTCTGTCAACAATAGACCACTTATATAATGATGGTCCCATAAGATAGAAGGTGGTATTTTTACTGCCTCTTTTCTGTGTTGCAGATACGTTCAGATACACAAATACTTAACACTGTGTTACAGTTTCCTACAGTACTGTAACATGCTGTACAGGTTTGTAGCCTAGGAGCAACAGGCTATACCATATAGCCTAGGCGGTAGTAGGCTATACCATCTAGGTTTGTGTAAGCACACTATGATGTTTGCATGACAAAATCGCCTAATGACACATTTCTCAGAATGTAGTTGGAGGAAAAAAATTGAAAGGAGAGTATTACTTCATGACACAGGAAAATCATTTGAAATACAAATTCCAGTGTCCATAAATAAAGTTCACTAGAATGTGGCCATGCTCATTCATTTACATGTAATCTGTGGTAGTTTTTGTGCTACTGTGGCAGAATTGAATACTTGCAGTGGAACTTGAATGGGCTACAAGGTGTATTTAGTACCTGGCCCTTCACAGAAAAAGTTTGCTGACCTGATTGAATGTGCTTGTGTGTATCACAGGAAGCTCACCAGGACTCTTGGTATGTAGCCTCTAGCTCCCAAAGGCATCTGAGCCCCACTGGCAGGACTCAGTTACCTGTCTCTGTCTAAGCATGACTCCACCCATTAGCGTCCAGACAACGAAGAAAACTTCTATTTTAAAGAGCTTGACTAACCCCCTCCTTATTATCTAAGTTAGAGTAGCTGTGCCACCCCTTAAGTAGCTTTTCCTTCTTCCTTTCAAATAGGGGTTGGAAGAGTAGCAGGTGAGAACAACCTCTTTCTTCCTCAATTGTAGAGACTCAATAGTCTAGGCTATAAATTAAAAAAAAAAAAAAAAAATTCCCCAGAGGCTGACTCAGCACATGCCTGCCTTTTAAAGGAACAGAGAGACCCAATTGGAATAGAAACTGAAAATAAAATCAGCAGCACATGAATTTTTGTAGGTGGCTCGTATTTGCTATTAATATTGCTCAGAAGACTCAGGAATAAGAAATAATAATGCAGGGTTTCTTCAAAATATGGTTCTGGACAGTGGATTATAGTTACCTGGAGAGCTTGTGTTAAAATATCTGAGGATGATTCCAAGTACCAGGGCTTATACACAGGAATACTTGAGAACCACTGCACTCAAGCATTTAAAATTTTCCTTTTACCTAAATCCACATGGGCCAAGACAATTTTTAAAATTCATAGAATTCATGTGACCAGACGTAAGGGGTCAATAAAGGTCATTTTATAGATCAGAAAACTGAGACCCAAAGCTGAGAAATAAGTTATCTAAAACCCCACCAGGACATTGCATTAAAGGAGTTGCTCTAAGCGTGTCTTCTTACTATTAGAAAGTGAAATTGACTTTTAAATCTGTCACTTAGTTTTTGGCATAATAATAAAACAATGAACAGTCTGTTCTGGCTCTAATTGCGCCTAGAATCTCCAGATCAGAAGACCTTCTTGTAGATCAAGTAACATACTTCTCTGAAAGACAGTTTGTCGGTCCTATCACTGAAGTCTGAATTATTTTTTTGATTTTTAAATATAATTAATTGGTCCCTGGAAATGAGAACCAGAGGAAGATAAGAAGATGAACTTGAATTTAAGGACCATAATGGAAGGAGTGGGATGGGAAAGAAGGCTGTAAAATAAGACAGTGGTTGTGGAGAGACAGATTAAGGTAAGGAGAGAAGGTTGTAAAATAAGACAGGAAGGGGTTGTGGAGAGACAGATTAAGGTAATTGTGGTGTTGTAAAGCCATAAAAGAAATTTAAATGCGGAAGTGGCCTGGAAGAGAAAACATTCTCTGATCATTTAACCCTTTTGTGTGTGTGTCAGTTTGAGGCGTAAAGTAGACGAATAGCCTCCTTCTTGTGTGTCTTTTCCATGGCAAAGCCTTTAAGGATAATAGCTGACCACTAATCTCACACAGCTGCTGATGTTTAAGAACCTAATTCTTGAAGTGTTTTTAAGTCAGTTTGTGGCATTTCTTCTGAACACTTGGGCACTTTGGAAATTGTAGTGACAGGTTTTAGAAATTTGAAGTTGTGTTGCAGAGGTGATAACAAAATTGGGTCTTTGAGCAACTCTGAGTCTTTTAATGCAGTGCACTTCTAAGTTTCCGATGGTATTTCCCCAAGTTTTGAATATTGAAAAGAAAGACCACACTTTGCAAAATAATTGGCAACTTTCATTTAATTCAGTTTGACCCTGTCTTGAACTTGGTCTTTGTAACTTCTTATGAGGGTCTTTTCCAACGGTAACATTAGAGGCTGATTCTGGAACTTCATGGAGGCAAGTCCAGTGAAACTTGGGCAGTTAGGGGGACCCTTTCCCTCTCCCTTTTCAAAGTTACTCAGTCAGCAGCTGCTACTGTTGGGATGGCGCGGTCAGGTGGGTATTATGCTTATTATGAAACTTGATGAGGGCAGGGACTCAGTTTTGGGGCTGAGTTGTATTTCAACACTTAAGTGGCACTCAGTAAATACTTGAACAAATGAATATTGTGAATCCCAACTTCCTTAAGGACAGAAGAACTATTTATACTTGTCTGCCATCTTCTTAGCTAGAGATTTTTTTTTTGTTTGTTTTGTTAGCTTTCAAGTTGAGGTCCCTAACAGGGGAATCCCATAGTTTCAATGATGAACAGGTCCATGACAAAAATTCTTGTTTATATGCAATACACATTTAGGGAGAATAAATGGTCATGTGGACTTTAAAAATTGGAAATGTTACTAGTCTCTTCTCTCATTCTTTTGTTTTGTTTTATGTTGAGGCAGAGTTTCACTCTTGTTGCTTAGGCTGGAGTGCAATGGCACGATCTTGGCTCACTGCAACCTCCGCCTCCGGGTTCAAGTGATTCTCCTGCCTCAGCCTCCCAAGTAGCTGGGATTACAGGTGTGCATCACCATGCCCGGCTAATTTTTGTATTTTTTAGTAGAGATGGGCTTTCACCGTGTTGGTCAGGCTGGTCTTGAACTCCTGAACTCAGGTGATCCACCTGCCTTGGCCTCCCAAAGTGCTGGGATTACAGGCATGAGCCACTGCTCCCAGCCCTCATTCATCAGTTTTTTAAGGGTTTCTTTAGAGCTGAATCCTCCCAGCAGTTTTCTTTCCTTTTGAATTCCAGAGCTCTTTGGGCCTTTAGCCAGAAACAGTCTCTGTCCTGCTTACTTTGAAAGGCTGTTAACTATGCCCTGGAATTTTGGAAATGTTCTCCTTGAGAATTGCTGTAAAGTAGTGATAAGGACTCTTCTGTAGGCTACAAATTGAAACCAGCCACCATTAAGATGGCTCACAGACAGGGTGTCCTGGATTGAAACTGGACCAACGTTGGTATAGTCTGAATTTGAGGAGTAAAAAGAAATATGCCCTTCCCTCTCCCCTAACAGTTGGGGAATACTTGTTTTTACTCCTCAACCATTCCCCTTTTAATGATGACAAGTTTTCAGGCTTTTTCACTGCCTTTAGTTTTGCATTAAGTTCCTGGGAGATTCACACACCCCTGATATTTACTGCACTCCTGGATGCCAGTTTTTTATCACTCAAGACCAGCTTGTTATCTGTCCTAGACAGAAGCCATCTTCTTTTAAAAGTATTAGAACATACTGGGTATAGAGTGTTAAAGAGAATGTTGATTTTTTTAAAACTTCTGCTTTTGGGGATGTGATATGGGTTTGAAAGTCAGGGAGGAAGTAGAAGATGTAAGGGTTTGCCCCAGTACAAGAGTTTTAATAATGAGGTGATAAATATTTTCTTTAAATAATTTATTCACCCATTGTGTTCACTCAAGTGGTTCTAGTGTTCACTTTCCTTATGCGCTAGTTGTATATTTGTATGTCAGAGAAGAGCAGAGATTATCTTTGACAGAAGTTATATTGTGAGTGTCTTTTTGGAGAAGGTAGGTTTTGATTGTGTAACTATGCCACACCTCCATTCCCCATACACTTGACTTGATGATTATCTTTGAAGGAGGAGCCCATCATATTATACAGCTGCCCTAAGTCTCAAATCTATCATCAAAAGGCAGTGTAAAGGGGACTGGCTCAAAACATGGCAAAGAGTCTCCTTTATATCAGAAAGCTCTCTGCCTTTGCTTATAAGGCAGCAAAGGACTCTTCTTCCTGCCCTGATCTGATTACCCTAAAAGCTTTAAGATCATGGAATAGTTGATAAAACAGTCAGTATTCTGTGCTGATGACTTATCCTTTTCTCCCTTAAGAAAGAGTAAATGTTTTTGCTTGGATTGAGTTTAGAGACACCAGATAGAATAAGATTGGCAACACTGTTAGCCACCTGCTGACCACAGCTAAACAGGCATATGTGCTTCTGCATGGGGAATGCTATGGCGTTAACAGTGCCTTCCTTAAAACCTGTAAGTTCGTTAGGCTTCCGGGTACCAGGGTTGTTAGAGTAGGCCACAGTTTACTTCCTTTTTCATAAGTGCTTTTCTTTCCTGGATCTCAGTATAGGAAGGAAAATCAGACAGCATTTCTCAGTTGTTGGCTCGGTGGGCATTGTGAATGGGTATGGTTGCTGCCTCAAATGCACATATACAACCTGAGCTAAGTTGTATGAAATGATTGAGTAGGCTGACTTCAGTTCTATGTAAATTAATCAAGGAGAAGGTTTAGGAATGGTTGTACCGCATTGACAGTTGTTAACATGTTTATAATTTCTTGGAGATTAGCCAGGAATTCTGTTACAACTACACACAAATATTGATTGACTTTCAAAATAAAATTCTTTAAAATCACTGAAATTTTCTGAGCCCAAGTTTCTTCATCTGTAAGATAAGCAAATTTACTAAGGTCATGGGTATCTAGTACATGATGGACAGAGATTTGAAGCTCTTTACCACTGATTTATGCTACCTTCTCATAGATCTAGTAGTTAAGTGACTTTTACCCAAGGTCATACACTGAGTGATAGAACAAGGATTTTGAATAAGATATTTTTCACTGTTGCACTGGTCTGCTTTCTCCAGCTTCCTTCAGAGGTCCCTAAAGGGGACCTCTGTGCTGCTCTGCAGTGCCTCTATCACATTAGGGTTTGGTCATGGTCTTTTGTGCTCATCATGTTTGAACATGTTTATCAAAGTATTTTACAGACTTGGTTATTTCTTCCCCTCATGTAATTTGTGTATTTGTCTGTTTTCCCTATGGAGAATGAACTTTTTATCTTATATATGCCTGATGTGACATTGATTTGGCCACTTGGGGTTGACCTTGTACTTGGTTTCCATATCTGCAGCTTCATTGTCATTTTGGGTTTAGGCCAGCTTTCAGGAACTTTTTAACAGTTGGATCAAATTTTGTTGGATTCATTTGATACTGAGTTTCTTATTCCTGTATATTTTGTTTCCTTTCTATCTAAGCAGAGAACTAGGACTCTAGAGTTACAAGAAGTTAGAGTATATCTATAACTTTTTTAAAAGAAAAAAAAAGGACCAGGCATGGTGGCTCACTCCTGTAATCCCAGCACTTTGGGAGGCCAAGGCAGGTATATCACTTGAGGTCAGGAGTTCGAGACCAGCCTGGTAAACATGCTGAAACCCTATCTCTACAAAAATACAAAAATTAGCTGGCCATGATGGTATGCACCTGTAATCCCAGCTACTCGGGAGCCTGAGGCAGGAGAATCTCTTGAACCTGGGAGGCGGAGGTTGCAGGGAGCTGAGATTGCACCACTGCACTCCAGCCTGGACAGTAGAGTGAGACTCTGTCTAAACAAACAACAAAAAAAAACTCTGTTTTGGACACATGACTTTAGGGAGATAAACATAACTCTGGGATTTTATTTTTTAATATGCTCCTGAAAACAGTCAACTCTCCCATTTCCTAGCTGGGAGAAGTATGTCTCACTTAATTTTGCTCATTCAGGAGAGGATGAATTTTTCAGCAATGATAGTAATAGCTGGCTGTTGCAACTCATTTCTTGCTGCAGCGTAGCACATCCACCAAGAATGCCCTTTCACCTTCCTTTGTCTTGCCAACTCCCTCTTAGCTTTCAGTAAGACTTGGCTCAAACTGCATCCTCCAGGAAGCCTATGTTAACTCCTAACTGCCACTCTTGGATCCAGGGTTTTTATTTCATCTTGTTCGCTGGTGGAACCGGGCTGTTTTATCTCATTATATTACTCTTCACTTTGAAACAAGGAGGCAGTTAACCTAGATTCAGTATTTTTACTCTTAGACTTTTTTTCCCCCAAAATGCCCATAAATTAAGCAATCTTACTGCCTTACTGCGCTTACTGAAAAATAGCAGCACAGCAGAAAAATAGAAAATCTTGCTATCATGTAAGAGATGTGGAAGTAATGGTGCCCACATGCTTCATTTGGAAAATGTCTATTACCTTTATAAAGAGTTTGTATAGTTTCTAAATACAGGAGCATTATGATGCGATAGAAACTGTTACTTTAATGTTAATTGACGTTCGAAAATTTGAGTTTCAAATGTTTCCTAAAACATTTTTTCTTAACCCTTTTGCTATTCCATTGATCTGCCATTCTACATTCTGCCTCCTTTGTTTCCCTGTCACTTATTAAAAATACTGCCTCTTAACTTTGTTGTCATCCACTTATTTCTCTAGATACACCTTGGAGTGTTTTTTCAGGCTGAATTGTTAGGCATGGGATTGCTGGGTTTAAAGAGGGAGTGTGTGAGTTTGTTTGATTTTGCCAAATTCTTCCTTCATGGGGGTTATACCAACTAGATGCACCTTATTTTCAGAGATGGTAAAATGAGGCAAAAAGTATCTTAGATTTGAGGAAATCGTTACCACCCAGAGTTGTGAAACTTAGAGGTGATATATGTAATACTGCCTTGCACAAAATATACATTTAGTAAAGGATACTGATATGGTTTGGCTGTGTCCCCACCCAAATCTCATGTTGAATTGTAGCTCTCATAATCTTCCTGTGTTGTGGGAGGGACCCGGTGGGAGGTGATTGAATCACCCGGGCAGTTACCTCCATGCTGTTCTTGTGATAGTGAGTTCTCATGAGGTCCGATGGTTTTATAAGGGGCTTCCCCACCCCGCCCCCGCACCTGCCCCACTTTGCTTCACACTTCTCCTTGCTGCCATCATTTGAAGAAGGACGTGTTTGCTTCCCCTTCCACCATGATTGTAAGTTTCCTGAGGCCTTCCCAGCTCTGCAGAACTGTGAGTCAATTAAACCTCTTTATAAATTACCCAGTCTTGGGTATGTCTTTATTAGCAGCGTGAGAATGGACTAATACAGATACCTAGATACCCATTATTATCTTTTGTGAACTGGGACTATTTCTCTATCGTAAGAGTGGTAAGAAACTTGAGTTGAGATAGTGTTTGAAAGCACGCTAGCATGGTGCTGGCACCCGTATTAGTGCCCTTTTCTCTTGTGTGCCTTGGGCAGCCAGCTACTTGAGATTATATCTTAATTACCTTAATGGATTGTAAACTCCTTGAGGGCAGAGTCCTTGTCTGGTGAGTCTTTAGCAGGAAGCTTTGGACTTGAATATATTTGGTTTTAAATTGAATTAGTCTTCAGAATATATTTCTGAAACAGTAGGAAAAGGATTTCTTTTTTTTCTTTCTTTTTTTTACACATTAGCCCTCAACTCCTGTGTAATGCTACCTAACATCTATTCCTACAGTAGGAAAAGACAGAGACACTTTCCTTTTGTCTGTCGGAAGCTTCTTTACTTAAAAGCTTTTTAAACCCCAGGGAATACGTTAGGTAACAATAGCAAAAGATGTTGATTCCTGTTCTATCTGTTTAACTTATCTGTCCTTAGGGAGTAACTCCAGTTAAATTACAGTGAAAGGAGTTAGTTGCCATAAGTCTTCTGTTTTATCAAGATTGCTTTATTGCAGGGGGCTTCCTCCCATGTCTTCATCTAGAATTTTCACTAGGAATTAAAATATTTGTTACTAGAAAGCATTAGTTGGCCTGAATTCACAGTGAATTAGGTTTTCTGATGATTTAATGTGCACTGGTTTGCATCTTTCATATCTGTCAGTTAAATTCAACACATTTCTTTTTGCACTTAACAGGTGCTTGAAGTGGCAGGGTCCTTCCTCTAAAACATTTTAAATAACACTAGTAGATGAATTCCAGTTAAGGGGAAAAGGTATGTGCTGAAAGTAATCTTCAAGGCCACAGTATGTTCTCTCCAAACACATGTTTTCACCACGAGGGATGTAGATCTGTGTGCCCTTATTGGCTTTACTTTTTCACTTACTGGCATCTCTTCTGACCAACATCTTTAGTCAGATGTCCCACTGTTACCTTAGATACAATATGGCTCAGGCTGGTCCATCATTTCTCCAGTATTTTTCACCATCTTTATTCTGTACAAGTTTCTTGTTTTTGCCAAGGCCCCTTGTTCCCCCAGTCACCTGGACGTAAAGACTTTCTCTGACTCTTTATTACACTGCATTTATTACACATAGTAGTGAGTTCCTGGAACTGGGTTCTACTTCCATTTTCCCAAATGTGCTTTTACATTTTTTCCTTCCTTCTTAGTTCCTTTGCTGTCACTTTTTTTGTAGATTGCTTCAGAAACCTCTAACTATTTATTTTGCTTTTACTTTTATCTCTTACTATGCCTTAACACAAACCCTCTCTTGGAACTAGGCCAGTCTTCTTGCCATGCCCTCACATAATAACACAAAAATGAAGGGTTGGAAAGGAAGAAGCTTAAAGATAATGTTTAACTTATGAAAAGTTTCAAGCATACACATAGAGAAATATAATGAACTCCCATGTGTCTGTCACTCAGCTTCAGTAATTACCAACCTTTTGCCAGTTGAATTTTGTCTATCCCCGTATCCCTTGGTGCTCCCCCAACCACCACCACCAGAGAGTATTATAAGCAAATTCCAGGCATCGCTTACATGGAAGTACTTCAGTATTCATCTTTAGAGATTCTTTAATCTGTCAGTTTACCTACTGCAGAATATCTCTACAGTTTCCCTTTCAGTTGGTTATTTAGTTTGTTTAAATGCTTTTGGCGTTCAGAAGGCATCCCATTCTTTTAGTGGTTAGTTCTTTTGTACTGACCTCAATTTGCCTCCCTATCATTTCTCAGCAGTAATATAAATTTATATTTACTCAGAAATTACAAATTTACTGAGTAAATTTATATAATACAATATAATAGTCATTAAGATATTTGAAGAAGTTGCCATGTAATACACTTTTTGACACACCTTTCACAGCACACATAGCACATGTAATAACTTTTATTTGTGTTTTAGAGAGAGGGTCTTGCTCTGTAGCCCAAGTGGAGTGTGGTGATGTAATCATAGCTCCATCCTTGAACTCCTGTGCCCAAGCAGTCTTCCCACCTCACCCTCAGAGCAGCCAGTATTACAGGTGCACCAAGATGCCCAATTAATTTTTTAAACAGTTTTCGTAGAGACAAGGTCTTGCTATGTTGCCCAGGCTGGTCTCAAACTCCTGGCCTCAAGTAAGCCTCCCACCTTGGCCTCCCAAAGTGTTGGGATTGTAAACATGAGCCACCGTGCTCAGCCATTCCTTTAAAATAGGAATACTTGGGGTTCAGATCTTTGACCTAGGTCTTATTTGTATCAATGAGATTAATGAGCCACAGCCCCGAGTTTCTCACCAGACATTTTTGATTTGCATTTTTAGACAGCAGTTGCTTTAAAAAACTTGGGGACCTGGCTTAAAATCAATTTTGAAATTTTGTGCATTAAAAAAAAAATGTGGCCGGGCGCAGTGGCTCACGCCTGTGATCCCAGCACCAGACTTTGGGAGGCTGAGGCAGATGGATTGCCTGAGCTCAGGAGTTCGAGACCAGCCTCGGCAACACGGTGAAACCCCATCTCTACTAAAATACAAAAAATTAGCCGGGCATGGCGGCATGCACCTGTAGTCTCAGCTACTCGGGAGGCTGAGGCAGGAGAATTGCTTGAACCCGGGAGGCTGAGGTTGCAGTGAGCCGAGATCACACCACTGCACTCCAGCCTGGGTGACAGAGTGCACCTGTAGTCTCAGCTACTCAGGAGGCTGAGGCAGGAGAATTGCTTGAACCCGGGAGGCTGAGGTTGCAGTGAGCCGAGATCACACCACTGCACTCCAGCCTGGGTGACAGAGTGAGACTCTGTCTCCAAAAAAAATAAAAAAAAAAAAGTTATTGGCAGACTGTTATCTGAAACCTGCCTGGAATTACTTTCAATTTATCCTTTACTTAATTTCCTTTTTAAGTTTAGAGCTTTTTAGTGATTTAAGCAAATTTTCCTATGTACACTAGTATTTGTCAAGATAAATTTTTAAAGCTTGGTCCATTTTTTACTATAAAAGTAATTGTGGGGAAAACTAGAAAACAAGATGAAGTATATGCACAAAAACTCAAGTTACTCATAAATTGACTACCCTAAGATAACTGCTTTTAATATTTTGATGTCTGTATTCCAGTCTTCTTCATATGTATTTATGCGTTTGTTGAATTATACACAGAGTAGTTTTTTTTAATGTGATGTCCTTTCCATACTCTAGGGCTGTATTAGCAGATCTTGATGTTCTGAAGCTTGTTTATTGCATCTGGCCTGCAAACAAAATTAATTGACACACATGCTTTATTCCAGATTGTGGTGCTATTACATGTATTGTCATTATTATGATTTTAGCCATAAGTGTTTGGTTTGAGGCAGAAGTAGTGGGATATTGCTGTCAAGTAAACTGGGGCCACTAACCTTGTGGGAATCAACTTAGCATTTTAAAATTATAGACTCGAGGTTTTTAGAAGAAGCTGAAGGGTTCTGTATGCTGCATGGAAGATTGAGTTCAAATCCTACTTCTGACACCATATGATATTATTTTTCCCATCTCTGTAGGATGGGAATTTCTTACAGTTAGTACTACGGTCATGCAGATTTCTATTTTCCCAGGGCCTGACACAGAATAGATGCTCAGCAGATTATGACACATGTGGCTTCTTTTGCTGTGAGCCAGTCATGGGATGAAGACACATTGCCTATGCATTATTAATTGATTGCTATAAAACATGTTGCCTCAAAATATAATAGCTTAAAACAACAGACACTTATTTTCTCATGTAGTTCCTGTGAGTCAGGAATCCAGACATAGTTTATCTGGGTGGCTTTGGCTTACCATCTGTAGATTGCAGTCAGTATGTCAGCCAGGGCTGCAGTCATTTGAAAACTTAATTTAGGCTAGAAGGTCCACTTCCAGGATGGCTCATTCACATGGCTAATTGGCAGGAAGCTTAAGTTTCTTACTACATGGGCCTTTCCAGAGGGCTTCTGAGTGAGTACATGACAGTGTGTCACTGGCCTCCCCCAGAGCAAGGAGAGAGCAGGAAGGAAGATCTAATACCTTTTATGGCCTAGTGTCGGAAGTTGCCCCCTCACAATTCCACTTCATCTTGTTTGTTAGGAGTGAGTCACAGTGTCCAGCCCACACTCAAGGGGAGGGGAATTAGGCTATACCTCTTGAAAAGCGGAGTAACAAACAATCTTATAGTCAAGATTGTGTTTGTGTAAGGTTAGAATAGAGGGTCCGGAAATAGACCTATAATTATATGACCGCTCGAAAACGCCAAGACAATTTAATGGGGAAAGGGCCATCTTTTAAAAAATAATGCTAGGCTATTCACAGTAGCAGAAACATGGAATCAACCTCAATTTTCATTAATGGTAGACTGGATTAAAAAAAAGAATGTGGCGCATGTACACCACGGAATACTGTGCAGCCATAAGAAGAACGAGATTGTGTCCTTTGCAGGAACATGGATGGAACTAGAGGCCATTACCCTTAGCAAACGTAACAGAGGAACAGAAAACCAAGTATTGCATGTTCTCACTTATAAGTGGGAGCTAAATGATGAGAACACATGGACACATGTAGGGGAACAGCAGATACAGGGGCCTTTTGGAGGGTGGAGGGTGAGAGGAGGGAGAAAATCAGGAAACATAATTAGTGGGTACTAGGCTTAATTCCTGGGTGATGAAATAATCTGTACAACAAACCTCCATGACACGAGTTTACCTATATAACAAACCTGCACATATACCCCTGAACTTAAAAGTTAAAAAAAAATGGTGTTAGAACAACTTGACGTCTTTATTGATTAGAAAAAAATGAACACTGGCCCTTAACTCTGCAAAACTGCTAGAAAATAAATAAATAAATAAATAAATAAATAAATAAATAAATAAATAAATAAGGTGGTGGTGGTGATATGCCCTTGTAATCCCAGCCATTCCAAGGGCTGTGGCAGGAGGATTGCTTGAGCCCAGGAGTTCGAGAGGAGCCTGCGTAACATCGTGATATAAGAAAATGAGACTCTTTCCCTGCCTTTCCCTGCAAAAGAGAGAGAGAGAAAATCTGTGTAGCCCTTGAGTAGGCAACGATATCTTGGGGCACAAAACATACAGACCCTAAAAGAGAAAATTGATGAAGTGGACTTGATCAAAATTTAAAACTTTTGCTCTTTGAAAGACACCATTAAGAAATAAAAACAAGAAAATGATGGGGAGAAAATATTCACAGTTCGTATAGCTAACAAAAAATTGGTAATCCAGAATGTATAAAGAGCTCTTACAACTAGGTAGTAAGAAGACCAAGAAAGATTTGAGCAGATACTTCACCAAAGAAGGTATATGAGAGGCCAACAAGCACACCAAAAGATGCTTGTCATTAAACATCATTTAATCATCAGAAATATGTGAATTGAAACCACAGTGAGGTACCACTCCACACGTGCTAGAATGGCTAAAATTAAAGACTGATAGCAGATATTGGTGAAAATTTGTAGCAATTGGAATGCTAATGAATTTTTGATGGAGATATACAATGGTACAATTTGGCAATTTCCTGTAAAGTTAAACATACATTTTTTATATTACCCAGTAACTTTTCTCCTAAGTATGTACCCAAGAGAAATGAAAACATGTCTATAGAAATATTTGTATATGAATGTTTGTAGCAGATAAATAATAACCAATGCCTGGAAACAACTAAATTGTCCAGCAGGTGAATGGGTAAGTTACAGTATATCCACACAATGTAACACCACTCAGCAATAAAATGGAACCAACAACTGATATATCCAACAATGTGGATGAATGTCACAAATGTTATGCTGAGAGAAAGACATCAGACACAAAAAGAATAAATCCTATATGATGTTATTTACATGAAATCTAGAAATCTAGACAAATCTAATATACAGCACGATCAGATCAGTGCTTCCTTTGGGCAAGGGGTGGAAGATGGGGAATGACTGGGAAGGAGCACGAGGGAAACTTTCTGAGATGATGGACTTGTTCTAAATCTTTATTGTAGTGGGGATTGCACCTGTGGGTGTCTTTGAAATGTTTATTATTACAGTTATTTCTTAATATTTGTAGGGGATTGGTTCCAGGACCACCCCACCCCCTGTCCCTAGTATACCAAAATTTGCAGATGTTCAAGTTTTTTTGTATATAAAATGGCACAGTATTTGCATATAACCTACACAATCCTTATATATACTTTAACTCACCACCACATTACTTAGATTACCTAATACAGTGTAACTATATAAATAGTTGTTATATTGTGGGGGGATTTGTATTTTTTTGGTTGTATTGTTATTACTATTTTTATTTTTCCTTGAATATTTTCAGTCTGCAAATGGTTGAATCTATGGTGCTGAACCTGTAGATATGGAGGGCTGATTGTATTTTATTGTTTAGACATTACACCTTATTAACATTCATTTAAAAACATCTGTTGAGGTTTGGATTTTTCAGAAGTTATAACATCTGATCTTTAGAGTCAGTGTTCAATACTATCCCTTTGTTATCATTTATAGGTCAGGCTTAATAGTATTATGTCTAGGGAGAAAAACGCCAAACTGTGGCTTCTTTCCACAGAATAATTGGCTCTCATTTCCTTATCCTCCCCATATTAGTAACTTGTCTTGATTGTAGAAGCAGGCTAATGGGAGCTTTGTCTGGGCTTCTTTGTGAAAGCTTTTTTTTTCAGTGGCATGTGCTATTATGCCTACCATGCCATTTGAATCCTGTCATTGTACTTCTTGACCAGCTTGTCAAGGTAGGCATACAGAAGATAGCTCATGACTCCTGTTAACTGACTCATCTCTTATGGTTGCAGATTCTCATAAACACAAAGATAAACACAAAGATCGAGAACACCGGCACAAAGAACACAAGAAGGAGAAGGACCGGGAAAAGTCCAAGCATAGCAACAGGTAAGGGTGGAATCAAGCAAGTCCCTCATCATTCAGCAGTGGGTTGGCCATTGCTTGGCTTACCTGGAATAGGTCTTAACTTGAGCTACATGTAAAGATAGCAAAGTAAGTAGAAACTGTATTTGATCCTAGAGTTGCTATGAGGATGGCCATGATTTAGGCCTTAAATGGGATGCCATTGTTCAGATCAAGATGTATAAAGCAAGTATGTTTAATTTTCTTTTAATATATACCTCATTAAAAATACAGTTGTTCACTAAGATAGGTAAGGATTCATTGTGACACATGATGGCATTTAATCAAGTCTGTAGCAAGCTTGCCTTGATAAAAGGTAACTGGATTGGAGACCTGATTTTTTTTCTTCTTTCTATATTTTAAAGAGTTTACATTAAAAATTCTTAACTTGGGCTTCCATGGTCTGTTAGCCCCTGAAATTATATGCAAATGGTTGAGTATATGAGATTTCCTGGAGAGACTATTTGTAGCTTTCATCATGTTATCAGAGGAGTTCGGCTCCCACAAAAGCCTACAATCACCAATATGAATGAAACTCAATAGTGCTGCCTTTTGGGATGCAAGCCTCAAGAAGATGTTTCTTTTGTTCATTTTGCTCCCATTTTTTTGGTGTAGGAGGCAAGTGGTTAAATCTAGTTATTGAAAATGAGGACTTGTACTTCCATTCTGATTTAAAGACAGTTGTTGGTGAGAAAGCCATATGGTATTCCCATTCCCATAGTGGCCTGAGCTAGGTTAGGGAATGTAAAGATCTGTCACACATTAGAACAAGTGTCTCCATTGTAGAGTTCTTAGAACTTCTTTATTAACTTGTCTGATTGTCTGTAGACAAGTTAAAGTGAGAATTGCTTTCTAAGTCTGTTCTTTTTCGCGAATCATTAAAATAACCAGATTTAATTTTCTCTATTGGGGACATTTCTTTGGGAATCATGTATCATGCCTGTGGCCTTTTTTCCCTATCCCTCACTTATCTCTTATCACTTGATCATCTAGTTTCCATTTTCATTATTCTGGTAAATTTAATCTCAGTAGTTGAATCTACTCTACATCTTTTCTAGTTTATAGTTGTCTAGCTTATGTTAATATCTACCGTACAGCAAAGAATATTGCCAAGGATAAAGAAGTTCATTGCATAATGATAAAAGGGACCCATTAGGAGAACATAGCAGTTATAAATGTTTATCCACTAACGTCACAGCCTCAAAATACATGAAGTAAATCTGATAGAGCTGCAAAGAGAAATAAACATTCATAATTATGGTCAGAGATTTTACTATCTTTCTCAATAATTTTTAGTCCAAATAGAAAATAATTAAGGATATGGAAGACTTGAACAGTATCAACCAACTTGATCTAATCGACATTTATAGGTTTTTCCCATCCAACAATATTAGAATTTTCTCTTTTCTTTCTGTCTACTTTTCCGCTTTTAATTTTTTTCAGGTTTTATTTTAGATTCAGTGGGTACATATAGGCAACTTTGTTACCTGGGTATATAGCTGTGATGCTGAGGTTTGGGTACAAATGATCCTGTCACCCAGGTACTGAGCATAGAACCCAACAATTAGTTTTTCAACCCTTACCGCCCTCTCTGCTCTAGTAGTCTCCAGTGTCTATTATTGCCATCTTTATGTCCATGAGCACCCGATGTTTAGCTCCTGCTTAAAAATGAGACCATGTGGTATTTGGTATTCTGTTCTTGCCTTAATTTGCTCAGGATAATAGCCTCCAGTTGCATCCATGTTGCTACAAAGGACATGATTCAGTTCTTTTTTTATGACCGTATAGTATTCCGTGGTAGATATGTACAACATTTTCTTTATCCAATCCATCATTGCTGGGTACCTAGGTTGATTCCATGTCTTCCCTATTGAGAACAGAGCTGCAGTGAACATGTGTGTACATGTGTCTTTTTAGTAAAATGATTTGTTTTCTTTTGGATACATACCAAGTAATGGGATTGCTGGATCAGAAGGTAGTTGTTTTTTTAAGTTCTTTGAGAAATCTCCAAACTGCTTTCCCTAGTGGCTGGACTAATTTACATTCTCATCAACAGTGTATAAGTGTTCCCTTTTTTCTGCAGCCTTGTGAGCCATCTGCTGGTTTTTGATTTTTAATAGCCATTGTGGCTGGTGTGAGATGATATCTCATTGTGGTTTTGATTTGCATTTCTCTGATGATTAGGGACGTGGAGCATTTTTTCATACATTTGTTGGCCATTTGTATGTCATCTTTTGAGAAATGTCTGTTCATGTCTTTTGCTTGTTTTTTAATGGGGTTACTTGTTTTTTGCTTGTTGAATCATTTAGGTTCCTTATAGATTCTGGATATTATACCTGTTAGACGCATAGTTAGTGAATATTTTCTCCCATTCTGTAAGTTGTCTGTTAACTCTGTTGATAGTTTAATTAGATCCCATTTGTCAATTTTTGCTTTTGCTGCAATTGCTTTTGGCATCTTTGCTATGAAATCTTTGCTCGTTCCTATGTCCAGAATGGTATTGCCTAGGTTGTCGTCTAGGGTTTTTAACAGTTTTAAGTTTTACATTTAAGTATTTGATTCATCTTGAATTGATTTTTGTATGTGGTGTAAGGAAGGGGTCCAGTTTCAGTTTTCTGCGTATGGCTAGCCAGTTATCCTAGCATCATTTATTGAATAGGGAGTCTTTTCCCCATTGCTTATTTTGGTTGACTTTCTTGAAGATTAGATTGCTGTCGGTGTGTGGTTTTATTTCTGGGTTCTCTGTTCTGTTCCATTTGGTCTATGTGTCTGTTTTTGTACCATTACCATGCTGTTAGTGTTTCTGTACCATTACCATGATGTTAGAATACATTCTTTTTAAGTGCACACGAAATGTGCCAAAATAGCTCATACTTTGGACCCCACTCTCCTTAAACCATCTTCTTTGGCTTTAATGCTTCCATGCCTCTCCATCTTTCTGGCCACCTTTTTCACCTCTTTCTAATGCACAGTCATTCCTTAACAGTTTTTGGCTGTCTTTTCTCTGCTACCTGTTTTGCTGTTTATCCTTATTTCACATTCCATATTTGGTCTTGTGAACTTCTTTTCAGTTCCTTAAACATAGCATGTTTTCTGATGCCGCTAAGCCTTTAAACATGCTGTTGGTTCTGTAATACTCTCTTGCCCCTTTGCTGTCATTCTTTTAGTTGCAGCTCAGACTTGACTTGTTCCAGGTATCCTTTCTACCCTCCTTCTCATATTAAATGCCACTTTTGTGTGCTCTCTGGTGCCTTGAATATATTCCTAGTGTAATAATTATTATATTTAATTGTGTCTTTACTTTTCCCTATGGCCTCCTGGACTCTAAAGTCCCTGAAAGCAGAATTGGGATCTTTTTTGTTTTTTCTGGGGTGGGGCGGGGGGCTGGTTTTTTGTTTGTTTGTTTGTTTGTTTTTTGAGACGGAGTCTTACTCTGTTGCCCAGGCTGGAGTGCAGTGGTGCCATCTCAGCTCACTGCTATCTCCACCTCCCAGGTTCAAGTGATTCTCCTGCCTCTGCCTCCCAAGTAGCTGGGATTAAGGTGCGTGCCCCGACACCCAGCTAATTTTTTGTATTTTTAGTAGAGACAGGGTTTCACCATGTTGACTAGGCTGGTCTCAAACTCCTGACCTCAAGTGATCTGCCCACCTTGGCCTCCCAAAGTGCTAGGATTACAGGTGTGAGCCACCACGCCCAGCCTTTTGTATTCATTTTGCATCCTTCAGGCTTAGTATGGTACCTGGCAGATAGCTGGCACTTACTAGTCTATATTTATTGAATTAATGAGTGGATGATCTATGGGTACATTAATTCCCATCTCTCTTTCTTCTCACGTACTCTTAATCTTCTATAGGATAGTTATTAAGTCACTTTGGCTTATCTCATTTTTCACACAATTGTGTGTGGTAAAATAAACATAACAAAATTTACTGTTTTAAAGTAGCATTTAGTACATTGACAATAGTATGCAACTGTCACCACTATCTCCAGAACTTTTCATCATCCCAGTCTTTGAATTCACTAAATAATAACTTTTCATTCTGTTCCCCTGTCCCAATATCTTTCTACTTTGTCTTTTTTTCTCTTTCCCTTCTACCTTTTATCTTTATGAATTTGCCTATTCTAAGTACTTCATATAAGTGGAATAATACAATATTTATCTTTTTTAAATCTGTTCTATATTCCCTTAATATGTTTTCAAGGTTTATCCGTATTGTAGCGTATCAGAAATTCATTCTTTTTTATGACTGAATTATATTCCATTGTATGCCTGTAATCACATTTAAAAAAATCCATCTGTTGATGGACACTTGGGTTGTTTCCACCCTTTGGCTACAAATACATGTTTGAGTTCCACTTTCATTCTCCGGGGTGTATACCTAGGAGTAGAATTGCTAGATCATGTCCAACAATGGGTGGCTGCCTGCTATGTTTTTACTGTGCTAATTGATGTGGTGTGAAAAAAAAAATTAGATAACCTTTGACCGTGAACAGTATCATCTGAGGAGGTGAGAGACCTGCTTACAGATCAGATGAAGAATGTTGATTTTTATATTACTAGGCTGTAAGAAGAAATTCCAAAAGACTTTAAGAAGAAAGAGGTTAATATTTAAAACATAAGCTTTTGAAAACTTATCTTCTCTAACACATTCTACTTTGTTTTGGGAGGAAAGATACAGTAAAAGTGACATAAAGGGCTTTGAGACATATAAGTTTGGCCCTGTCCTGTTTTACAAAAATCTTCTCTTAAAAAAAAAAAAGGGATGTGATTTTTTTAGAAGAAATCCTCATCCTTGTACATCCATTTAAGTCTCGTGATCTTGGCTAGGTTACTTAACCTTCTTCAACTCAGTTTCTTCATCTTCATCTTGATACATGCTTCACAGGGGAACCATGGGAGTCAATAAATATAGAAGCTCTTCAGTTGTGAACTGCTCTACAGATGTGCAGAGATGACACTTTTACATCTATTTAAAAGCATACTTTTCCAAGATCATATTGTAGGTAAATTCAATAATTTGTTGTATGTACTTTTGTGCCTCTTTTCTTTTCTTTTTTTTTTTTTTTTTGAGACAGTCTTGCTCTGTCGCCCAGGCTGGAGTGCAGTGACACAATCTCGGCTCACTGCATCCTCCGCCTCCCGGGTTCATGCCATTCTCCTGCCTCAGCCTCCCGAGTAGCTGGGACTACAGGTGCCCGCCACCATGCCCCGCTAATTTTTTATATTTTTAGTAGAGACGGGGTTTTACTGTGTTAACCAGGATGGTCTCAATCTCCTGACCTCGTGATCCACCTGCCTCGGCCTCCCAAAGTCTTGGGATTACAGGCGTGAGCCACCGCGCCTGGCCACTTCTGTGCCTTTTAATATTTTCTTCATTCCTATAAAAATAGAAGCCTTTTTGCCAAGAGCTATTGGAAAAACCTGGCCCGAGTTTCTGTTTACATATGACATGACTAAATCTAGCCCTTGGTTTCTTATTCACATGAGTAAATTTTAACAGTTTAATCAGATGATCTGTTGTAAGCAAACTTTTAAGTACTTCTTGTTTTGATGTCTACTGACACAGTACCTCTTTGCAACAAAGCAAGGATATTGGTTATATTCCAGTAAAATTATTTTATTATTTTTTTTGAGATGGAGTCTCACTTTGTCACCCAGGCTGGAGTGCAGTGGTGTGATCTCGGCTCACTGCAACCTCTGCCTCCTGGGTTCAAGCGATTCTCCTGCCTCAGCCTCCCGAGTAGCTGGGACTTACAGGCGCCTGCCACCACGCCGAGCTAATTTTTGTATTTTTGGTAGAGACGAGGTTTCACCATATTGGCCAGGCTGGTCTCGAACTCCTGGCCTTGTGATCCTCCTGCCTCAGCCTCCCAAGGTGCTGGGATTACAGGCTTGAGCCACCACACCCGGCCTCCAGTAAAATTTTATATACACTGTGATCCTTTTAAAGTACCTCTGATCTTTTTAAATAGTTTAGGGTTTCTTCGATTTCTTCTGTAGCAGATTAAAGAAATCTGGGGGATTATTTAATCACATCTGAACCCCAGAATAATTAGTATTTAGCATGTTCTGTTCCAAAATGCTTTCATTTATTCCAATCCTTGCTAATCAATTGTAGCTAATTTTGTGGCCATTTGTTAGGAGAAAACAAGTGTTTCAGATGTGTTTCTGTGTCCCTTCCTTCTCTGCTAGATATTAGCACCAATCATTTGTCATCAGGCTATACTTAGGACCCAAGCCCAGGAGGCATTTACTGTCCTGTGCAGTAGCAATACTGCAGACTTGGAGTGGGAGAGTAGCCATTATGTGCAGAAACAAAATGGGGCTATGGATCCACATCCCAGAAGATGCCATTTGGTTTCCTCTTTATTGTCCTCATGCAAGGTGCAAAACAAGGGAGTAGGTATTAAGAATCATTTCATCTTGTCTTCTCTTTGTGTGGACAGGAGTCTGAGGTCACATGCTCTAAGTCCCACAGTGATGTGGTAGCAGAAAGAAGAGGATGTGAGACCAAGGATCCTGAGTCCCCACTACATTATTCCTTCCAGTGAAAAATACCTCCCTGTGTAAAAAGAGTTAGTTTTGTAGCTAAACTGTCTGTTTAAATACAAGCACCCCTTACTTGTATGCATATGGTAGGCAGCTCAGGTTTAAAAATGTCAGATCACCTCAGGCACTGCCTTTATCTCTCTTTGTCCCCAAATCCCTGAAATCTTTGGCACTGAAAGTATTAATGTCATCAAATTCTGAACCTATGAAAACTTCATCTCTGTCTTTCTCTTGTCTGGCCTGTAACATGACAAGAACAGCTCACACCAAAGTTAGAAGATAATTTCATCAGTCATCACTTATCTCTTGACACTGCTTCTTTCTGTTAGCGTTAATATTTTGCTCCTCAGATCCTTTTTCTTTTTTTTTGGAGTCAGGGTCTCATTGACTGCTAAGCTTGGGCGCGGTGGTGTGATTATAGCTCACTGCAGCCTCCCTGGGCCCAAGGGGTCCTCCCACCTCAGCCTCTTGAATAGCTGGGACAATAGGCATGCACCACCATGCTTGGTTAATTAACTTTTTTGTTTTTAATAGAGATGGCGGTCTTGCTATGTTGCCCAGGGTGGTCTGGAACTTCTGGGCTCCCACATTGGCATCCCATAGTGTTGGGGTTACAGGCATGAGCCACCATGGCCGGCCCTCTTTTAAAAAATACATAAATAATCTCAAAAGGAATACTCTTCTAGATGCCAAGGAATTACGTAGCTTGTAGGATCTCACGAGCTACCTTTCTTAAAGGGTTACATTCTTATCCATTGTTTATCTTTAATAGTAGATCTCTTGTATAAACAGAATATTATTAAAAGCAATTTGGGAGGGGGGCTTGATTTTAGAAAATAAGAGAATCGTGTGAAATGAAATTCCTCCTAGTTTTCGACTCTGTGCATCTCTTGCCAATTTTAAACCTGGCATTCACACTGGAGTGACAAATTTGTGGAAAGCAAGGGAAGACAGAAAACTGCTGTAAAATAGCAAGGGAAGTACTTTTCCAGCCATATTGGCAGTGCTATTCTGTACTGTCAGTGTGAGAAACATCTGAGAATAAGGATGCTTTTGGCTTCTGCTTTCCTTTTAGTTCCAAATCCTACCTGAATTGTAATTGAGAGAATGTAGGATTTTAGGAATATGCACTTGAATTACGCATCTAGTTCTCAGATTAGGGGAGATTTTTCTGAAATTAATAAAATTTAAAAGATATGTTTGCTGCTTTCCTTGTGAGTGGTTTGCCAAAGCCCTCCCTTTGTCTACACATCACTATATCATCCTGTCTGTGGGAAATGGACAACTAACATGGGTAGGCAGAGAAGATTGAACAGTTTGGAAATGAGGAAACTCAGTACCACCACCATTCACATGGGAGTCAGTATGATATATTGAATAGCACACTAAGATAAAAGTTAAGAGGCTGGGTTCTGTCATTTATAAGCTACGTGTCGTGATCCAAGGTGCTTAACTTCTCTGGGTCTCATTTTCTGTTTTGGTCAAGGGTTGATAACAGTACCTGCTTTATCAATCTTTCAAGTTTGTTTATGCACATGACAGCTCTTTGGGAACTGTAACATACTAAATAATTGAGATAATGATGGTGATGATGATAATTACCGCAAAGCCTAGTATAATATCATGCAGATAAATTGGAGCTCTTGAGTTTGGTAGTTGAATCTAATTCAGTAGTTATTGATAGCATTCAATTTGGAGCCCTGATATTTTCAATATTATATTTATCCCTATCATAGTACGCCATAATCATTGTTTTTAAGATTTCATGGTGGAGACAGCATTTGAGCTAGCCATTCAAAGATGGTTAAAATTTTGCTAACGGAAAGTAATGGTTAGAAAGAAAAACATAAGCAAAACATAGAGGCATTGTAGTATATGCTTTGTTCTGGGAGGAATCTAGTTAGGTGGGTTACACAGGGTGGAATAGTAGAAAATGAGACCCAAAAAAGTGGCTTGAGGCAAAACTATTAAATGCCATTTCAAAAAGTTGGAACTTGTTACTTACACTAACTAAAAATCGGGGGGAAATGTTGGGACTCGATTCTGAGCTGAGCAAGAAGCCACTGGAAATACTTGAGCAAAGTGGATATAAGACTTAGCTACAAATGACATGAAGGGTCTAAGAAAAAGGGTTCCTGTCTTGGATAACTGGGTGGCTGTTCACGCTATTAATAGAGACAAAGAACTTAAGGGAGGAATGGGAGTTAGAATGGGTATCGGTTTTGCCATCTTTGGGCACATCCTTTTATCCTCTCTGGCCTGAAAACAAAGGATTAAATAATTTCTAGGAAATTACATTTACCTTGAAGTTTTGATACTTCTATAATATAAAACGCCGGAGTCCTTGTGATTTTGTTTAGAGATATATAATCGGCATTGTAGTGTGTAATGATGATGGACATTAAGGAACCCTTGTTTCTTAGTGCCTTTTGGAAACTGGCTCATTTCAGAAGCTGCGCTCTTTTCCCAGAGGCAACTTTTGAAGTTACTTAAATATTTAATTTAACAAATATCATTTAAGATTTAACTGTCTACTATCCTTGAAAGGGTCATGAGTTTCCCTCCTAAACCAAGACTTTGAAGCTCTCTGTGCTGTCTCACAGGAATCCCCATGATCCAACTTCATGTGACCTGCAGAGGTCTGCTGCCTTGAGGAGTAGACAGGTAGCTGGGCTGTTAGTGGCTAAGTCCTTTTCTCAGAATATGTGGAGGCTCCTTCTACCTTTAACAGTGCTTTTTTGCTTTGTTTGGGAAGTAACAGAGTAGTCAAGTGCATGACCCTGGAGCCAGACTGCCTGAGTTTAAATCCTGTTTCTCTCTTTAGAGGTAGTTCCTTGGGTGAGTTACTTAACTTGTCTGTGCTTCAGTTTCCACATCTGTGAAATGAAGATACCAGTAGTTACCTGAGTTTTGTTACCGATATCAAATGTGCTTAGATGAGTGCTTGGCACTGGGTGCTACTCAAGTATCTGTTAAATACTTTTATGGGGGATAGAGGACAGATTTAAATGGTTTCCCATAGCCAACATTCTAGCTTTCCAGAATATCAGTATTTTGTTGTGGTAGCGGTGGTCTTTTTTCCTAAAGAAACAGTGCTTCGCCAGAAGGGAGACATTGTTCCCTACTGGCTCCCTACTTCCACCGTTTCTCCCACTCTTCTATATAAGTGCCTTAGAGAAACTCTGGTCACCCTTTTCTGTGGTCTGCTTAGCTCCAACAAGAATCATAGACCAAAGGTTTTGCTGTCATCACTTTAAAAATAGTGTAAGTTATTTTTTTCTTTCCTTTTTTTAAATTTTTTTTTTTTTGAGATGGAGCCTCAGTCTATCGCCAGGCTGGAGTGCAGTGGCGTGATCTCGGCTCACTGCAGCCTCTGTCTCCCTGGTTCAAGTGATTCTCCTGCCTCAGCCTCCCCAGTAGCTGGGATTACAGGCATGTGCCACCACGCCCAGCTAATTTTTGTATTTTTAGTAGAAATGGGGTTTCACTGTGTTGCCCAGGCTGGTCTCGAACTCCTGACCTCAGGTGATCTGCCCGCCTCGGCCTCCTGAAGTGCTAGGATTACAGGCATGAGCCACCACGCCCAGCCAGATTATTTTTTCTTTAGTGGAATTCAGCCAATTGAAGCATAACACATGGCATGAACACTCTGGAAAGGTGGCTTTGGATCTTTCCATTTGTTCTCTTTAGCGCTGACTTTTGCTTTCTAGTCCCTGCTAGTGTGTTGGAATCTTACCCCATACAGATGCAAACTATGAACCAAGAAGTCAGCATCTATGCCTAGCCAATAATTGGTTGTTTTCTCGTTCAGAGTTCCTCATGCCCATGGGGTAAATTCATATTTCATCCATAAGTGTGACCATTGCAGAAGTTCTAGGACTGCTACTGTCTGTATTTTTGTCCTTCAGCATATCCCAGACTAAACTTACTCTTAAAATATGTTTGTCCAACCTTTGGTTTCCTTCCTATGGTTGATATTAAGCCTTTCTTCTACTCTTAGAAGACAAAATGGGGAGACAAAAAAGGCAACCCTGAAGGTTTTTATCCTTTCAGGGTATCTAGCATTTTTCTAATTTAGCCCTACTGAAGTTTCTTCAGTAATTAATCATCTGTTTTTCAGCCTCTAACCTGGCTAATATTATAGCCTACAATTGTACTTTTAAAGCCCTTTTGTGACTTTGACATATTGTGTCTATTGTGTATGGAAAAGTAGCAGGATCAGTATGAAGATAATACAGTATCTCTTAAAACAGGCAGCCAGCAAATGAACTTTCTGCATTGGTCAGAATTTCCATCATTTCACTGTTAATGAGGAAAGTACAGTTCTTTAGCTACCATGAAAGTCAAACATATCCTAAGCCTTTTGGAAAAAGACATACATGTTAGAAAATCTCAAATGGATGAGTCAGCCTGACTGACCCCACATTGACTCCATTTTATATGCTGGCCAAATCCTGTTTCTGACTTTCCTGGCACAGCCCTGGACATGCTTCTGTATCATAGGACTTGTTCCCCAGCGCCTTTGCTACTTCCTTCAGGCACATTCCTAGGAAAGATTGGCAGTGGGGTTTGCTCTTTGCCAGCACTCCTGCCGGTTTGGGGGTTATGGATGCCAGGTTGGGCTCCAGGCACTCTGCTCTCCATTTGTGGAGGCAGGGACGGTAACAGCACCTGACAAGTAGGGATGATCACATTGTATTCAGAAGCCTGGTGGAGCTCTATAAACCCAAATTTCTAACAGTCTCCAATGTAATGCCCTGTAATAGAAGCTGTCCTTAACCCTCAATCATCTGTATTCAGCTAGTATAAAAATGCAAATCTGCTCTTATGCCTAAACAGTTAGGAGTAGAGGAGACTTGGCTTCCTTTGGAAAGTCAGGATGATAGCTTCATCCCATTCTGGTTTTTGTGATTAATTGTGACCTACAAAGGGGTTTACTACTCTAGCAGGAACTTTGAATTTCCTATATACATCTCTTTCTGGTTAGCAGGCAGAGGAAATATCGTTGACTTTTGGCTTCCTGGCAAATGTCTCATTTGCCTTGTCATTTGTTGATTCCTTTTCCCTGATCTCTGTTTGGTGTGATAATGTACAGCAAAGCTGAAAACCGCAGGGCTACATGTACACTTGTAGGTACCTATGTTGTGATTGCCAAAAGGCTCAGAAAGCCAGTTTTCTAGTGAAAATGGCTAACATTCTAAGAAATGCTTTCACTGAGAAAGAGAACGGGTCAGGGGAAGGTGGAACTTAAAGGAAGATGGAGTGTTCCTGAATTCAGATTCCTGAATTAGCCATTTATAGTTTCATGGGAAGACAATGAAAAAAAAAAAAAAGAAAGAAAGAAAAGAAAAGAAAAGAAACAAGCAACCCCAAAGGTTTTTATCCTTTCAGGTATCCAAACATCTTTATTCTAGAAAGTTTCTCCTCGATGGTAAAATAAAGCTAGGACCTTATAGCAAGTCTCAGACTCACCATGGCTGTTTCTTAACACCAGTATACCTTAAGCAGTAGGTATCAATTTAGTGGAAATATAAGGGTATTGATATGTAGTGGAGGCTGCTCTGAACTTGGAGGTGGAAATACTAAGTTTAAATCCCAGCTTTTCTTTTAACATTGCAACTTTGAGAAGTCTTTTAACCATTGTCTCCTGTTTGTATCAGCATGAGGGGATAGATAATAAAACCTGCCTCACAGGAGTGTTGTGAGAATTGAGTGAAATAATGTATGTGAAAATACCAAGTACAATGCTTGCTTAGAAAGTAGAATTTTGTTTTGCCATCCCCTCCCCCACTATAGTTGGCAGGGCAGGGGGAGGCAGTATATTCATCCATCAATATTATAGATGCAATTGTTCCCAGATGTTTTGCTTTTAGGCAAAACCTTGTATAGATGACTGTATACCCTCTTACAGTTGATGCTTAATAAAACAAAACTACCATGGTTTTATAATGGAATGGTAAGCTCAAACATTTTGCTGGTAGTATAAAAACCAAGTGCCTGTGATTACCTATACATTAACTCCTGAAGAATCAATTATAATCTCAGCAACCTTGCTCTTTGACCATTCATTCTAAAGCTTGGCGAAGTTAATGAGAACAGATAATAGGAGTGCTAATGCAATTGGAAGACTTTTTTTTTTTTAAACAAAGTAAGGAAGGGATACATTTTTAAATAAAACATTGCATTTTGGTAAAAAACACAGATTATGAGAACACATTGAGTTAGAGGAACATCATATTGATTCCAAGAACAAAAAGCATGGTGGAGAAATTTTGTAACCATGCAAATCCAGTGTGCTCTGTTCTCATGAGTTAAAAAGAATTTTCCTCCTATAGAAACTTGTTATTTAAATGTGTGTCACATGTAAATAACAGTCTAATGAGAGCAATATAGAGGGAGAAATATGTAAGCAAGGGAAAGTGGGCATTGTTTTGTTTTTTTTTTTCTCCATCTATTTCAATACTTGGGTCTTTCCTAACCTATAGTGTGTCCTGTTTCTCCCTGGCTAGATTTCTTAAAGTTTCTGCCTATTCATCACTCAAGTACCTATCTCAAGTTGTAGCTACTTTTGTGTGCAGGGTGTAATAGCAGATGTTCTCCTGATCTAGATTTTGTTGCTCTGCCTAACTGCATGCCATCATTTGTTTCTCCCTTTGTGATCTTCTACTGTAGTCAAGTGTCCCTTTAGAACAAACTTCATGGGATGGACATAGCCTAATGAGCTCATTGCTGATGAAGTCTTTTTTTCCTGTGCATTGGTTAGTGCAGTAAGCAAGGCTCCTTAACTGCCTGTCCCAGTGTACTGAAAAATAATAGTGTTCTCTCACCTTAAACTACAACTTGTGGTTTTTGCTTATTGCTTCTTTAGTCTTTGACCACATGCATGTTTTTACATAGTTGCAGTTATTTTATTATATTCCTTTTTCTGTCATAAACACTTTCCAAATGTGTTTGTGGTACTCAAATTATAGCTTAGCAGTTAAATAATTTGATATATTACAGTTTCCCCTCTTGTTAGGTGTATCCAATTTTGGGGTTTGTTTGTTCGTTTTTGTTTTTTTCTGTTGTTGTTGTTGTTGTTTAAGGGAAGCACCAAAATAAACCTCTTTTTAAAATTAATTAATTAATTTTTTTGAGGCAGAGTCTCGCTCTTTCGCCCAGGCTGGAGTGCAGTGGCACTATCTCGGCTCACTGCAAGCTCCGCCTCCTGGGTTCATGCCATTCTCCTGCCTCAGCCTCCCGAGTAGCTGGGACTACAGGCGCCTGCCACCACGCCCGGCTAATTTTTTGTATTTTTAGTAGAAACGGGGTTTCACTGTGTTAGCCGGGATGGTCTCAGTCTCCTGACCTCGTGATCCGCCTGCCTCGGCCTTCCAAAGTGCTGGGATTACAGGCGTGAGCCACCGCGCCCAGCCCAAAATAAACATCTTTATATGTAATGTTATTTCCCTAAGATAAATTTCCAGGAGCTTGATCCCAGGGTAAGAAGCTATGAACATTTTCATGGCTCTTGCCTTATAATGTCATATTTTGCTTTTTAACCTTTAACAAAGAACATTCCTATGCCCTTGCTTTCAGATGGGTCTTTTCTTATTGTGAGGAAAGGGCTAACGTAAGTCCCATCTAGAAGTGACTAACTTGCCTAGTTAAAACTAGAAGGAAATATCCACTGTATTGGGCTGTTTACTCCATAAACCCTGGCTTGGCTACATGTGTGGTATGTTTCAAGTCTGGCACAAAGCCACCAAACACATTTTTGGTGAGTTGGTTTTAACCTGCTCACATCAGATATGAATGCTGAAGTTGGAGCTTTCATTATTGTTTTTGTGCTGGTAGAATGTTGCAGAAATACACAGGGCTGGCTGTGTATTCTTAGTCACTTTAAAAAAAATGTCCTGGTGTGTCTAGAATGATGGTTTCTGTTCTTTGCAAAAATAAAAACATCAAACAAGATAAAGTCCGATGTAGCCAAGACCCTCTACTTGAACCTTCTGTCGGTACTGTTTGTTTAAGTACTGTAAGTTTCCACGGTTCATGTTATCTTAGGATATCTTGTGAAACGAATCCTTGTGGTCCCTACTCTGGGCTAACGCTTTGTGACTTAACTTTTTACAGTGAACATAAAGATTCTGAAAAGAAACACAAAGAGAAGGAGAAGACCAAACACAAAGATGGAAGCTCAGAAAAGCATAAAGACAAACATAAAGACAGAGACAAGGAAAAACGAAAAGAGGAAAAGGTACAGAGTTTTCTAGTAGGGGAGGAAGGAACGTGGATGCACTTTTGTTTACCTTTGAAAGCAGATATCTTAATTGCATAGTAAGATCCCTTGGTCTTGAAGTGAAAGGTTTCTTGTCAGGAGAATTTAGAGCAAACTGTAGTCTTAAACTATAAAAACTAAGCCTTTTACCACCATATGTTTCACAGTGGCAGATCTGTCCATATCATTACCTTTTTTACTTTATATTGCCAATGAATACATTGAGAATGCATTAGGGAAAATTAATTGTTTTTGGGAGAAGGCCTAATGCCTTGATGGTCTTCTGTTCATTAAAGGTTCTTCCCGAGTGAAAATTTAGTGATGCTGGTGTCTTTTGTGGCATTTGGTTCCAGCATAACCAGTGCAAGCCTTCTAAAAATGACTAGGCTCACCCAGCTGAGAATGAATAGTACTCTGTATAGTTTTAAAAAGAGATTGTTTTTATTTTAGCTTTGAAAAAGTAATTTTTGTACTTGGTAAATTCAGATACTATGAAATAAGGAATATGGTGAAGAAGACATCTCTTCACCCCTGACTCACTGTCTCCCATCCTTCTCAGAGGCAACCGCTATACTGATTATGTTTTGTATTCTTCCATAGATACTCTGTATATCTGTATGTGTGTGTGTATCCCTTTGTGTGTATATATGAAGATTTTTTTGAAAGATAAATTTTCTGACGAATCTAGAAAGCAGGAAGTCAAAGGGGAGGGGGTCATGAGTATACTTTGCCTAAGTAATAGAAGACAGGGCATAGACTACTTTTTTGTTTGTTTGTTTTTTAAATAAAGATGGGGGTCTCACTGTGTTGGCGGGGCTAGTCTCGAACTCCTGGCCTCAAGCAGTCCTCCAACCTCATCTTCCCAAAGTGTTGGGATTACAGGCATGAGCCATCACATCTGGCCCAGTTTATATGTTTTGTTTGTTTGGTTTTTGCTTTTGTTTCCTCTCTGCACTGCCAATGGCAAATTCTTGAGTAGTGGAATGTATTTATTGGGGAAAAGAGACCTGCCACCACTTAAAAGTAAAAAGCTGCCATTTTTAAGGGAAACCTTTCTCAGTGAGTTGGACAGTTTCACCCAGAAGAATTGTTAAAAACGAGTTTTGGACACATTTCAGGACCTTTAGTTCATCTGTTCAGTTTTGGTAACATAAGAGCCAGCTTGTGATCATGATGTCCCAGGAACTGATGCTACATATTCTCAAAAAGAGGTTTCTTCAAATTTAGTCCTTTCAAGGTACTAGTTACTGTTGTTTTACTTTTCAGGTTCGAGCCTCTGGGGATGCAAAAATAAAGAAGGAGAAGGAAAATGGCTTCTCTAGGTAAGACTTTGCTGCTGCGTGGGCTTCCCTTTCTCTGGGTGGACAGCAGGCCAGCTGCCTGTGTTGTAGTGTTGTCTGAGTTAACCCAAAACCCACTGACCTGGCCATCTTGATGGTTCCCAGAAGCTCAGCAGTGAGAAGACTCGGTCTAAGCCAACCTGAGCCTTTCTACAGTGCCATATAGTGAGACTGACCAGCACATTTTCCAGAAGGTTATTTCGAATAGAGAAGGTTGACAGGAGAGATTTTTAAAAATTGAGATTTGACTTGCATATCACAAAATTTGTATTTTAATGGTATACAGTGTACCATTTTTTTTTTTTTTTTTTTTTTAGTATATTCACAAGGTATTGCAGCCTCTTCACTAATTCCAGAACATTTTCATTTCTCTAAAAAGAAACTTCATATTCAGTAGCGATTATGGAGTTTTCTGAAAAATCACTTAGTCTGATTTCATCATTAGTAATATTGGGAGGCTTATATATAAAAGATCATTTGACCTACATGTTAGGGATGAGTGTAGATTTGGGTAGAATTATGTTATCTCTTTTCTAGAAGGAGAGGAAAATGCGCAAAATCTAGAGGTTACTTCCTATACTGTTTTTACCTTTATAATTTTGTTTTCCTCAGCCTCAATTTCCTAAAATAAGCCCAGAGGTCCCCTCTAGTTTCGAAACAACTAGATGTTTATTGTTACATATTCTCACTTCACTGAATGACAGAAAGGATTTATTAGAAATGGTTGTAAGTGTTTGCATTATTGACTGGGACAAAACACTTTGAGAGTTTTGCTTCCTTGAATCTTTGAACTTTCAGTTTCATTTGTTAAAATTTTTGACAATTGTGCCTGGTACTCTGGGGTCCTTTAGACAAGGAGAAAAGCAGGTGCCCTCTTCAGGCATGTTTCATAATTGTTCTAGGAATGCAGAATAATACAATTCAGGAAGCATTAGAGCTGCAAGCTGCCCTAGGAATTTTGATTTCTGAGATAAAGTGACTGAGGAGGCACTGCTGGGCTAATCTCTGCCAAGAGACTGCCTTGGATTTTTATTAAACTGATATGAATAAATTTTTTGGACTTGGTGCATAGTCATGAATTCATTTTCAGACTTTTTGGGTTAGAAGATTAGGAACACAGCCTTCTTTGAGGCAGTGGTCTCTATGTTCACTTTGCTGGACTCCTTGCTGGCTTGTGTATATGTCTTTGTAGAGAATCCAGATGCTTCACTGGAATACAGTTTTCAGGTAAATTGTTTTAGGACTTCTTCCTTCAGACCTAAGTAACCCTTCCCACAGTTTTTGTCTTCAGTGTGACAAACTTAGGATCTAGCATTTACTTAACTAGTTGGGTAAATGATAGGCTTTCTTTCCTTCTGGACCCTAGGGTCTGTGTCAGTATTCAGGCAGGAGGGGGAACAGCTGTAGAAGCTGGCATTTGGTTAGGGTGCTAAAATAAGTTCTTTAAACATTCAAATTCTATCACAAGCAAGGGGACCCAGTATGCTTTTTTTGGTCGGAGGTACTCTTGAAACCCTGTGAATATACTTTGCAGTGGGGTCGGGATTCTTAATCCTTGGATCCCTCCACAGGGGGCAGCTGCATGTAAGGAGGCCATTTCTTGTACTAAGTTAAGGCAGTGAGGTTCTGAAGAGATGTGCCAGGCCAGGGAGCATCCCATGGCTGCAGTGATTGCTGGGCTCTATGGTGTTTTTTACTTGTTCCTTCTCTGTTTTGGTTCAAGATGTTTGTCTCAAAGGATTGTCTTTTTATATTTATATTTTGAAGGTAAGATCTTAACAAATAGTAGTGAGACACTCTTCTGTATATAAAGTAAACCTAAGTTAGGACGTTGAACAATGAATAGATTTGGCATAGGATACCTTCTGTTTATTCTGGTTTAACACGTGCCCTACTTTTGTTGTAATGTTGTCAGCTTGGTTATTTTTCCATGTAGCTAGATATACATGTACGTTATTGCCACATTTTTAGAACTTTAAGGTACTAAGTTGGGGAAATCAATGTTTATTCCTTTCCTTGTAAAAGCTGTACTTTAGCTTTTAGAGTACTGGAACAATCAGTTCAGATTGTGGGGTCAAATATATGGTAGGTTTCCATGTAAGGCAAGAAAACACCTTAGGTTTATTTCTGGAGTGGTTCGTGCCATGCTGGCAAAGATAGCTAAGAAATAGTGAGAAAGAATTCTGACTTAGAATAAAGAGTCTTGATCCCAAATCCTGATATTGCCCATTCACCTGTACAATGAGGACAAATACTATCTACTTCACAGGATTGAAGTGAGAAAAAGTGCTCACAGAACATCTTCATGATATGTACGTGGTTATCCTTATTTCTGTTAGCTTCTTTTCAACGAAATGACATATTCCTTCTTTGTATTAATAGAATACAGATGTTCTAGCACTCTGACCAGCAATTTTTTTTCTCTTTAGTCCACCACAAATTAAAGATGAACCTGAAGATGATGGCTATTTTGTTCCTCCTAAAGAGGATATAAAGCCATTAAAGAGACCTCGAGATGAGGATGAGTGAGTATTTTCTTAAAACTTTGACTTTTGAAAACAAAAAGGAGGAGTTTAAAGAATAAATGTGATGTGTTTCTTTATAATACATATAGAAACTGCATTAATTGGCTTTTACTCATTTGGAATTTGTGATTAATGGACTGATTTCTCTGAACTATGAGAAGTAGAGTTTGCTAAACAAGTAGTATACCCAAGGCTTACATGAAGATTATATAAATTTTTATTACTGAAAAGGCAATAGATATTTATTGTAGAAATTTCAAATAATACAGAATTCATGAAGAATAAATTATTTAAGTTACTTAAAATTTCTTATTGCCTACCACAGATAACTTAAAGCAGTTTCTCTTAGACCTATTCCTGTCAGACATTCTAAGTGAAGTTTCAGTGTGTAAAAATAATAAAACTGCTCATAAAACGGTCGAGGCTTACATGTATCTCTTTCCCCAGATTCAATGAGATTAAATTATATTCATTATTTTCACTCTTATATAGCTTACTATGCTATTGTTATAGTAGAAATTGGATGGAAAGGGAGAAGGGAAATACTTAGTGAACTCATTTGTATTCATTCAATATAGAATTTCTTTCCTCCACATTCCAGTGAGTTACTGCTATGTGGTAGCTAGTGTGCTGTGTGTTTGGTTCCCAAACTTTCATCTTTTATTTTTATTTATTTTATTTTATTTTTTTTCCCAGACTTTCATCTGATAATGATATTTATTTCTGCATATATCCCCCCACCCTATTTTGCTTCCAGGCCGGTGTAAGTGGTTTGTTTTGTTCTATATAGGGCTATAACTATTACTCTTTGGTCTGACCTTCATTATTTTCTCTATTTCTGTTAGTCTTGACCGTAGAATGCCCAGCCAAGAATAACAGTGATTACTCTTGCCATGGAGGCATCCAAGAGTTTGTAGGTCTCCTATGAGTGAGAACTCCTGAATCATAATTATGTTAACTGTGTATTCATGTTCCCCTTTCTAGTGCTGATTATAAACCTAAGAAAATTAAAACAGAAGATACCAAGAAGGAGAAGAAAAGAAAACTAGAAGAAGAAGAGGTTAGTAAAGAGACTTAGGTCCTTTGGGGCTTGAGTTTGGAAGTGGGAGTTTTCCAGTAAGCAACTTCTTAAGACAAATGAGTTTTAGATATTTATTGGCTTGTTATAACATTAGGGAAAACAAATTTAATAAGTGGTGGCTGTGGCACTGGTAGTTTTAAGATCTCTGTGAATCCCCACAGTGTCTTAAGTTAACCACAACCAGCAGTGATTCTGCTCTCAGCCTTCCTGGGTGTCTGTCTACCCACAGCTAGGCTGCCAACAGATGTTCTTCCAAAAACTATGTCATCTTCATATATACAGAGGCAGTGTTAACAAGAAACCACATTTTGGCTTATAACCCTGAAGAAATTTCCCTAAGAATTTTTTGCTGATCATTCACTTTAGGTAACCATTCCTATCTAAAGTTCTTTAATGGGTACCCCTTTGACATATAATTGACACCCAAACTCTTTACTGCAGCTCCTCCCAATCTGGCCCCTGCATCTTGTGTCTCTCTTCATCTTGTGCCTCTTCTCTAGCTTACTTGTACCAGTCACACTAGCCTCCTTTGTTTCTTTTCCACACCAGATTCTTTCAAACTTCCGAGCTTTACGTAGCACCTGCTGTTCCTCTATCTGGAACACACATGCTCCCTTCTTTATCCTTTTGGCCTATAACCTTCCTCAAAAAACTCAGTTCCGTTTAAATGCTTTCCTAAATGTTCTTGTTGATGCTTGTGGTAGATTGAAAATAGAATCATATGCTTCCTCCTTTTGACACTTTTGAGTTCTTGTACCAAAAAATTGTTAGCAGGTAATTCAAGAAAAGATGTCAGAAATTCACAGGGGTCTTAATGATGCCCTCCCCTAAGACAAGAAGGGGTTGGGTGAGTTCTTAGCTCTTATGCTACATTTGAGGTTAGCCACTGTCATGGGCAAAATGGGATCACAAATGTAAAGTGGACAGTTTGAAGTACCAGCAGTAAAGAGAATGATAGTGAAGGGGCAGGGAGTCTTAAGAGGATAATCTATCATAATAGAATGATGTTAATAATCACAATTAAATGTAATAGGTGCTTACCATGTGCCAGGCACTCTTCTATATATGTATCATTTCATTTAATCCTTACAACCTGAATAGGTTGTTACATCCCTATTATCATCTCCATTTTGCAGATGCAGAAATAGAGTATAGAAATATTTAATCATTTGCCTGAGGTCACATAGCTACTAAGGTGGAAAAGCCAGCATTTGATCCCATGCAGTCTGACTTCAGTGCCAGCACACCAGCTACTATATTATCCTACCTCCCCTGGGACTTTGCTGATGCTCTAATTCTGCAAGGAGGGAGAAGAAAGGTCTTTAATGAAATCATATGAAGACCATTAGTGAGTGAGTTGAGCCATAGAGAGATGATCAGGTCCTGAATTTAGAAGGTTGCCGTTTTTTTGACAACTAGTCTATTCTTGGCCGAAGTTCAAATTAATAAGCACTAATTCAAGGAATTGAGAGTGAAATGTTAAGTAGTGATTATGGTAGCCAATCACTCCACTTGCATATACCAAATCAGTACAGACTAGTCAGTAAAGGAATATAAAACTTGAGTTCTCCAAGTGTTTTTTTTTTATGTTTATATTGCATTTATGCAAAAATAATACTCTGAGTTTGTTAAACCATTGGGAAAAAAGAACAGTTGACTTCATTTGTTATTATTCTATTTAGCAGCCCTACCACATAGGGGGAAAAATGCTGGCTGAAAGACTGAATTAATACAATCTTACTGTGGCAGGGACCCCAGATGGCAGAATCTGTCATTAAACCTCACTCGCCAACTATAGTTTTTTTGTTTTTTGTTTTTTTCTCTTGTTTTTGAGAATTGTTCTGAGGTCTCTTAGTGACTGACACCCCAATTTGAGGCTTGAAAACATACAATGTAGCCAGTAGTTTCCTGATGGGACCAGCTGGATGCCTGCTCAGAAGCTGTTTAGAGTATCTTCACTGAAAAACATTTCCCTTTCCTGTGGTGTGTTTCACCCTAAATAGTAAACATTATCTGAATTAATGTGATCCTGTAGTACCTTCTCCCAAACATACCCACATATTTATATTCTCCGTGCCTGTTTTAAAATATGGATGGTACTGTAAGCTTTCCTCTTTTTTCTATTCCTATCTTGATTGCCATCCTATTATGAGGATCTAAAATGTTTATTCCAGTTATTCCCATAAGTCACATTCTGTTATTTTTCTCATAAAGTTAGGCTCTTATCATAGTTAATAACAGCTATATGACCTTGATCAAGTGACAAAATATGTTTCAAAGTCCTTGATTGTAACTGGAAGTGGTTAAATGAACCCATCCATACACTTTCCAGCTGTGCCACTCTTTAATTGATTTTAAGATGGTTCAAAACCACCTTTCATTGCTATATAAAACTTGTTGAATAAAGACTGAATAAGTAGTTAAATTATGTTGAATAGGCAGGACAAAGGAAAATATTCTTCAAAAGAGTTCAGATTCTGAGTGGGATCTTCACTTGTTGAATATTACATTTTTGTTTGGGTTTTGTGTGTATGTTTTGAGATTCATCTCCTGTATTGGTGAATTGTGCCTGTTTAGGTTTGATGCCCGTTTATTGTGTCACTGTGATCAGCTCATTTACATTCAGAGTTCAAAGAAGAGCCATAAAGAAATACCACCATAGGAATTGGTGTCATTTTAGAACCTATCAAATACTTGCTTACTGCATCATGACTTTGTGTATACAAGCAGCAGCGATAGTACTATACTCCACTAAATCAACTGGGAATTTTCTTTCATCCTGAATACTAAATATCTAATGCAAAGCCCCGTCTAGCCGTTATTTGATTGTACTGGAAGAGGTTTAAAGATGAGTAGGATTAAACATAAGTGAGGAAAATACACTCGGATTACTCTCTAGAGCAGTACTTTTCCAAACTCCTTTGAGGTTAAAAAAAAAAAAGTTTCCCAGTCTCTTCCCCTGCAGAGTGTTTTTTAACTACTTTCTCAAGTAGTTGTTTGTCAGGAAATTTTAGGAAATACTGCTGTAGAACAGAGCACCAGTACATTGTTATTCATCTGTCAAATGAGAGGAGTACTAAGATCTTCTTTAGTTCTAATACTCTATGATTACAATTTTTCTTCCTCATGGCTCCCAAAAACTGCCTCCAGAAGTGTGATCAGTCTTTATTTAAGTGCTTTCTCACCATGTTTCTTTGTAGGATGGTAAATTGAAAAAACCCAAGAATAAAGATAAAGATAAAAAAGTTCCTGAGCCAGATAACAAGAAAAAGAAGCCGAAGAAAGAAGAGGAACAGAAGTGGAAATGGTAACATCTCAGCACTGGGTTAAAATGCCACCTTTTTTATTGCATATCCTTACGAAGCAAGAGTATTGAGTTATTAAAATTAATATCCTGATATTTGGGGGGAAATACTTTAAACAATTTCTCTAGAGTAACTTTCTGAAGTAAGTTTTCCAACTTCTAGTGAAATCATTAACTGGTTCTAAATCTATTGGATCTCAAACTGGTTTCCACCACTGTGAACAGAATGGACTGTAGAAGCAGACCTATGTATAGGTGGGAATTTAGCATACGAAGAGAGTACAGATGCATTTAAAACCATACGGAAAGGACAGATTATTATGTAAGTCGTGTTGGGAAAACTGCCTGTTCAACAACAGAAGAAACCTCAACAAGAAAACGTGGGTGAATATTTTTATAATTGTGCAGTAGTGAAGATCCTTTGAAGCAAGACATAACCAGAGCCATAAGGAAAGGTGTTTTACATTTGATACATCAAAGTTCAATTTATGGCAGGTGGACACCTTCATGCCATTTAAAAAAAAAAAAAAAACTCAAGGCAAAATATTTGCAATACAAAGGGCTGATATTCCTAATATGAAAAAAAGCTCTTTTAAAACAAATATGAAAGGAATGATCTAATCAGAATGTGAGGAACAGTCAGTTTAGTAAAATAGTTAATAAGCATCTAAAAATGTGATCAACTTCATAAGTAATCAAAGATGCAAAAAAAATGATAAATCTTTTTGTTTAATGCCTCTCAGATTGGGAAAGATTAATAAGTGAAAATATCTAGAGTTGCAAATGTAAGAAAACAGGCATTCGCCTTCCCTATAGGAGTGAAAATTCAGTCTTTATGAAGGACAGTTTAGTCATAGCTGGTTGCTCTTGAGAAGTGTATTTAGGTGGAGAACTTTTCTACTTTTGCTGTTTAGAATCTTGAAATAAACATGTTTTTAAAAAATACTTATTTCTGTTAACATGTTCTATTTAACTACTATACCAGCAGTACATGATTTTGTGTTTATGATGAAAAAACTCAAATGATTGACAGATTTAATAGTTAGAATAAAAATCAAAGTCACCTTTACCTGTCTTCTCCCATTCTCATTTTCCTTTCCAGCTTT
Source organism: Homo sapiens (assembly GCF_000001405.40). Classification (NCBI taxonomy): domain Eukaryota; kingdom Metazoa; phylum Chordata; class Mammalia; order Primates; family Hominidae; genus Homo; species Homo sapiens. The sequence continues at coordinate 41,085,672 of NC_000020.11, forward strand.
CCAGCTTTGAGGTAATCACTGTTCATAATTTGATGTATAGCCTTCCAAACCTGTTTATGTGCCTTTATGGCTTTTGTAATTTAGAACTTTGATGTCCACAGCACCTCTGAGGAAAGGGAGAAAGAGCACTGACCAGGAAGGTGGCAGAGGGAAGGAGAGCCACAGTGGCAGAAATGTGGCCACACGGTGACAGCTATGTGATTCGCATGTTGCTATGGCATCATGGGATTAAATGGGAAGTATAGAAAAGGAATATCACAGAGCAGAGCAACCCTGCCTCTTTCTAGAGGTCAGAGTCAGAAAGTAAAAGGCCAGGCACAGTGGCTCGTATCTGTAATCCCAGCACTTTGGGAGGCCGAGGCTGGTGGATCACCTGAGGTCAGGAGTTCGAGACCAACCTGGCCAACATGGCGAAACCTCATCTCTGCTAAAATTACAAAAATTAGCCGGGCGTGGTGGTGCGCACCTGTAGTCCCAGCTACTTGGGAAGTTGAGGCAGGAGAATTGCTTGAACCTGGGAGGCGGAGGTTGCAGTGAGCTGAGATCACGCCACCGCACTCCAGCCTGGGCGACAGAGCGAGACTCTGTCTCAAAAAAAAAAAAAAGAAAAAAAACCCCACATGGGTTTATTTTCCTCATTTTTATTTCACTTTTCTTAAGAACTAATACATTTTCAGTGATCTTGACCTTTAAGAAAATGATTTTTAGAAATAAAGTGATTGTGTAAATTAGAGGTTATTATTGGGAGTTAAGAGAATGGTAGGTTAGTAATTCATCAGTCAGGGTTCTGTGGTAGTTACTCAATAAATGCTTGTTAAATGAACAAATACATTTCCTTATCAGGAGCTCCCTGCTGTCTCCCCTTTACTTCGGAGCTTTGGCTCTTTTTGGGATCCAGGCAAGTGCGCTGGGTCCAGCCTTGTATGTGTAGAATTAGGTGCCCTTGAGGGGTTTAGGAGCCTAATTTTGCTTTTGTGGTTGAAATCCTTATCAGTGTTGCCACACATTCACTCTGACAGACCATGACTTTTGGTTTTTATTCTTATTTTGGGTTAAAGGGGAACTGGCTAGTCTTTAACTAAAAGTTGTTTTTTGAGGAATGAGCAGACTTTGCTACAGCTTCTAACGCATGCATTTCTCAGGTGTGATGGTTAAACCTTGCACATTCTTTTCAAGCACAGTGCTTGAATGGCACACCGAGTTTTTGGTGTTGAAAATATGAATGAAGAGCCTCTTAACTGATAGCTAGAGGCTGTGTATCATACTCTGAAGTCAGTTATCCAGTCCTCAGTGACTGCCACTGATGACCTAGTCGGGGAGTTAAATGGCAGATACCCTTATTTTTACTATTCCTTATGCTATCCTACTAAAAGAAGTACACACTTTACAAGCTTGACAAATTTGCAGATCTTTTTCTTCCCTCGTAAGTCCGCAGACCTGTTTGTCTTTACCAGAAAAAACCACTTACTCTGATCTTTATCTCCCTCCTTTGGTAATTGTTCAGTTGGAAAAGGTCCAGGTCCCTCAGGGTTTCTTTGCTATATCACGTTATCTCCATAGAAACATTGTTATAAGTGGTGGCAGTGTGCTTGGGTTCATACATGAAATCCTGTTTATCCCAGATGTCCTGATTTTTAACTGTTGGCCATTGTAGCTGAACAGGGTTTCAGCACTGTTGGGTTAATTAAGTACACTTTTGTGTCAGGGCTGACCTGGGAATATAAGTTGCCAGTTAATTCTCAACAGATGATTCTTCATAAAGAATTACCTGGCGAGTTTATTGCAGGTGTTAGGTGTGACTTTAAATGGAGTTTTCAATCTCTTAGCAAAGGTAAAATGCTGTGATGAGTCAGGACTATAATGTTTTAAGGAATTAGTGTTGCAAGACCAAGACTCATAAATATATGGTCAATGATAGTGGTAAGAAATTTATGGAATATGGATTATTGACATTTTGCTCAAACCAGAAAAACTTCCCTTAATTTCAAGGATTAGCATTCAGAAGCTACAGCATCTGACCTTTATTTCTAAATTTAAAAAAATTAAATATGAGTTTTATAGCATACTGTGAAGTGCTTGTTAACTGCAAGGGAACTTGATATCAAACAGCACATGGAGTTTACTTTCCTGTCTTTATATTTCTAGCACTTTTCCACCTTTCCCCCTTCAAGCAAATTTTATTATTAAATTGGTACTTGATTATTCAAGTCAAGCTGCCAAAGGGAAGCCATTTCGATGTCTAAGTACATGTTTTTGTTTGTTTATTTGTTTTTAAATTGCGGGGGGCGGATATATGCACTCATGGGGAGGCTAAAAGGACAGAACTGTTTGCTTTTATTTGTATAATAATAGCTGTCAGCCCAGTCACATGAGCTTACTGAAACAGATATTCTGTCTTTCTGTTTAAACTGAAGTTTAGTGTTGTGATTTGCTGAATCTCTTAATTTGCTTAAATGGTAAAGAAGTTGCTGTGGGTCTTCAGGATACACATGTTGAAATAGGAGTCGTAAAAACAGTTTGGAGTCTTGATTTAAAAACACTGTAGGGCCGGGCGTGGTGGCTCACGCCTGTAATCCCAGCACTTTGGAAGGCCGAAGCGGGCAGATCACGAGGTCAGTAGATCGAGACCATCCTGGCTAACATGGTGAAACCCTGTCTCTGCTAAAAATACAAAAACAAAATTAGCTGGGCGTGGTGGCGGGCACCTGTCGTCCCCAGGTACTCAGGAGGCTGAGGCGCGAGAATGGTGTGAACCCTGGAGGTGGAGCTTGCAGTGAGCGGAGATCACGCGACTGCACTCCAGCCTGGGCGACAGAGCGAGACTCTGTCTCAAAAAATAAATAAATAAATAAAAACACTGTAGTCGATGAGAAGAATGGTGCCAAAGTCCCAGGATAAGGGAAAGGGTGGCGTTCGGAATCTCCTCACGGTTACTCTGTGACTGCTGCAGACAGGCTCCTTGCAGATGCTCTCATACACCTACATATATATATATTTTCTCTATTTGGAGAGTAATAGACTGTAGGATTGGGTGGTTTCCTGCATTGAGATCCTTCTATTAATATATCAATGACTCTGCCAATTTCATACCTGAAAAAGTGGTAGGTTAGTTATAGAAGATCTTTAATATTCCTTTGAGGTCTAAGATTCTGTTAAATATTTTTGTTTAAATTGTGTAAAATACATATGACATAACATTTATCATCTTAACCATTTTTAAGTGTACAATTCGGTGGCATTAAGTACATTCATATTGTTGTGCACCATCACCATCTCCAGAACTCTACATCTTGCAAAACTGAAACTCTGTAGTTATTAACAATTCCCCACTTCTCTGTTGCCCCAGTTCTTTTTTTTTTTTTTTTTTTTTTGAGACAGAGTCTCGCTCTGTCGCCCAGGTTGGAGTGCAGTGGTGTGATCTCAGTTCACTGCAACCTTCGCCTCCTGGGTTCAAGCAATTCTCCTGCCTCAGCCTCCCAAGTAGCTGGGATTACAGGCTCCCACCACCATTCCCGGCTAATTTTTTATATTTTTGGTAGAGACGGGGTTTCGCCATGTTGGCCAGGCTGGTCTCAAACTCCAGACCTCAGATGATCTGCCCGCCTTGGCCTCCCAAAGTGCTGGGATTACAGGCGTGAGCCACCGTGCCCAGCCTATTCCCCCAGTTCTTGGTAAGCACCATTCTACTTTCTGTCTCTATGAATTTGACTACTTTAGGTACCTTGTATTAATAGTCATACAGTATTTGTCCTTTGTGACTGACTCATTTCACTTAACAGAATGTCAACGCTCGTCCATATTGTAGCATGTTTCAGAATTTTCTGACTTTTAAAGGCTAAATAATATTCCATTGTTTGTCCTGCATTTTGTTTATTCATTCATCTTTTGATGGACATGGGTTATTTCTGCCTTTGGCTGTTGCAGATAGTGCTGCTGTGAAACATTCGTGTACAAGTATTTGTTTGAATATTGAGTATATTCCTGGGAATGGAATTGCTGGGTCATGTGGCATTTCTGTGCTTAACTTTTTGAGGAACTGCCATACTATCTTTTCCACATTGGCTGCACCTTTTTACGTTCCTACCAGGACCACACGAGGGTGCTAGCTTCCCTACACCTTCACCAACACTTGTTATTTTTTGTTTTATTGCCATCCTTATGAGTATGAATGGTATCTCATTGTGGTTTTGATTGGTATTTTCCTAATGATTATTGATGTTGCATATTTTTGCAGGTGCTTATTGGCCACTTGTATATCTTCTTTAGAAAAATGACCATTCAAGTTCTTTGCCCCACCCCCACGTGTTTTTTTTTGTTTTTGAGATGGAGTCTTGCTCTGTCGCCCAGGCTGGAGTGCAGTGGCGCAATCTTGGCTCACTGCAACATCTGCCTCCCAGGTTCAAGTGATTCTCATGCCTCAGCCTCCTGAGTAGCTGAGATTACAGGCGTGCACCACCACGCCTGGCTAATTTTTTGAATTTTTAATAGATACAGAGTTTTGCCATGTTGGCCAGGCTGGTCTCGAACTCCTGACCTCAAGTGATCCCTCCGCCCGCTTTGGCCTCCCAAAGTATTGGGATTACAGGCGTGAGCCACTGCGCCCAGCCCCTATTTTTAATTTTATCTTTTTTTTCCCCTCCACCTTAAGACTGAGACTTTGCCCATTTTTTTAATTGGGTTGTTTATTGAGATGTAGGAGCTGTTTATATATTTTGTATGTTAACCCTTTATCAGATACATGATTTACAAATATTTTCTCCTATTCTGTGAGTTGTCTTTCACTCTCTTGAAGTGTCCTTTGATGCACAGAAGTTTTTAAGTTCAGTGAAGTTCAGTTTATTTATTTATTGAGACAGAGTGTCTCTCTGTTGCCCAGGCTGGAGTGCAGTCACGTGATCTCGGCTCACTGCAACCTTCACCTCCCAGGTTCAAACGATTCTTGTGTCTCAGTCTCCTGAGTAGCTGGGATTACAGGCGTATGCCCCCATGCCTGGATAATTTTTGTATTTTTAGTAGAGACGGGGGGGTCTCGCCATGTTGGCCAGGCTGGTCTCGAACTCTTGTCCTCAAGTGATCCGCCCACCCCAGCCTCCCAAAGTGCGGAGATTACAGGTGTGAGGTACTCTGCCCAGCTGCAATTCATTTATTCTTTTTGTTACCTGTGTTTTACGTGTCATATCCAATAAATCACTGTCAAATCCAATATTGTGAAGCTTTTCCCCTATGTTGTCTTCTAAGAGTTTTATATTTTTGCTCTTATATTTAGGTCTTTGATCCATTTTGAATTAATTTTTGTGTATAATGTAAAGACCCAGTTTGATTATTTTGCCAACACTATTGTTGAAAAAACTGTTCTTTCTCCATTGAATGGTCTTAAGCATCTTGTTGTAAATCATTTGACCATATATGTTGACTTTGGTTTTATAGTAATACCATTGTTACAATATGGTTTGATACATGTAATTTTTATTTGATGTTTCTGAACTTTGTTTAAAATATTGGACTTGTTCCATGGCTGAATGATTGATAATAAAATAATAAATAAAATATTGTACTTGGAAAGTAAATATGAGGGTAGTAAGTTAGTTATCTATTCGAGTAAAAGAAACTTGAGGCATAGCCAGTTGCAATTTGTGAGCCTGAGTTGGATCCTGGTCTATAAAATAAATTTAGATAAAATAGGGAAGTTTTTAATATGGACTGGGAATTAGAATTATACTAGGAGATTATTTTGTTAGATGTGATAATAGTTTTGTGGTTATGTGGAAGAATATTATTTTTATAGAGATACTTGCTGAAATATTTAGTGGTGAAGTATCAAATCTGCAACCAACTTTGAAAATGGTTCGGCCAAAATAGGAAATGTAGCAAATTATTAACCTTTTTTTTTTTTTTTTTTTTTTGAGATGGAGTCTCACTCTGTTGCCCAGGCTGGAGTGCAGTGGCACAATCTTGGCTCACTGCAACCTCTGCCTCCTGGGTTCAAGCAATTCTCGTGCCTCAGCCTCCTGAGCAGCTGGGACTACAGGTGCGCGCCACCATGCCCAGCTAATTTTTGTATTTTTAGTAGAGACGGAGTTTCACCACATTGCCCAGGCTCCTGACCTGGATCACGACCTCCTGACCTCGTGATCTGCCCGCCTCGGCCTCCCAAAGTGCTGGGATTACAGGCGTATATGGTGTTTATTGTATTACTCATTTTTTTCTTATGTTCGACCATTTTAAAAATACATTTTCAAAAAGTTGTTCCCACTGAGCTTTAGATTCACTTATCAGTGTTTGCTAGATAGTTCCAGGTAATGCGTAAGTACCTTAAACTCAACATGCCCCAGTTAAGCTATCATTTCCTAGTCGTCTTCCTTTATGTCCTTTCTCATAGGGTTGTTTTCTCCTCTACCTTCCATCTGACGTCACCACTCTGAGGAGGCCTTTTCCTTACAAACAATGTAAACAATCCCTCTGTCATGTATGCCATTGTGGTAAAACAACTGTTTACATTTTCAAGTCCCTCACTTGTTACTGAGCTCCTTCATTGTTGATCTCTTCTGTCCAGTATTCTTAAACTGAGCTGTTGAAATGTATTTTCCTTTATTCACCACAGTATTTCATCTTACTTGTGAGCGTTGGCTTTTTCAAAATGAGAGACACTGGTTCTTTTGATCCAGGCCTTGAATGTGAGGCCCAGAAGTCATTCCAGAGCACTAATCAGTTGAGCGGATAATTATTTGGCATTTAATCAGTGATGATCCCCATGTTAGACAAGGCGATCACTAAATGAGGCTGTGCTTTGTCTTTTAAAGGTGGGAAGAAGAGCGCTATCCTGAAGGCATCAAGTGGAAATTCCTAGAACATAAAGGTCCAGTATTTGCCCCACCATATGAGCCTCTTCCAGAGAATGTCAAGTTTTATTATGATGGTGAGTTGTTTCAAGGTTCTTGATTCTTGGCCAGGAAAAGAAATCTGCTTCTATTTAGGGATAGAAAACAAGGAAGGATCCTATGTAATAGATAATCCTTTTTATTTCATTTTGTTTTATTGCCATGCAATTTTGAGGAAGGGGCATCAGGTGTTAACTCTTAAAGGCTCATTTGCTGCTGAAAAAGTGCCATGGAAAAGGGGCTATTCATGTCTTCCCTACATAGTCCAAAAAAGGTTTGTCAACATGGCTAACAGTGTGTGGTCCACAAGCTGAAGGTTTTGATCTGAACTTCATTTCTAGGGAGCAACTCTTCGCAAGAGTTATTAGAAAAGCCTCACTTGAATGGTAGTATTTTATGTTAGCAATATAACAATGCAATCGGACAAGCTGCTCATCACTAGAAACAGTATTAGTATATGGTCGAGGATTAATAGTCTGCCATCCATCTCTAGATAGGGCTGGTAGGCATCTGTCACCTATTCTGTGTAGCATAACACTATGCCTTTGATATATGTGCAATCAAGTCTGATGAGCTGCTTTAAAGAAATGCCCTGCCTGGGTCTCTTAGAACCCTCAGAATTGTCCCTTATCTGTCGTTGGTATTTGTATCCTTGGGTTTGAAGGATTTGAGGGTAGCCTTTGACATGCCTCCTGTTGGCAGTGTAGCAGTATGTAGATGGTAATAACTGATTTTCTTCATTCCATGAGTTTTATCCAGAAATGGTTAGAGCATTGTTCCTCATACCCTTATGTGCTTATGACTCACCAAAGTGGATCTGAGCCCATTTAACAGTTGTGGGGTGGGCTTCTTTTCCCTTTCCCCACCGTCCCTCTTCTTCTTTCCCCTTTCCCAACCATCCTTCCCTCTTCTGTCCCCTTTCCTGACAGTCCCCCTTCTCCTTTCCCCAGCATTCCTCTTCCACCTCCACTTGTCTTACCACCGTCTTTTGGCCACTGTTATTTCACCACCCCATTTCTCCACCATTTTTCCCACCCTCAGCCCCCCACTGTTTTCTTCTCACCCATCCCACCGCCCGCACTGAAAAGAAAAAGTTCTGGGGTGGGATTGAGTACTTCTGAACCAAGTGGTCTGCTGACCAAACTTTGAGAAACACTGGGCAGGATAACTGCTGAAAAGCATCAGTGGTGAACACTCAGGCATTCTGGTGCATCTCTCTTCCCACCAGTAGTGGCCTTAGGTCCACCAATGCTTGTAGGCCTAGGTAGTAGTTTACACTAAAGGGCTGGGTCTGCAACTGAAGAAAGTGCCAAACTTGGCAAGCTGAAATTTGTTTTTTAAAATGCCATATTTATTAGCCAAGTGTGGTGGTGCACGCCTGTAGTCCCAGCTACTCGGGAGGCTAAGGTGGGAGGATTGCTTGAGTCCAGGAGGCAGAGATTGCAGTGAGCCTAGATCGTGCCACTCCCCTCCAGCCTGTGTGACAGAGTGAGACCCTGTCTCAAAAAATAAAATAATAAATAAATAAATAAAACATATTTATTGAATGTATTTGTGGTCAGACACCAAGACCCAGCAGTGGATAGTACTACTGACTTAGACCCTGATCTTGGGGAGTTTGCAGCCTAACAGGACTCCATAATCTCAGAGGCAAATGCTTATGTTATGTAAACATTTTGACCTGTTGACCAGAGAGCCTAAGACAGTTCTTTCAGCCCTCACGCTGGTCATTCCTGGAGACTCTTAACTATAACTCAAAGCCAAAACTCCTAATTAAGAGAAAGGGCCTAGAACCTTGAAGAGCACCATCTCAAAGCGTAGGTATTCCGTAGGCCTGGTCTGGACTTACCAAGAGCTTTAGGATGCTCAGCTGGTAAAGCCTCACTTTGAGGTTCAAAGTGATGGGAGGGAAAGCTAGATTCCCTAGTCCTGTGGTTTCTCTTCCTTTTCAAGATAGGAAGCAGAGGCCTGGTCTAGTTCACAGGTTGCCATAGTCCTTTCCTCCCATTCTTGCCCAGTCCTCCTTTACAGGATCCTGCTTTAGGGCTCCAGCATTTTCTCAGCTGGTCCTCTGCTGGGATTTCTTCTCTTTGATTGTGTGAACTCTTACTCTGCAGTAAGTCAAGAAGTCATATTTGACTTTACTTCAAACTGATACAGTAAGTGCTGCCTACTCTCTGGGGAGGAGAATTCTTAGACTCCTTTAGAACTTGCCAGGGAGGTGGGGCATGGGCTAGCTGAAGCAGTGAATTACTGCCTTCTCTGAGGACCTTCAGTTTACAGCTTTGATTCAGCAGTTTCCTTTTCCTGGAGCTCAGCCTTTTCCACAAAGTGTTAACATTGCCAGGAACCTTCCAGTCATCCTCCCACTACTCTGATGCAGGGAGCCATCATTTCATCTTTTGACAGCTCATCTAAAATAGGAGGAGTCACAGTTGCTTCTCCCTCTATTAGGACAGAATTCAGTAAAACAGCCCAAAATCTCATTTTTTTTAAATTTATTTTTATATTTATTTATTTGAGACAGAGTCACACTCTGTCACCCAGGCTGGAGTGCAGTGGCACAATCTTGGCTCACTGCAGCCTCCACCTCCAAGGTTCAAACGATTCTCATGCCTCAGCCTCCCAAGTAGCTGAAATTAACAGGCACGTGCCACCACACCTAAGTTTTGTATTTTTAATAGAGACAGGGTTTTACCATGTTGGTCAAGCTGGTCTGGAACTCCTGACCTGAAGTGATCCTTGCACCGCCTCCTAAAGTGCTGGGATTACAGATGTGAACCACCATGCTCAGCCACATTTTTTTTTAAATGGTGTTAACAGTTTACATTTTTTTCTTGCCATTTTATTTCATTTATTTTATTCCTAATGACTTAATGTTTTCCTTTATATTGGAAACATGTTACAGTTTTCTAAAGAAGTTCAGGGAATCTTTTAATACACAGCCTATCTTCCCCGAAGTGTCTTTCTTCCAAAGCAGAAGCTTGGGGGTTGATGGGGGCAGCTGCGCCACCTGTTGGCCTTTTAAGTTAATGGCGTCCAAAGTGGGTTCTTTCTATTATAACTGTTTCAATATTGTGCTACAGTTCTCTACACCCCTGCAAAGTCAGATTGCATATCATTATGAGATAAGATGTCTTCTGAGTTTTGAAATAAATGGATTTCTGGTTAAATTTTAGTTTTCTATAAAGAATGTGGGCAGCCTTGGTGAATTATTAATACCTGTGTAATAGTAAGGTGGTGGAATTATAGTTAACCTCATTTTAAGTATAGCCAAATGCTCTTAGTATAGCATGGATTGGTTCGAGGTGATGTTGTAAAGTTGGATTTTTAAGAAAGAATGGAAATTGGCACTAAGAGTACTGTCAAAAGCATTTGTTTGAAAAGTGGATTAAATTCCCAAGTACTTTTCTTTCATTGCTTTATTAACTAAATCAGGTATATAAAACCCATAGGCCCTATTCAGATTTTCTTTACCAGTTAGCAGCTTTCATTGTGAAAACATCTGAGTCCCTTTAGACAGCTTTTTGTTTATTTGAGACAGTCTCAGTCTGTTGCCCAGGCTGAAGTGCAGTGGCGTGATCTTGGCTCACTGCAACCCCTGCCTCCTGGGTTCAAGCGATTCTCATGCCTCAGCCTCCTGAGTAGCTGGAGTTACAGGCTCCCACCACCACGCCCGGCTAATTTTTTATATTTTTAGTAGAGATGGGTTTTCGCCATGTTGGCCAGGCTGATCTGGAACTCCTGACCTCAAGTGATCTGCCTGCCTCAGCCTCCCAAAGTGCTGGGATTACAGGCATGAGCCACTGCTCCCAGCCCCTTTAGACAGCTTTTACATAAACAATTGGATACACCAGGAACCCCAGTCATCCCTTGTGCTGTGGATGCATCCTGGTTCCCTGAAAGAGGCAGCATCATGGTACCCATGTTCCAGAGCAGTGTGTCGCAAACTCTAGTGTGCATCCAAGTCTTGTTAAAAATGCAATTTCTGTATAGGATTCAGTAGGTCTAGGAGGGGGCCTGGGATTCTGCATTTCTAAACTCCCACATGATGCCAATGCTGCTGGTCTGTGAACCACTTGTTGAATAGCAAAGTTCTAGAAGAAGGTCTTATTAGGCTTTTCATATGGGAAATCTGGGCTTGCCTAGTATGGATATATATTTTTTTATTCATATTCCACCCACCTAACTTTGAAGAAGAAAGATGCCTATTTCTTTTCCCCACAATTCCTTTCTTCCACTCCCTGCCCTATCCCTTCCTCCCCTTCTTGAACAGAGGCTGCTTAGCTTAGCAGTGGCAGGAGTCCCTCTGAGGATTTGATTTTTAAAAACCATTGAAGAGGTGTAAAGGACCCTGCTTGCTGAAAGGAAAAGGAAGAGTGACTGGGCCTCCCCCAGGTCATCCCTGTCCTGAGCAGGCACCTGGGAACAATTAACTGGCATAGTCTCCAGAGAATGACCCAGGTAAATATATGCTAAAGAGAAGGAGAATTTGTACAAGTAGATATAAATCAGTATGTTGTCTTTGTTGTTGTTGCTACTATGTGTCACCAGACCTTTATATACCATGAGAAGGCAAACCATTATTAAAGAGAATTCGCTAGCCCTGGGTATTTATGCTTAGAACATGAATACTATACCTCACTTTTTGGAACCACTTTTTTCTCTAGGTAAAGTCATGAAGCTGAGCCCCAAAGCAGAGGAAGTAGCTACGTTCTTTGCAAAAATGCTCGACCATGAATATACTACCAAGGAAATATTTAGGAAAAATTTCTTTAAAGACTGGAGAAAGGTACTGTAGCCCATGTGTTAATATCCTAGTACCTTGCAAAACAATCAAGTACTAAGTAATAAATTATCATTTTGCAAAACATTTCCTGATGTAAAATTTGAGTTGTATGGATTTTGTTGTATTTAAACTTGCGTATTTTTTGTCTTCATTTACTATATTATGTAGGGTTTCTGTCCAACAAGAGTACTTGTATATCTTTGCTATTGGCTCTCATGTGATGGCAGGTAGGTGGGGGTTATCAGATTAGGCCAAACAGAAAACCTCAACTCCAGTTGCGCACAGGAAAGTTTGTCGCTGCAGGACTGCCCCGTGTCTGCTGTTGCAAAGAGAAATGTTAATCTGATGTCCCTCTCGCTGTTAATTCTTGCTCATTTATTTTAGGTACTTTCTACTCTTGAAACCACATATACTATATTTGCCTAGGTGATTTTTTAAAATCTCATTATTCTCAATTTGGATAATGTGGACAGAGGCAGCAGTAAAGTTTACTTCCTGAACTAGCTCAGAAAAAGCAGACTTAATAAATGAATAGAATAGGGGTAATGTTTCCAAGAGAGAATCAGTATGGGATTTCAAACTTGTATTCATAATGCCTGGGGGCTGTGTGCCACGGAGTCTAAGAAACCACATAAGAATTCATTTTTTTCCATGATAAGTCATTTTAAAACATTTTAATATTAGTAAGTACATATTTTATAATAAAGTAATACAACTGTATTTTTTTGTTTTTTCAAAATTCATTAATTGAGATTGGCTACTTCCAGAAACCTTTGACTGAAAAAATGGTGCTTGGGTGTATTTGCAAAGAAACCCAAGGACTTATTAGTGTATTTTCGTTGTTTTTCTTTCATCTCCCCATTTTCTTTTGACTAGGAAATGACTAATGAAGAGAAGAATATTATCACCAACCTAAGCAAATGTGATTTTACCCAGATGAGCCAGTATTTCAAAGCCCAGACGGAAGCTCGGAAACAGATGAGCAAGGAAGAGAAACTGGTACTACAGAATTTATTAAACCTCTGGAGAATTCTGGAATTGTGATTGGTTCATTTAACTTTCTTCTTGGTTCTTATGACACAACATTAACATCAGTAATTTCACATCATTCTATGCTAAAGACTTAGAGTTCTCAAAGTCTAAATTTTCTTAAAGGTTTTAGTTAGACTGAAAATTGTGAACAAGTACTTTGCTCAGTAGCTCTGTACAGGAATCTTGGTGCTTCAGTGACCTAAAAACCAGTCAGTAACTCCAGCCAATAATATAGTAATTAAGGATGGGCAGACCTGTCCCACAGTGGCTACTGGATATTAAGGATTTAAGACAGATGAAATCATATTGGCCATGTACCTCCCTGCTCTTTGATCTATTTTACTCTGGAATCTTGTGATGCTCATCCATCTCCATCTTCCAGCCTTGGCCATCCTCATTACTGAAGGATCTTTCTGGTATCCAGCTGGGATGTCATTTTTCTTCTACAGGCTGCCTGTTTTTGTAAAAAAAAAAAAAAAAAATTTATTGGAACCAGCTGCCTCTACTTGTCTACATATTATCTACGGCTGTGTTTATGCAACAATGACAGAGATGAGTAGTTGCAAAAGAGAGTAGTTGCAAAAGAGACTGTGTGGCACTCAAGCCTAAAATATTTTCTATCTAGAAAAAGTTGTCAGCCCCTGAACTAAAGGAATCCAGGCTAGAATTTCATTTTTACCAATCGGAAGTCCAGAAGTTAAGGATTTTAAGGAATTCTTTGCACTTCAAATTCCTGTAGTTTCAGTATTTTAAAGGACTTGCGTGTTTACGTAATTCAGACCATTGTATTGATATAACTCATTGTTTCATGGTACTTATTTGGTCACTAGTTTAAAAATTAATGCATTACTATAAGAATGTTAATTGCATCAGACTTTGTGTCTCAGGTAAATCTTATCCTCAATATTCCAAGTTAGTGAAATTTAGTATATTATTTACTTCAGGGGCATTTTGAAACTTAAAAGATCACTTTGGAGCTTTGTTCTTAGAATATTGATCCAAAGATAGATTTTATAAACATCCCCTTGTCAGAGCCTCTGCCAAGGACACCTGCTGCCAGCAAGGTCTGAATCTGTTCCCACCCACAAGGCAGCACAACTTAGTTAAACTGAATCAATAAGTATATAAAACGCAGAGTCAATAGAGGGTAAGGAGGCTCAAAATCTCCCCCACCATCCCTCACCTTTTTGGAGCAAGGATCATAGTATAGAGTGTATATACCTGTATACCTACAAAAAAATTAGTGACAGATCTGTCTGAGCTTAAAAACCCACGTTTTTAAGCTGTTTAACTGCTGTTTAATTAAATGGCTTGAGCTATTCTTTTATGAGGCTCTATCAGAGACTCTTCTCCATTTCCTGTTTTGATAGTACTCAGTAAAACAGTATGAATTTTTAAAGTACATTTAAAAACACCCAAATAACATTTACAAACATATATCCTTTAAGACACAAGAATCAGTTTTGAATCTAGTTGAAATCAATCCTTATAGGCAGATCTTTTTGGGGAATTTTATGATATTTAAGTTTGAGAAAACCACTAGAGGTTTTCCTTTATTTGAATTTATTTTTTAGTGATTTTTCAGACTTTCCTCTACCTTGACTTAGTCTCCCACAAGAGATAAAATGCATTAGTAGAGAACAGCAATCTGAATCTATTTTGAGTACTTTCTTGCTGTCTTCCAGAAAATCAAAGAGGAGAATGAAAAATTACTGAAAGAATATGGATTCTGTATTATGGATAACCACAAAGAGAGGATTGCTAACTTCAAGATAGAGCCTCCTGGACTTTTCCGTGGCCGCGGCAACCACCCCAAGATGGGCATGCTGAAGAGACGAATCATGCCCGAGGATATAATCATCAACTGTAGCAAGTGAGCTCGCACTTCATCCTATGGGCCAAAAAGGGGGTGGAGGGCGTCCTTTATTGTACTTGGGAATATTTCCCAGGTTACACAGGACTGTTTGGGAAGGGAGATACTTAAGAGCAGGACAGTATTTCATGCGTAGGTCTCCAGATGTTTTTGAGGTACAGTTGTCTCCCCTCATCCACAGGGGATATGTTCCAAGACCCCCAGTGGATGCCTGCAACTTCGACCCAATTGCTGTCACTTGGAACACATTTCTGTTGATGTCTTCCACCCCCAAATTTAATGTCTTTTCCATGTTTATTAAGTACTTATCACATAGAGTGGCTATAACTTTTGCAGTCTGAGGCACAACAGCAAAACTAGCACGACTTTCTTTTTCCTTCTTCACAATTTCACAGATGGAAGGTTAATTCTTACCTTAGATCTTAGCAACTTCACCATACAGTTTTTTTTATTAAGTCGATAATTTCCACCTTTTCATTTAAAGCACTCTGTGCAGCTTCTGTATGGCATATCCAAATTGCCAACATCACCACTTTCACACTTTGGGGCCTTTATTAAGTAAAAGAAGGATTACTTGAACACAAGCAATGTAAAACCATTAAAGTCAACCTGATAAATAAGGCAGCTACTAGGTTACCCATGGGCAAGTGACATATACAGCATGGTATGTTGTATATATGGTTCACGCATCCCAGGTGGGACTACAAGAGATTTCATCATGCTCCTCAGAATGATGTGCAATTTAAAACTTACAAAATGTTTATTTCTGGAATTTTGTATTGAATATTTTCGGATGACAGTTGGCTGAGGGTAAGTAAAACCATGCATAAGGTGGGACTACTGTATTGACTGTTAAGAAGGAAACTTGGAAAATTATGCTCAGCAGATAGGTCCACTTGGGGTCATGAAAGGTGAAATTATTCCTCACATCTTATTTCACTATCCTCGTGCTCTGTTATTTCCAGAGATGCCAAGGTTCCTTCTCCTCCTCCAGGACATAAGTGGAAAGAAGTCCGGCATGATAACAAGGTTACTTGGCTGGTTTCCTGGACAGAGAACATCCAAGGTTCCATTAAATACATCATGCTTAACCCTAGTTCACGAATCAAGGTAAGGGGATAGTTGAGAGCTGCACTGGTTCATGGTGCTGATAACCTTTTTTTGTTGAAATGTAACGTTCTCGTCCTCTAGAATCACTTTGACAAATTAAAAATCCTCCCCATTGAAAGAAGGCAAGTACTTTCATAGTTAGCATTATGGTGATCTTCCTACAGTGCCTCCATTTTTTTGGTCACATTGTAATCTTATTTATTAATTCACAAATATTTACTGAAATCCCAAATGTGCCCCACACAGTATACATTTGATGCTAGGAATTATGTTGGTAAACAAGATAGACGTAGGCCCTGCCTTCATATTGCTTAACGTCCAGTGGTCAGAATGTGTTGAAGTATGGTGATTGTATATTGGCCTCTGCAGATGTCTTCTACTTCCTCACCTCTCTTGGTTATGAGAAGGGAATGTAGTTTCTGTATATCCTGAAACAAGTTGTAAAATCTAATGTCTTACATACTTCTGGCTTCCTGCAGTCTCATCTGGGTAGGTTCACCAGGGCCAAATGAAATGTGTGTGAAAGCACATCATAAAACTGTGTTACATACCTATGCACTGTTATTTATTGATAGTGTTATTGCAAGGAGATAACTGCCTTGGGGGAAATCAGTTTTTGTTTGCCAGATAGCTATGTATATCTAGCTTTGGAGAGTCCCACGAACTTCTTCCCTCCAACATACTATGAAATATAAACCTAACAGAGACAAAAACACAGTCAAGGAATTAGTTCTATGTAGACTGTTAACTGTTTTATGTGCAGGAGACCTGGGACTAAAGACCTTCTTGATCCTCGTTCATAGGTTATAACATCTGTTAAAATGTGAAAGCCACAGCTGAAAAGGCTATGTGAATAGGCAAGACTAAACTGTACATTTTCTGGCTTGTAGCCCTGTGTTCTTCTGTATATCACTACTTTTCTAATGAAAAATACCTGTTTATATATTTTCTCCAATTATAAAATATACTTTTCTGGCTGGGTGTGGTGGCTCAAGCCTGTAATCCCAGCACTTTGGGAGGCCGAGATGGGCGGATCACCTGAGGTCAGGAGTTCGAGACCAGCCTGGACAACATGGCGAAACCCTGTCTCTACTAAAAATACAAAAATTAGCCAGGCGTGGTAGTGGGTGCCTGTAATCCCATCTACTTGGGAGGCGGAGGCAGGAGAATCGCTTGAACCTGGGAGGCAGAGGTCGCAGTGAGCTGAGATCACGCCACTGCACTCCAGCCTGGGCAAGAGACTTAGACTCTGTCTCAAATAAATAACTAAATACATAAATAAAAATAAAATGTAGTTTTTGTAGTTTAGATAAGTACAAAATCAGAAAGCGAACACTTATGTTGAGCAGACTAGTCATTTAAAGAAACATGTATTCCTCTTCTGAAGTATCGCAAAGCTGTATATATGGCTACAAAAGCAGAAAAATAATAGTTTTAGCCCTTAAGGAACTTATAGGCTGGTGGGCAAATCAGGTAAGAATTCAGTTGTATTAGAAGAAAGATAAAAGTAAAATGCATTAGATAAACAGAGGAGTTATTTGCAGCACCTTAGAGATCAACAATAACTTTATGAAGAAAAGTAGGTTATGGTTGGGTCTTAAAAGTAGTATTTCAAACAAGAGAGAACTGTGTCGTGGACAAAGGGGAGGGTGGTAAGCAGAGTATGTTGAGGATAGGGGTTGAGAAAAGGTGTGATAAAAAGAATTATCAAGTGGTGACAGTTGCACAACATTGTGGATATACTACTAAATGTCACTAGTGGTAAATGGTATCAATGCATATTTTACCACAACTTAAAAATGATCAAAATAACAGAGTTACTATTAAAAACATTTGCACATAAGTTAACATTTGGATCTTCTAAGCATACCGCACATACATATACTAATGCCACCATTTATAGATGAGTAAATTTAGTCTCTGGGAGGCCCAAAAATTTGCCCAAGATTCAGTGGCTAGTAACTCTAACTTAGATCTTCTTAGAATGTAACTTAGATCTTCAGTCTCTGCATGCTTTCCTGTGACATCCACTGCTAAATGTGGCCAGCTTTAAATGCCATGTTAAAGAGACTGAGCCCTTAAAGGACTTTGAACAGTGGAGTGTCTTGAACACAGCTTCACTTCAGCAAGATTTACAGGCATTATATGTAAATCACATCAGTAAATATGAACTGTTATAAATGCTGCAAAGGAAAAAGTACAGGGTGCCATCTGAGAGTATACCAGGGTACCTGATCCAGCCTCTGGGGTTCAGGGATGGCCTTTCTGAAGAGGTAACATTTAAAGGATAATGTAAAGAAAAAATTTTTTTAAATTAGTACCTGAAGATCTGGCTGGCCTCACTATATAGCTTCCTCTCCTGCCTCTTTCTTCCCTCAGAACGACCAAGCTCTTGCTCACCTCTGGGATTTCAAAAGGCTACTTTATTTTCTCTATTAGAAACACCCATTCTCCTATTCTTTCCAGGGATACAATCCTATTCATCCTGTAAATCTCATCTTAAATGTTAACTCTTCAGAAAGGCCATCCCTGAATCCTAGAGGCTGGATCAGGTACCCCGGTATACTCTCAGATGGCACCCTGTACTTTTCCTTTGCAGCATTTACAGCAGTGTAAATCTACTGGTGTGATTTACATATAATGCCTGTAAATCTTGCTGAAATGAAGCTATGTTCAAGACAACTCCACTGTTCAAAGTCCTTTAAGGGCTCAGTCTCTTTAACATGGCATTTAAAGCTGGCCACATTTAGCAGTGGATGTCACAGGAGAGCATGAGGAGCATACGCTCTAAGAAGATTGAAGAGTTACTAGCTGTTGGATCTTGGGCAAGTTTTAGGGCCTTTAAGTTTAAAAGGAAGCCACCAACCTGGGATTTAAAGAGGGAAATGACACCAGATTTGTATTTTGGAAACTCGTTACATAATTGATCATTCTGACTGCTGCTCTGCGGAGACTGGATTGGACACAAACAAGAAGTAGAGAGATCAATGGGAAGCTGTTGCATACTCCAGGCAAGAAACAGCGATGACTTAAGACAAATGATGGCAATGGGGATGGAGAGAGGTGACAGATACATAATGTATGCTGAGTACTTGTACAGGTAAGGATTAGAGTTAATTAATTGTTGGAGCCTCTCTGAGGGCTGAGATCCTTGTTAGATAGACCAGGTGAAATGCCTCAAGAGCAGAGAGCCAGTCAATTTTATTCCAGACAATATCCAGCTAACTGCTATACACAATAGACATTTGTGCAAGTTTCTGGATGATGATCATGGTAGTGAACCTAAAAGTCACCCAGAGTTAGACTCTGAACCTTATGCTCAGGAGAAAGTGCCTGACTTGAACTGCAATGGGATCCCAATAGGAGTCATTAAAGGCCTGGAAAAGTGGTGCCATTAGGAGAAAAAGAAATGATTTCTTGAGCTTGCTCTCAGTTCTCTTTTAGGCTGTCTTGTACTCAGCAGAATAGTGAGATCTTCAAAGGTTGGGGTTTGATAGTGCCTTGAATAATTTTTAACTTTATATTGCCAGCGGAAGAAGCATTCTCTTTTTAGATTTAAAAAATGTAGATACAAATATTAGGGGTTTTATTTTTAGTGAAACATTTCAAACATACAGGAATAGATAATTATGTAATGAACACTCGTATGTCCACCATCTGGCTTTGTAAAATCTTAAAATTATGTCTTATGTGCTCAATTGTTTTATTTCATAAAAGATACTGATAAACATAGCTGAAGTCACTTGTATACCATTCACCTTCTTCCCTGTAGATTACTATGAACTCGGTCTTTTTATTCTCATACATATTTTTTGTATTTTTGCAGTATATTTATGTGTTCATAAACAATATGTAATTTTACAATATGTAACACACTAGTAACATACTAATTTAAAACTTGTTTTTAGTTTACAATATGTTGTAAACTATTGTAAGCTAAAGACATATTGTACAACCTATTGTAAAATAAAAACAGGTTTTAGTTTTAAATTAGGTATGTTACTGGGATCATTCTGCAACTTGTTTATTCCTCTCCAGCTTTGATTTTGTGGTTTTATTATCTTAACCTACACTTTTAATTAATCCATTTTATTTGTTACATGGTATTCTATTATATCATAAAAACTTATCTATTCTGTTGGTTTTTGTTGTTGGTCATTTGAGACCATGTCTTCGCTCTGTCACCCAGGCTGGAGTACAGTGGCGTGATCTTGGCTCACTGTGACCTCTGCCTCCCGGATTCAAGTGGTTTTGGTGCCTCAGCCTCCTGAGTAGCTGGGATTATAGGCGTGTGCCACCATGCCCAGCTAATTTTTGTATTTTTAATAGAGACGGGATTTCACCATGTTGGCCAGGCTGGTCTTGAACTGACCTCAAGTGATCTGCTCACCTCAGCTGCACAAAGTGCTGGGATTACAGGTGTTAGCCACCATACCCTGCCTCTATTCTCTTGTTAAGAGGCATTTAGCATGGTTATACAGTCTCTTGCCCTCATAAACAGTGCTGGAAGAAACACATGTTTCTTGTGTATATGAATGAAAATTTGTTTTATACATTAGATATTTCCAAATTGTTCTCTTAAGTACTTCAGTTTACATCATTACTCTCCTCCTCCCTCCCCTCCCACCCCCACCCACAACAGTATTCCTCTTTTTCCATATCCTTGCTAATGTTTCTAAAGTTTTGCTTTTTACATTTGGGTCTTAGATCCACTAGAATGTATTTTTGCATTGGGATGAAGTTGAAACCTAATATATTTTCCAAATGAGTAAACTGTTGTCACAGAACTATTTAGTTGTATTACCTCCTCTCTTGTATATCAGATATATCTACATATATGTCAGACTGTTTCTGGGCTGTCTGTCCTCTTTAATTAGTTCGTGTATCTGTTTCTGCATCAGTAGCATACTGTCTTAACTACTGTAGCTTTATAAAGTCTATTGAGTAGGACAAGTTTGTTTCATTCTTCAAAATTGCTTTGGCTATTCTTGGCCCTCTGCTGTTTCATATTAACTTTCAGATAAACTTGTCAAATTCTAATGAAAACTGTTGATAAACTTGTTGATTAACAAATTCTAATAAAAACTGTTGAGATTTTTATTGGAATTGCAATACATTTATAGATTAACGGAGAAAGATATTGACAATACAATTGAGTTTCCAATTCACGAACATGTTATACCTCTCCATTAATTCATGTCTTTTGAATGTATCCACCAATATGGTTTTGTAATTTTCTTCATAAAGGTTTTACATTTAAAAAATTCTTATTTTTAAGTGATCTTATAGTTTTTATTGCTAATGTGAATGAGATTTTTTTCCATTATGTTTCTGTTGGTTATTCCTGAAGTGGTAATGCTTATAATTTTGGGGTGTTGGTCTTGTATCTGGCAGCAGATACAAGAGGTGCTCAGAGTTGTTCAGGGTTGCTGAACTCTTAGTTCTAAAAGTGTCTGTCATTTGGGGTTTCTATGTAGATAATTTAATTATCTATAAAAACAGTTCTTCATTTTCAGTTCATATATTTCATATTTCTTTAAGTTTTAATTTTTATTTTTAAACACAATTATCCATAAAACCCTAACCCTTTCCCTAGTCAACAGCAGTCACAGCCAAATGTTTTATTAATTGCTATACTCAGTGTTTCTTGTATCTCATACCTTCTGGGGTTTCTTGTCTTGTTGAAATACACCCTTTAATGTTTCTTTAGTGAAGACCCAACAGTGGCACTCACTCACCTTTGTTTACCTGAAAATTTCTTTATTTTCATCTTAATTCATAGTCTGTCTTTTCTCCAGTCAAGGAAGTGTCTTATAGGGAAGATTCTGGTTTCACTATGCTGTATCCAGGGATATATATGTATTTATAGATAGACTTTTAATCTGAGGACTAATGTATTTTATCCTACAGTATTACCAATCATTATTTCTTCCATAACTTCTAGACCATTCCTTTTGTACTTCTTTTTTAGAGTCCTATTAGATGAGTGTTGACACTTTTCAATCTAGACATCTTTTTTAAACTATATTTTCATACTCTTTGTCTCTTTAGGTCTGATTTTTTAAGTTCAGGGGAATATTTCATTTTGGGTGAGTTGTAGCACTCACTTCCAATTCACTAATTCTAATTATATTTAATCTACAAGTTATTCCATCTATAATTTATTTCAATTACCACTTTTTGTTTTCAAAATTTCTAATTTTATATCTGATTTTGTTTCATTTTTGTTTTATAATTTCATGTTCTTTCTAGATTTTACATCTTTTTATGCATACTAAACATACTCACTTGAAAGTCTTTGTAAGATTGTTCTATAAAATGTTACCTGAAGTGAATTCATGTGCTAATTACTGTTGGCAGTTTTTCTGAGCCATTTTCCTTGTGTCTTTTGAAATTTCTGTTTGTAAGCCCTTTTAACTGGGAGGTGTTTTTTGCTTATGTACTGTTCTCTTTTCTTTCCCTTCTTCTCCTTCTCTGTTCATTACTTTTTGTCTTGGAGGGAGTCTCTTAGCCCAGCTCAGCCCAAGCTAATAAGGCCCCTGACTTCAAGTCCCCCCTTCTTGCATGGAGCAAGAAGTGATCCTCCTGTCTCAGCCTCCCAAAGTGCTGGGTAGGCGTGAGCCACCACATCCAGCCTAGAGCACTTACATTGCTACATATTTGGAGCAAACATAATTAAAGTATGACTTACTGTGACCCAGCAGTCAATAACAGATATGTTTTTGTAATAGAATGTTGAAGGGTGGTAACTGGTGGTTTTACTTCATGGAGGGCTTTAGGTCGGCTATATGGGAAGCTGCCATCATGATGCTTTTGTTCTACACATTTCTGCTCAGCCTCCAGAGATGTCTCCTATTCTAAGAGTCGTCTTTGTTTACTCTTGTGTCTATATTTTACTTACTTAATTCCCTCACATAATAGTGTATCATTGTATCCCATCTGTGCTCTATCAAGAAATGTAGCACAAGCATGATGTGAACTATGAATTTTCGACAATTTAAAAAATTAAAGGAATCATTCAGGGGTAAAAAGCACAAAGTTGTAGAACAGCTGAAGTGTGTTCTTTTTATGTATCCTGTCTTTGCCCCCTTTCTGGAAACTTGGATTGGCCTACTTGCAGTCACTGTCACAGTTACACTACTTCTAGCCTCAAAGGTCATTGAAAGGATTGGGATTTTTGAGAACCACAATAACACTTGCTCTAGGTACTGAAAAGGTTGTCCTGAACTCATTCATATCTTTTTATGTTCATCCCAGTTTGTTTTTGCTTTTCCCCCCAGGATTTTGATTACACAGACATCTTGCAAGCATATTTCCATTCTTTCTCTCCCACTCTGTGCCTGGTGCCCGTAGGATCTGAAATAGCATTGGAATGACAGCTAGCCTTCTGGAACCTGCAGTTTCAACCAAAGAAACTCTGATTCCAGATAACCCAGGAGTTTCTTATCCTGCATAATCTAGGAGTTTACAAAAAGGCTGCTTATGGGTACTCACTGCTAAGTACAATCCACTGCCAAGTTTGGAAGCATTACCTGCTCTCACAACCCAGGGAAAGTAGCCCTTAGTAAAATTCAGGTTTTTTCAAACCAGCCTTAACCTTACAAACAGAATTTATCATCATGATTTTTCTTTCAAATGCAGTACAGCAAACTTTAGGATCAATGTTGACATCGTATTGCGTTTAGTCCTGTTAAAATACTCTCAGTGCCAAATACACACTTCTGCCTTTTTTCTCTTTAGAGTCTAGAATTCTGTGGGGTTCCAAAAATGTATGTGCTTACAACCTTTTATATGTAACCACCTAGGGATTAAAGGGCTAAATGTGAAGGAAAGTATCTTTACAATATTCATCTTGGGAAGCTCTCATTTTGGTGAGTTCTATTAGAGAAAATAAGACACAAGCTCATTAAAAATATATATATATTCTGAGCCTGGCATCTTGGTATAAAATTCAAAACGTTTTAAATCTATTTATTAGTAAGACTAACATAGACCTAAGTGTGAAGACTAAAATATTAAAGCTTGTAGGTGATATCATGGTTGAATATGACCTTAGAGTAGATTCCTTAGGACAGAAAAACACCAACAAGAGAAACAATTGACTAAATGGACTTCATTAAAATTAAAAATTTATGTTCAACAAAAGACACTGCTAAAATAAATACAGAATTTACAGACTAAAAGAAAATATTTGCAACATGTTTATCTGAAAGGGCTTATATCCAGACTATACAAAGAATTCCTGTAGCTCCATAATAAAAAAACAGACATCCCATCCGCATAATAAAAAGAGCAAAAGACTTGAACATATACTATACAAAAGAAGATACAGGAATGGTCAATAAATAAGCAAATGAAAGAGTGCTCGACATCACTAATTATCAGTGGAGTGAAGATTTAACCACAGGGAGATACGAATTCCAGTTCTAGGTATTTTTACCTCAAGTGAAATAAAAACATTTATCCATGAAAAAACTTGTACAAGAATGTTCATAGCAGTGCTCTATTCATAAGAGTGCAAAACTGGAAACATCCCAGAATAGATAACACATTATGGTATAGTCATAGAATATACTATATTTATCAGCAGTTAAGAAGGGAACTACTTATGTATTCAACAACATGGATGAATCTTAAAAACATGGTTAAGGGCCAGGTGCGGTTGGTGCATGCCTGTAATCCAAGCACTCTGGGAGGCCAAGGCGGGTGGATCACTTCAGGTCAGGAGTTCGAGACCAGCCTGGCCAACATGGCGAAACACCGTCTCTACAAAAAAATACAAAAATTAGCCGAGGGTGGCGCACACCTGTAATCTCAGCTATTCAGGAGGCTGAGACATGGGAATCGCTTGAACCTGAGGGGTAGAGGTTGCACTGAGCCGAGATTGCATCACTGTACTCCAGCCTGGTGACAGAGCGAGACGCTGTCTCAGAGGGAAAAAAAAAAGTTAAAAAGGCAGACAGAGGAGTCTATATTGTATGATTCTATTTATATAATCTAGACTAGGCAAAATTTATCCATGATGATAGTAATCAGATTGAAGGATCAGTGGTTGCTTGGTGGAAATTGACTGAGAAGGGAAATAGTCATGTAAGAATACTGGCAAATGTCCTCTTCCCCATTACAAACGTCTGAGAAAGTTACTAGAAAACAGAATCCAATTTGCCTTCTCACCCCCAACTTTGTAATCTTGAATCCAGATCCTGATTCCACCCAACCACTCTGCTGAATGGATAGCAGCTATATTAGAGAGACAATATAGTGGGCCTACTAGTTTTAAAAAGTCATCCAAAGAATGTCATCTACAATCAGTTAAATTAGATTTTTACCCATTACTGAAGTGTGATTGAATTAGGGAAAGAGGAGAGGTGGTCAAAGGCAGCCTTCTCCAGTGGATTCCTTGTCTTCTTGAGATGGTTTTGTGAGACCTTGCCTGGAAGACCTAGGTGGATAGTTTATTTTCTAAAAGTAGTCAAGAAAGCTTGTTCAGGGCATTGAACACTGCAGGGACAAGCATACTTCTTGGAGGCCAGCCATCTCCTGCTGGATCTAAGCGGGGTGGCTTCTGCCTCCACCTCCATCTCAGCTTATTTGAGAGAATCCTAGATCCTTGGTGCAGAAGCCCAGCCAGCCTGTGAAGAAAAGTTGGTCTGGTAGTATCCTGTGAATGACGTGCGGGTTGGGTTTTTCTAAATCTCGTTTACCTGACTCCTACCTTACATTCCAGTGGTGTGACTAAGGAACTGAGCAAACGTAACCCTAGGGGACTTTGAGACAGGCTTTGGTAGTCCATGTGCACTAGAGTGAGGGGAAAGAGGCCACTCCAGAGTTGGGTACTCTACTGTTGAAGGTGAGCCTTTTGTGTCCAATTTTTCCGTGCATGTGTAAGAACAGTTGTCATGGAGATTTACTACTGACTTGTGCATGAGGACAGCTTATATCTCACCTTTTCTTATTCACCCTGTTAAATGTCAAAATGTACTAAGACTTAGGTATTTTTTCTGTGTCACCAACTACTAAATCACCCACCCATGATAGCAGGTAGTTACTGAAACTCTTGTAGCCAAACAAGTGCATAACACTGGTACACATGATGTGAGAGTGCAGATGACTCCTTAGCTTAACTGTGTAAGCTTTTAATTTCTGAGTACTTTTAGGATTGAGAAGTGGAAGACATTCTTGCTCTAGGTATCTCATGCTTCTGCACACCCAGAAGGCTGGTTGCGCCCCCACCCCACCCCCCGCCCCCTTTTTTTTTTTTTTGATAGGGTCATGCTCTGTTGCCCAGGCTGAAAGGCTGGTTATCTTCACCACAGGTCTTATGTCTCAAGGACCACGGGTCCACGTCATAGTCAGGAACCAGGCATGTGTGGGCAGAAATCACTACCACTTTCCTTTGTTGCGGGTGGGGAAATTAAGAGCAGAGATTCTTGGATTCTTAAATTCCTTCTCTATGTTTATGTCATCTAGTCTGTTTTATGCTGTTTTATGTAATTCCCTGCTTCTGGATTTCTTGAATTTTTTTCCCCTTCTCACTTGTCATAATTGGCTCTTGCTTGTGAGTCTATTTTCATTCAGCTTGGTAGCAGAAGTCTTCTTCACTATTGTTTAGATTCAGTTTTCACATGGTTTTAGTAACCCTTCATTGGGTTTAGAATCAACTTTTAACCCTTCCACCAAAAGCTCTTATTTTTTTAAAGGCTTCCCAGAAACATAGTTTCTCTCAATCTCATCAAGAAATGCTTTTAAATGCAGAAGTTAGAAAATGGTGAATAATTATGGCTGTTCCTGGAAGTCATTGTGTCCTTAGTAATTACATGTTGTAGTCTTTGGTTCTGCTTCTTTGACAGCTCCACCACACTGTAATTTAATGGAATTCACTTAGATTTAATGGAATTCAGTCCTGGTAGAAAACTGCTATTGGGTCACAGAGTTGGCAGCAAGGCTGTGAAATTGATGTGGGAATGGGGGTGATTATGTGCTTTGTGTTGACAGAAGTTAGTTTTTGGGACATCCCATGTGGGTTTTTCCCAGGAACATAAACATTTTAGAGAATTAGAGCTAGAAACTTTCTTCTGGGAAAGCCTTAGAAGTCAGTTGTGCTTGGCAGTGAGATGGGACAATGTGCATTCTTAACAGGTTAAATGTGCCAAACTCTCTCTTCAGTACTATTCTTTTTTACGTTTGCTTAAGGTCAAGTTCCTGCTCTTTTGTTCAAAGTCTTGCTTTGTCACCCATGGTGGAGTGCAGTGGCGTGATCTTGGCTCACTGCAACCTCTGCCTCCTGCGTTCAAGCAATTCTTGTGTCTTAGCCTCCCTATTAGCTAGCTGGGATTATAGGCTTGCGCCACCTTGCCTGGCTATATTCAAAGTCTGTCTTTACTACACTGTCCCAAAGTAATCTACATTTGGGTTTGGGTCTTTACAGGGTGAGAAGGACTGGCAGAAATACGAGACTGCTCGGCGGCTGAAAAAATGTGTGGACAAGATCCGGAACCAGTATCGAGAAGACTGGAAGTCCAAAGAGATGAAAGTCCGGCAGAGAGCTGTAGCCCTGTACTTCATCGACAAGGTGAGAGCATCTTCCCATCGGCATTGTCTAGTGTTGAGCTTAACAAAGGGAGTTTCTGCTCTGCCCCAGGCCCTGTGCCACATACTGTATATCACAACTCAACATACATATATTTGTATGTAAAACTGAATCAAAAGTTGCACAAAACAATGCTTAGCCTTACTGTGAGCAGTAGATTCTGATCTTTTTTTAACTCTATTTCATTCCTTTAGAAAGTTGGTTATAACTTATAAAATTGTTTAAATAAACCATGCAGGTATCACCATTATATAGTTTTAAAGACCACGCTCTAGAGGAGATCAATTTCTTGGTACTCACGAGAAGAAAAAAAAGTTCATGTTTTTCCCCCAGTCTTGTATTTTAACATAAGTTCTGAATTGTCTCAAAATTCACACTAGCTTTTTGAGTTTGATTGCCCAGAGTAGCAGCACTCCCTCATTTGCTGCCTTATTTAATTTTTTTTTTCCTTTTCTCCATCCCTATTTCAGAGGACAGAATAGAAAGAAAAGGAGCATGAATATTTAACATCCCTATAGATTTCATAGTGAGTGGGGGAGGAAGTAACACTGCAGAATCCAGAGTTCCCAGGCCATGCTGACTGATGCTGTGGCTTCAAACAGAATTGGGAGGCTTCTGTTTTGGATGCCTAGAAATTGCATAAGGGTCAAAAGGCTGGGCGCAGTGGCTCACGCCTGTAATCCCAGCACTTTGGGAGGCCAAGGCAGGTGGAACACGAGGTCAAGAGACCATCCTGGCCAATGTGGTGAAACCCCATCTCTACTAAAAATACAAAAAAAAAAAAAAAAATAAAAATTGGCGTGGTGGCGGGCGCCTGTAGTCCCAGCTACTTCGGAGGCTGAGGCAGGAGAATGGCATGAACCCGGGAGACGGAGCTTGCAGTGAGCCAAAATTGCGCCATTGCACTCTAGCCTGGCGACAGAGCGAGACTGTCTCAAAAAAAAAAAAAAAAAAAACACAGAACGAAATTGTGTAAGGATCATGTCTCTTCCATTCATGCTCATCTTTTCTTTCTTTCCTGGGCAGCTTGCTCTGAGAGCAGGCAATGAAAAGGAGGAAGGAGAAACAGCGGACACTGTGGGCTGCTGCTCACTTCGTGTGGAGCACATCAATCTACACCCAGAGTTGGATGGTCAGGAATATGTGGTAGAGTTTGACTTCCTCGGGAAGGACTCCATCAGATACTATAACAAGGTCCCTGTTGAGAAACGAGTAAGTTAATGTACCTGTACTGTCTGACTTGTTTTCCATTATTCAACAAGCATGGGTTGACTGCTTTTTTGTGTGCTTTGCACTTTGCTGGGCACCAGCAAAAGTGACTTGAGACAGGCAACATGGCACATGCCTGTAGACCCAGCTATTCAGAAGGCTGAGACAGGAGGATCACTGGAGACCAAAAGTTTGAGGCTGTAGTGTGCTGTGATCACACCTGTGAATAGCCACTGTACTCCAGCCTGGGCAAAATAGTGAGACCTTGCCTCTCATATTAAAATAAATAAAAATAAATGACTTGAAAGAGGGGAGAGGTATTATTTGATATCTTGTGTACCTCCTTTTAGTCACTGTTCCGCCCTGTGCTACCTTCCTGGTAAGGAGTGGCCTTCTCCTATAGCAGTATTCAATGGAGCATGCTGTAGAATAGGCCCTTAGAGCAAACTCAGCATATGATTTAACTATATCTTAGTATCCCCTGGTCATGTGGTACATTTGTCACTTTTCATCTTTGCTCAGCCTTTCTCCAACTCCTGACTGAGTGAAAGGTTAATGTTAGTCCCCAGATCTCTGAGCCCATCACTGAAGAGGGTACTATAGCTCTGTAGTCCCAACCTAATCTTTTCCATAGTATTGGGCTTGAACCAGAGACTTACAGTGTGCAGGATCCTAATAATCCAGCCCACCAGCAGTCCTCTTCTTATAAAGACACCTCTTCTCATAAGGACACCATAATCAGTAATCAGGTTTTGCTGGCTGTGGAAGTACTCTGGACAGATTAGATAACAGTATGTATCAATGTAAATTTTTGAAGCTGATACTGTGTAAATGTAAGGGAATATCTATTTTTAGAACATACACACTGAAATGTTTAGGACCATATTATAAGTAAGTACTTATAAATGTACTTTAGGACCATATTATAAGTAAGTACTTATAAATGTACTTTAGGACCATATTATAAGTAAGTGCTTATAAATGGCTCAGAACAAACAATTATGTATATATATCTGTAAATATACACATGGAGAGAGTGAGCATACATGCACACTGTGCAAATGATGAATGGGGTAAAATGTTAACAGTGAATCTCGGTGACGGATGTATGCGTGTTCCTTGTGCCTTTTTCTTTGCAAGTTTCTTTAAGTTTGGGGTTATTTCTAAAGTTAGGATTTTTTTCAAGAGTAATAATTAGGATTCACTTATATCTTTTAGGTTTTTAAGAACCTACAACTATTTATGGAGAACAAGCAGCCCGAGGATGATCTTTTTGATAGACTCAATGTGAGTAGATGAAGCACACAATGTTGAAGGGAGTCCCAGCCAGAGCCTCACAGTACCTAAAGGGGAGGGTTGCTGGCAGATGACTTGGGCTCTCCCTTTAGCCTGGCCTGCTCTGTGGCATCCCATACACTCTCTCTTCCTCCCTCTGAGTCCACGGTGAATCTGTAGTCAAGAGAAGACACATCTGCTGCAGAACAACTGCTAAAGCACTCAGGGTGGGGGGTAGATGAGCCCTACCTTTTATCCTTCCCTGCTCCTGCAGAGCTTTCCCTTCACTGAATGCCCAGCCACCCCTGCTGGAGACCCAAAACCTGTCCCTGATATCTTAATAGGGAAGGAAAAATTTGCTTTATTGGTTTGTTAAGCCCACCAACCTGGGCCAGGCTTGGTGGCTTACGCCTGTTATCCCAGCACTTTGAGAGGTCAAGTAGGGCAGATCCCTTGAGGTCAGGAGTTTGAGACCAGCCTGGGCAACATGGCAAAACCATTATCCAGGTGTGGTAGTCCACACCTGTAGTCCCAGCTGCTTAGGAGCCTCAGAAGGATTGCATGAGCCCGGGAGGTGGAGGCAGCAGTGAACCGAGATTGTACCACTGCACTCCAGGCTGGGTGTCAGAGTGAGACCCTGTCATACACACACACAAAGATTGAAATACTTCATAGAGAGGCATCATGTAACCCTGTATTCTGGAATTCTTTTCCTCTTTCCCTAACTTCCCACTTGTAGGGCAATAAACTTGACAAGATTGTGACTGCACTGGCATAAATTACTCCTAGGGCTGCCAGAAGGAGCAGGTAGTATAGCTTTGACCTAAATCTGTTGCTTTGTCTCCTCCAGACTGGTATTCTGAATAAGCATCTTCAGGATCTCATGGAGGGCTTGACAGCCAAGGTATTCCGTACATACAATGCCTCCATCACGCTACAGCAGCAGCTAAAAGAACTGACAGCCCGTAAGTATTGCTTGGCCAGATAGGGCCCACACCCCTACTAATGGTATCCGGTGACCTTGCTTATCTAAGGCCTAGAGTCAGTTCTACTTTTTTTCCCTACCATTGTGGTCAGACACTTTTTCCCTTTAGACCTCTAGTAGCGAGATAATGCTTTGTTGTATAAACATAGGATCAATGCTGTTTCCCCCTTCCCACCCCAACTTCAAGATTAATTTCATGGAATGCTGACAGCTTTTCACCTGCTACAAAAATGCCTGCATTTGTGTTTTATACATATATTACTTAAAAGCCCACAGAGTGAAGACAGTGCTGTGATGTTCTGTTAAATTGGAGAGAGTAAAGTTGTCATGGTTACCAGAAAAATACAGGAACAAGTCCTTTCCTTGAGGTTTCTGTCATTTTTTTCCCATAAGAGAGTAGATACTTTCTATAGCTGATTTTTAGAATATTATCACCAAGATCCACGGGCTTTTTTTTTCCTGGAGCCCAGTCACTATTGAATTTCCACTGCCCTCTGTAAATACATCAGATGGCCTTAGAATATGAACCAGAAAAGCCAGAGGTAGGTATGTTGAGGGTCAGTATTTTAAGGTGGTATAAAGAATGCCACACTATACAAATAAAAACAATTTTTTTGGATGGCATTTTTAATTTTTCTTTTTAAATAAGATACTACCAGGCCATGTGCAGTGGCTCACACCTGTAATCCCAACACTTGGGTAGCCGAGGCAGGAGAATCACTTGAACCCAGGAGTTCCAGACCAGCCTGGGCAATGTAGTGAGACCTTGTCTCTACTAAAATTTCTAAAAATTAGGCAGGTGTGGCGGTGTGCACCTGTCATCCCAGCTACCTGGGAGGCTGAGCCCAGGAGTTTAGGGCTGTAATGAGCTACGACCATACCACCGCACTCCAGCTTGGGTGACAGGGTGAGACGCTATCTCTAAAATAATAATAATAACCATAATAATACTACCAACTGTGGCTTAATTTTTTTTTTTTTTTTTTTTTTTTTGAGACGGAGTCTTGCTGTCACCCAGGT
Source organism: Homo sapiens (assembly GCF_000001405.40). NCBI lineage: Eukaryota > Metazoa > Chordata > Mammalia > Primates > Hominidae > Homo > Homo sapiens. Next base: position 41,117,433 of record NC_000020.11, read on the forward strand.
TGGAGTGCAGTGGCGCGATCTCGGCTCACTGCAAGCTCCGCCTCCTGGGGTTCACGCCATTCTCCTGCCTCAGCCTCCCGAGTAGCTGGGACTACAGGTGCCCGCCATGTCGCCCGGCTAATTTTTTGTATTTTTAGTAGAGACAGGGTTCACCGTGTTAGCCAGGATGGTCTCGATCTCCTGACCTTGTGATCCGCCCGCCTCGGCCTCCCAAAGTGCTGGGATTACAGGTGTGAGCCACCGCGCCCGGCCAAAATTTTTAAACTTTTAACGTCCCTTCAATTCCTCGTTCTGTTCTGGCTACATTGGGTGGAGAGGTGGGGAGGTAGGAAGTGGCCAGTATAGAACTTATGAATATGGGCAACAAACCATAGTAATATCAGCAGCACCTATGATGAGCATATGGGTGGGGAGGAAGCAAGGAGATGAAGGGTCCCTAGCCAAGTTCCCTGAGTAAAAAGAAAGGTGTAGATTTTATTATATTACCTAGACTCAGAGTTCCTCTTGTGATAGGAATTTACCCAGGCCAAGCTTACATATAAACTTCCTACTATCATTTTCTTAAGACTGTTGACTCAAATTTTGACCTTAGTCCTTGGGGGCAATTTGAATTAATCATCTGAGTAAGATAAGAGCCAGCAAAATCATGGGGACGAGGCACTGGGGGAAGACATACTGTGTGTTCACTTTTGGTGTACAAACTGACCCTCTTGCTACCATGTTCCTTTCTTTACAGCGGATGAGAACATCCCAGCGAAGATCCTTTCTTATAACCGTGCCAATCGAGCTGTTGCAATTCTTTGTAACCATCAGAGGGCACCACCAAAAACTTTTGAGAAGTCTATGATGAACTTGCAAACTAAGGTATCTTGGATAAAATGAAGGGAACTGTGTCTGCTGTGGGCAGATTATCTGCGAATGAGAGGATTCAGGGCTGAGATATCAGCAGGCCAGTGCTGGGTCTGTTGTAGAAGGTCTATGCTAAAGATAAACAAATGGAAATATGATAGTAGTTAATCTCTGATCAAGATACTGAATATCAGAGTATCCATTATTCAAGAAATCTTTATTCTACGCATAGAAGTTCTATACTGGCCACTCCCTATTTTGAAAAACTAACTTTGGTGTACATTCTAATTGCTAATTACTGTCCTTATTGTACATGAGGAAAGTGGATTTAAAGAGAGTCTTCATAATTCCTTGCTACAGCCCAGAAATACAGCCATTTCCAAATTAGATTGTTTCAAATTGAAAAGATGATGAAACAATTATATATTTAAAGTCTTTCAAATCCTAGCATAGCTATTTTTATTTTTACGCATTCCACATGAATCATATTTTTATATAGTTCATCATCAAACATCTGTTGAATACTGGCCGTGTGCCAGACAACTTGCTGCCCTAAAGGGAAAGACTGGTGTGCAAATAGGTGCTATTCCTTGTCCCTGAGCCTCTTTCCTCCTCCTAACTCCGCCTGGTACTGAGCTTTTAAACCATAAGGCACTTAACATTTGATGATGAACATTTTTGTGTTAGCAGTGACTTCATAACTAATTCATCCTAACATGGTGGTCCACAGTGAGAATTTGCAGATATTTCATTATAGAACAGATACACAGGGTTAAAAAGGAAACAAATTATATTGAAATACAGTTATCAAAATACATTTTAAAGTCCGATAATAGATGTGCTTCCTTATTAAGGTCTTGAGGTGGCCTGTAGTAAATTTCAAGGTAGTAATTAATTAATATCAATGATACTTTAAGATTTCTGCAGCAATTCAAATATGAAATGAAGATGTCTAACATCTATTGATGATAAAGTCATAAGTGCTGCTGCTATTACTATGGTTTGTTCCCCATATTCATAACTGAAGAAGAAATACTAAATTTCAGCTAGAAGCTGGGTGCAGTGGCTCACACCTGTAATCTCAGCATTTTGGGAGGTTGAGGTGGGAGAATCACTTGAGCTGAGTAATTCAAGACCAACCTGGGCAACATAGTGAGACCCTGTCTGTATTAAAAATTTAAAAATAAATATAAATAAGTTCCAAAAAGAGGTTATTGAAATTATAGATTTTTTCTCATCCAAGTTCATGGAATTCTATACTTGTACAACTGGAGTTTAAGAACTACTACTGTGGAATGAGACTGCATTTTAAGGCCCAGAATATTTTCCATTTGTTGAGATTTCCTTAAGATAAGTACCCATGAGTAATATAGCTGGTTCAAAAGGTACACACAACTTATAATTTATGCTACAGATGCCATCTGGCTTTCTTGAAGAGACGTACATGTCCACAGTGAATGAGTATACATCCATAGACCTTTGATTCCTTGGATCATATGATTGGCAGGCAAAGAACTCTATAGACGGCCCATCCTAGCAGCTCACATTTGCTGCCACTCTGTTAAATGCTGGTCATCTGGAATTGTTTATTCTCCTCATGTTATCATTACAAGCCAGAAATAAAAGCATGAATATTCAGGTGCTGTTTACCTAATTCAGGAAAACCCCTCCCAGGAGCATGAGGAGGTCTTTTGTTGCTCTCGCTCTGGAACCGGGTTTGGGCAGCCCAGGCTGCCTGCCAGATGAGCCCTCCAAACCCAGGATTCCTCTCCTGTGTGCCCACAAAGCAAACACACGCCCCTGTTTGCCAAGTGAATCAATGGAGTCTTTGATGCTTTGAGAGAATTTGACATAGCCTGCCAATTTAGCATTCACAGAAATGGTTAAAAGATCATGGTTTGCTACATTTCTATCCTAAAAAGAATCTGGCTAGTGGTGTCTGTGATGCTTTTGTATATAGAATCAGTCCCCTCAGTTTGGCTTTGGACAACATAGATGTTGGAAGTAAGCCATTCATAGTAAAACATATTTAGTGATCCTCTCACAATGGTGGCCTCTGTTTCCAATCTTGGGCTGTGTGTATCTAACAACAAACAATTCCAGGTTCAGTGAGCAGCCCAGTGTGTGTCAGACATGTTATTTACTCCGTAGAGGTTGTCTTCACCTCACATAGATGACCATAGGTATGGGGTTCTCCTGCCCTCTGAGTAGCGTGAGCTCAGTGACAGGGGCTCTAGCTCCATGTTGTTATCCACTGCTGTCTCTAAGCAGGAATCTGAGAAGAACTTAGATTCACCAGGGGTGCTTCAAAGATTCTAACAAGCAAGAAAGGCTGAAACTGCCCTTGTCTCTTCCCTTATAGATATGGATTCCATGAGAGTTCACATGGGGAAAAAAGCTCCACAGCTAAAAGTGTTTTCACATCCATTGAGTGACAACTAAGGTCCTTCCCACCTCAGACTTCTCTCCTTTTTTTTTGAGACGGAGTCTCGCTCTGTTGCCCAGGCTGGAGTGCAGGGGCATGATCTCGGCTCACTGCAAGCTCTGCCTCCCGGGTTCATGCCATTCTACTGCCTCAGCCTCCCGAGTAGCTGGGACTACAGGCACCCACCACCACGCCTGGCTAATTTTTTGTATTTTTAGTAGAGACGGGGTTTCACCGTGTTAGCCAGGATGGTCTTGATCTCCTGACCTTGTGATCCGCCCTCCTCAGCCTCCCCAAAGTGCTGGGATTACAGGCGTGAGACACCGCGCCTGGTGACCGCTCTCCTTTTAAAAACAGAATGCCAAAGCTAAGCCCTGCCATGTCCTGGTTTGGGACAGACTGGCTGAGCTGTTTGGCTTCCTGGGTGTCTTTTAATTGCCAGTTTGTAGCCCCTTGAGTACTCTCTTCAGTGCATCCATTTTCCTTGAGAAGCTGGCACCGCCTTCCCAGAGTACTGGTGGGATCTGAGGAACGAGCTGGGGTTGCCCAGTAGATGCAAGTATCCTGCTTCAGTTTCCTAAAGAGGAGCTCCTACAGTGTTCTTAGAATGAAAGCTAAGAACTGGCACAGGATCTATTTGATAAACAGCTGTCATTTGTAGCCATCCTCCCAGATGTATGACAGCAGAGTGTTCTCTGATGGAAAGATCAGCACCCAGATTCCCAGCCCCAGCGGGTTCCTTTCCCTGAGCCCCTAGGTTACTGCCCTGTAAAACCCTTGTTTCTTTCCAGATCACTGAAGAACAAATAGTTGAATTCACTAGTCCTTGTGCATCTTCTCCCTGCCTTCATGAAGCCACCCTTGTTTTTTTTTATCTGACAAACCACTGACAGAGACAGCCTGGTCCAGATAACATCTTGGTTTCACCTTCTCAGGTGGAGCCATTTTTCCTCTACAGCTCATAACCTTACCACTATTATTTCCCCTAGATTGATGCCAAGAAGGAACAGCTAGCAGATGCCCGGAGAGACCTGAAAAGTGCTAAGGCTGATGCCAAGGTCATGAAGGATGCAAAGACGAAGAAGTATGTACCTGGTATTGTGAAAGTTGGGGCTGGTAGAGAAAAGTGTGCAGCATCTGTCAGGGCCCCTGGGGCCCTGGCTTTTCGATGGTTTCTGAGAAATGTCTTTTGGAAATCTCTATACTAGGGCTTTTATTGACTCAAAGTGGCAGGATGGGTACAGTGTGCTCTTGTCTAGAGCCCAGGCCTGGTTCTTGAGGACTTTGCTATTCTTCTAGGGTAGTAGAGTCAAAGAAGAAGGCTGTTCAGAGACTGGAGGAACAGTTGATGAAGCTGGAAGTTCAAGCCACAGACCGAGAGGAAAATAAACAGATTGCCCTGGGAACCTCCAAACTCAATTATCTGGACCCTAGGATCACAGTGGCTTGGTAAGTGTTGAGCCCTCCTTGAGCTCCTGCTGCTAGCTTAAGAAAGGTGGAGGGGGTTCCGAGAGCACTGGTGGCCTTCACATGCCATTCCTAAGCTACACACTTTAGTCCTCTGGGGAAACTTCTGGCTTCAGCTGTGTACAAGTTACTCTGGTTGCTGAACCTTGTCTGTAAATGCATTGCAACATTCTGGTTGCTCCTAAATGGTCAGTGCTGTTACACTGCCTTGTAGTGTATATTTTTAAGAGGCAGGTGCCATCCCTATTCCTAATGGAACTTTAGGACAGGAATGGAAACTCTTAGCTTCTGGAAGAATAGGAAAGAGCCCATCCATCTCTACACTTCAACAAAACTTTTCGTTGAATTTTTTTGCAGTTGAAGGTAGGAACAAGAGATAAAGATGAGAATACAGATCTGAGCAACTTACACAGAGAGGCAGAGGGACCTTTAACAAAAGCAGATAAATACTAGGTTTCTCTGTGTGTCACACACAGTGTCACATAACATCTGAAACAAGTGGCTTTGTTATGGAAGATGTTTAGTTTGAGCTGTTAAGTTCTGAGCATAGGTGGAGATATCCTCCCCTATGGCACTTGCTAGTCCGGGCTAAAGTTTCCATCTAGGTCTTTTGTACCTCTTTCTGCTCGTTTTGCCTTGTTTGGTGCTAGAGATTTGGTTAGCTCTTAAAAGGCAATATAGTATAGTGGTTAAGAACATGGAGAAAAACTGCTTGGGTTCAAATTTCAGGTCACTTACCAGCTAGCTGTGTGAGAAAATCAGTAAATTACCTAACGTCTCTGCCTCAGTTTCATCTGTACGTTTTTCACTTGTACATCTGCAGAAGCACCTACTTTAGAGATCACTGCCAAGATTAAATGAGTTGATCACATAAAACCTTTAGAACATGCTTGGTGCACTATTAATTTGCATCCTCACTAGACAGATGTGAAAGAGAAGATGGAACATCTGACCCTGGGCCTCAGATATGGGCCATTGCTGAGTCACCCTAATCCCCCCCTTATTTCTCCTTTGTTTGCAGGTGCAAGAAGTGGGGTGTCCCAATTGAGAAGATTTACAACAAAACCCAGCGGGAGAAGTTTGCCTGGGCCATTGACATGGCTGATGAAGACTATGAGTTTTAGCCAGTCTCAAGAGGCAGAGTTCTGTGAAGAGGAACAGTGTGGTTTGGGAAAGATGGATAAACTGAGCCTCACTTGCCCTCGTGCCTGGGGGAGAGAGGCAGCAAGTCTTAACAAACCAACATCTTTGCGAAAAGATAAACCTGGAGATATTATAAGGGAGAGCTGAGCCAGTTGTCCTATGGACAACTTATTTAAAAATATTTCAGATATCAAAATTCTAGCTGTATGATTTGTTTTGAATTTTGTTTTTATTTTCAAGAGGGCAAGTGGATGGGAATTTGTCAGCGTTCTACCAGGCAAATTCACTGTTTCACTGAAATGTTTGGATTCTCTTAGCTACTGTATGCAAAGTCCGATTATATTGGTGCGTTTTTACAGTTAGGGTTTTGCAATAACTTCTATATTTTAATAGAAATAAATTCCTAAACTCCCTTCCCTCTCTCCCATTTCAGGAATTTAAAATTAAGTAGAACAAAAAACCCAGCGCACCTGTTAGAGTCGTCACTCTCTATTGTCATGGGGATCAATTTTCATTAAACTTGAAGCAGTCGTGGCTTTGGCAGTGTTTTGGTTCAGACACCTGTTCACAGAAAAAGCATGATGGGAAAATATTTCCTGACTTGAGTGTTCCTTTTTAAATGTGAATTTTTATTTCTTTTTAATTATTTTAAAATATTTAAACCTTTTTCTTGATCTTAAAGATCGTGTAGATTGGGGTTGGGGAGGGATGAAGGGCGAGTGAATCTAAGGATAATGAAATAATCAGTGACTGAAACCATTTTCCCATCATCCTTTGTTCTGAGCATTCGCTGTACCCTTTAAGATATCCATCTTTTTCTTTTTAACCCTAATCTTTCACTTGAAAGATTTTATTGTATAAAAAGTTTCACAGGTCAATAAACTTAGAGGAAAATGAGTATTTGGTCCAAAAAAAGGAAAAATAATCAAGATTTTAGGGCTTTTATTTTTTCTTTTGTAATTGTGTAAAAAATGGAAAAAAACATAAAAAGCAGAATTTTAATGTGAAGACATTTTTTGCTATAATCATTAGTTTTAGAGGCATTGTTAGTTTAGTGTGTGTGCAGAGTCCATTTCCCACATCTTTCCTCAAGTATCTTCTATTTTTATCATGAATTCCCTTTTAATCAACTGTAGGTTATTTAAAATAAATTCCTACAACTTAATGGAAACTTAAGTGTCTGCCTCTTTGTTACAAAGGGCCTCAGGCCAGAGTTGGGGCTGGGACTTAGTGTGGGATGAGGTCTCACCACTCAGGTCAGCAAGAGTAGATTCCTCCCAGGAGCAGATGAGGCAGGGCCTGGCCTGGAAAGGAGTGTTGTGTGCCTGTCCTGCTGCTGTGGGTGTGGGTTAAAGAGGATCCAAAGTCCATATCCTTAGATAAAAGACAGGAAAGGAAGGAAGGGTGCAAAAAATCCACAGTAAGAGGTGTGGTGCAAAGACAGCATCGGAGGCCTAGCGTAGGTAAAGTATATTGAGCAGGATGTTGCAGCTGTATTTGAGTCAAAAGTTTTGGAGAGCTTTCCATGTGTACTGGCCAGAAGCAGAAGGGAGCTGCTTTAGGTTTTTTCACGTGGCTAAGCTTACAATCAGGATGGGGAGAATTAAGGTTCCAGATCCCAGAAGCCCCTTCCCACATGGGATGCAAACTTCTCCCTGCATTGACTGCTTAATTGAAAAAGGCAGTGTGGTGTGGTCTCTGACCACTTTCTGGTGCTCCAGTTACCCTAGCTGGCTATGGTCTCTACAAAAATTGTTCCTTTGCTCATCCTAAATTATAGGTAAGTCTGGAATTCAGAATGAAAGTGAGGTCTCTGTCTAGGTCAAATGGACTGCAGGGAGCAGGAAGGCCAGAAGGGTCAAAATTGGTAAATTAATGGAAGGGCCCTGGGCCCTCTAGCTTGTTAGCACGAGCAGGTAGGTGTCTTCGGGGAGGCGAACCCATAGTCTCTGTTCTCCCTGAGGCTGGAGGCAGGGCTGGTACTAGGCCCACAACAGAGAATCCTGGAGGTCCTTGGCAGCCTGTATTTTTATTAACCAGTGAAAGAGGCAGCATTCACCCCAGGGAATAAGGGAGGTTATGTAGCCATCACTGCTTTGGAGCAGAGAGACTCCAGCCAGGTGTTTTTGAATTCTGTGTTGAGGTAGCTGGGCCACTGAATGTAGGGAATACAACAGAGAGGCTCTTTTGGTACCCATTTGATACACTGTGGCTGGTAGGTAAGTAGGTTGGTGTAAGTGGACCTCAGATGCCACAGCTAGGGGACAACCTTTGGTCCAAAACTAGAAGTCAGGTAAGGAGGCCTTGCAGGCAGAAGACCTTGCTGATGAACAGGAAGTAATGCCTACCTCTCTGGCAAGGACCTCTCTTGCAAGTCTGAGGGCAGATGCTGGGCAACAAGATGCTGCTCAACACAACTAAGAAGGGCATCCCAGACAGTGGCAGCAGGCCTGGGAGACCAAAGCCAGAGAATGGGAAGCTGACCTGGCCACTGGGGATGAAAGAAGAGGCTGAACAGGTAAGTGGGGGCCAGATGTAAAGGACCTTGAAGGATGCTTAACCCAGGAGTCAAGAATAAACTTATCCACTTGCCTAGTCCAGTAGGTTTTACTTCCAGCCACGTCCAAGAACAGGCCAGATGGGCAGGGTCTGAGAAACTCCCTCCCATCAGGCCTTTCTATGATGCCCGAGTTCGGTGTGGGCAAAGGGCTTCCACGTGCTACCCAAGCCAGATATCTCTGTGCTGACTTGGCTTTTCTCCTCTCTTACCTCACCTTCATCTCCCATCCCCCAAATCTGGCCAGCAAGTCCTGTCTCTCCATTCTCCCTGCCAAAAGCTGTCAAATTTCAGACCTCTGCTACATTAAAACATGAAAAGTAAAAAACCTTCACAACCCTCAGCCCTTTCCAGCCACTACCTTTCCCTTTTTTCCCAAACAAGCACCTGCAATAAGTCATCACCATCCAGTCATTCCCCCACCCACTGCAACTAGCTTCTGTCCCATGAGCCCACAATTCCTTCTCTTCACTCTGACCAATGTCGCCAATGACTAGATAACCAAACCAATACATGGGCTCTCCATTCTGCGTCTTAGAGTCTTTGTGGCACTGGACACTGTTGACCACTCCTTCCATCATTTTGAGGGTACGATGATTTTTAGCAACTTTGCTGAGTGGTGCAACTATTAACCATGTCAGTTTTAGAACATTTTCATCTCCCTGTAAGATCCCTTATGCTCATTTACAGTTAATCCACATTCCCACTCCCGGCCTCCACTAACCTTTCTAAATTTGCATTCTGAACATTTCATGTAAATGGAATCATTCAATAGGTGACCACTACCTTCTCTCTGATTTTCACAATGCCACCCTCTCCTGGTTTTACTCCTGTCCCTATCAGGCTTTTTCTGAGTCACCTTTTCTATCAGGTCCTAAGTGCCATGATTCTTACTTCAGCATAGCTGATTTCATTTGCACCTAAAGGTGATGACTTCTCTTTCTCTCTAGCCTAGAGCCCTTTTCTAAGCTCCAGACTCACATTATCAACTACACCTCTGCAGGGCATGTCTACGGGCACCTCAATCTCAGCGTCTCTAGAACTGAGCTCAGTACCCACCACCCCAAGCCTGTTGGGCCTGGGCTTCACATCTCAGGGAAAGGCACCAGATCCTCTGTCCCCCAACCCAGAAACTAGGGTAGCCACCATCCTTCACTCCTCTCGTTTCCACACCCAGTAAATTACTCCAAAATCATCTCCTCAATACCATAAAATTTATTTTCTGAAAAAATTTTACTCCTTAGAAATTCTTCAAATAATGAGACACTATCAACTTGTTTTGAACCAAAAAGCACTTTTTAGAGAAAACACATTACCCTGAAATGACCTCAGTCAGGCCAGTTTTGGATGCTTATAAGTAGTCCCCTGACAAAAATCAGTAAACAAGGAGACAAAGAAATTTAACACAGACTTAGTAATTTTCACAATCCCAAGAATTCCATTCAGACAAGCCTCTTAGAAATCACTAAATAGCAAAGACTTTTTTAGATTTTATAATTGTACTGTGTGTGTGTGTGTGTGTGTGTGTGTGTGTGTGTGTATACACACACAATTTTTTTTTTTTTTTTTTGAGACGGAGTCTAGCTCTGTCACCCAGGCTGGAGTGCAGTGGCGAAATCCTGGCTCACTGCAACCTCTGCCGCCTGGGTTCAAACCATTCTCCTGTCTCAGCCTCCTGCCACCACGCCCAGCTAATTTTTGTATTTTTCGTAGAGATGGGGTTTCACCATGTTGGCCAGGCTGGTCTCGAACTCCTGACCTCATGATCTTCCCGCCTCAGCCTCCCAAAGTGCTGGGATTACAGGCGTGAGCCACCGTGTCTGGCCCACACAAATGTTTTTAAAGGAGTCTTTTAGGCCAGGAGCAGTTAGCTCATGCCTGTAATCCCAGCAGTTTGGGAGACCAAGGCAGAAAGATCACTTGAGCCTCGGAGCCCAAGGCTGCAGTGAGCTATGACTGTAACTGCATTCCAGCTTAGGTGACAGTGAGATTCTATCTATACACACACACACCACACAGTCTTTTAGAAAAATTGAGATAGTAATGGATAATAAGAGTTGAGGTTTGGGTCAAAATAATATGGGAGGGGTTAGTGGGTAGAATTTGGCATGAAACAAAAGTGGCCACCAATTCATTATTGAAGCTAGATGATGGGTATGTCGGCATTCACTATACTATACACGTAGACACATTTGAGATTTTTCTTTTTTTTTAATTTTATTATTATTATACTTTAAGTTTTAGGGTACATGTGCACAATGTGCAGGTTAGTTACATATGTATACATGTGCCATGCTGGTGTGCTGCACCCATTAACTCGTCATTTAGCATTAGGTATATCTCCTAAAGCTATCCCTCCCCCCTCCCCCCACCCCACAACAGTCCCCAGAGTGTGATGTTCCCCTTCCTGTGTCCATGTGTTCTCATTGTTCAATTCCCACCTATGAGTGAGAATATGCGGTGTTTGGTTTTTTGTTCTTGCGATAGTTTACTGAGAATGATGATTTCCAGTTTCATCCATGTCCCTACAAAGGACATGAACTCATCATTTTTTATGGCTGCATAGTATTCCATGGTGTATATGTGCCACATTTTCTTAATCCAGTCTATCATTGTTGGACATTTGGCTTGGTTCCAAGTCTTTGCTATTGTGAATAGTGCCACAATAAACAAACGTGTGCATGTGTCTTTATAGCAGCATGATTTATAGTCCTTTGGGTATATACCCAGTAATGGGATGGCTGGGTCAAATGGTATTTCTAGCTCTAGATCCCTGAGGAATCACCACACTGACTTCCACAATGGTTGAACTAGTTTACAGTCCCACCAACAGTGTAAAAGTGTTCCTATTTCTCCACATCCTCTCCAGCACCTGTTGTTTCCTGACTTTTTAATGATTGCCATTCTAACTGGTGTGAGATGGTATCTCATTGTGGTTTTGATTTACATTTCTCCGATGGTCAGTGATGGTGAGCATTTTTTCATGTGTTTTTTGGCTGCATAAATGTCTTCTTTTGAGAAGTGTCTGTTCATGTCCTTTGCCCACTTTTTGATGGGGTTGTTTGTTTTTTTCTTGTAAATTTGTTTAAGTGCTTTGTAGATTCTGGATATTAGCCCTTTGTCAGATGAGTAGGTTGTGAAAATTGTCTCCCATTTTGTAGGTTGCCTGTTCACTCTGATGGTAGTTTCTTTTGCTGTGCAGAAGCTCTTTAGTTTAATTAGATCCCATTTGTCAGTTGTGGCTTTTGTTGCCATTGCTTTTGGTGTTTTAGACATGAAGTCCTGCCCATGCCTATGTCCTGAATGGTAATGCCTAGGACCTCTTCAAGGAGAACTACAAACCACTGCTCAATGAAATAAAAGAGGATACAAACAAATGGAAGAACATTCCATGCTCATGGGTAGGAAGAATCAATATCATGAAAATGGCCATACTGCCCAAGGTAATTTATAGATTCAACGCCATCCCCATCAAGCTACCAATGACTTTCTTCACAGAATTGGAAAAAACTACTTTAAAGTTCATATGGAACCAAAAAAGAGCCCGCATCGCCAAGTCAATCCTAAGCCAAAAGAACAAAGCTGGATGCATCACGCTACCTGACTTCAAACTATACTACAAGGCTACAGTAACCAAAACAGCATGGTACTGGTACCAAAACAGAGATGTAGATCAATGGAACAGAACAGAGCCCTCAGAAATAACGCCGCATATCTACAACTATCTGATCTTTGACAAACCTGAGAAAAACAAGCAATGGGGAAAGGATTCCCTATTTAATAAATGGTGCTGGGAAAACTGGCTAGCCATATGTAGAAAGCTGAAACTGGATCCCTTCCTTACACCTTATACAAAAATTAATTCAAGATGGATTAAAGACTTAAACGTTAGACCTAAAACCATTCTTTTTCTTTTTTTGAGATGGAGTCTTGCTCTGTTGCCCAGGCTGGAGTGCAGTGGTACAACCTCGGCTCACTGCAACCTCTGCCTCCCAGGTTTAAACAATTCTCCTGCCTTAGCCTCCTGAGTAGCTGGGATTACAGGCATGTGCCACTTGTAATGCTAATTTTTTTGTAGTTTTAGTAGAGACCGGGTTTCGCCATGTTGGCCAGGCTGGTCTCGAACTCCTGACCTCAGGTGATCTGCCCACCTCAGCTTCCCAAAGTGCTGGGATTACAGGTGTGAGCCGCTGCACCCGGCCCAGCCACCGTACCTGGCCAAGATTTTTCTTTAAAAATGTCTTTTTTATTTAGACACAGGGTCTCACCTCTGTTGCCCAGGCTGGAGTACACTGGTGTGATCATAGCTCACTATAGCCTTGAACTCCTGGGCTCAAACAATCCTCCGACTTCAACTTCCTGAAGAGCTGAGACTACAGGTGCATGCTACCATGCCTGGCTAATTTTTTTATTTTTATATTTTTAGAGACAAGGCCTCACTATGTTGCCCAGGCTGGTCTCCAACTCTTGGGGTCAAGCAATCTTCCTGTCTCAGCCTCCCCAGATACTGATATTATAGGTGTGAGCTACCATGCCCAGCAGAGATTTTTCATAACATGTTTAAAGCAATACAGTAACTGGTTATTTTGAAGATTATTAGTATATATCCATAGAGGAATTGAGGGGGGAAAAGCAACATCTTAATGTTATACTAAAAGGTAATTATGCTTAGGTTACAATTTTCAGTGATAACATCACATACTAATTCAGAAAGTATTCCCTTTGCAGCAACATGGATGAATCTAAATAACATTATGCTGAACGCAGACACAAGAGTACATACTGTATGATTCCATTTATGTGAAATTCCAGAATAGGCAACACTAATCCGTAGTGACAGAAAGTCAATCAGTGGTTGCTGGATGGGGACAGAGGAGACTGACTGCGAAGGCGCACCAGGAAACATTTTGGGGTGGTGGAAATATTCTCTATCTTGATTGGGTGGAGGTTACATGAGGGTATACATTTGTCAAAGCACAAATTTTACACTTAAAAATGGATGTATTTTATATGTAAATTATTCCTCAACAAAAATTATTTTTTAAGTAAAAAAAAAATCTAAGTAAAAAAAGTTGGCCGGGCACGGTGGCTCACACCTGTAATCCCAGCACTCTGGGAGGCCAAGGTGGGTGGATCACCTGAGGTCAGGAGTTCAAGACCACCCTGGCCACGGTGAAACCCCATCTCTACTAAAAATATAAAAAATTAGCTGGGCGTGGTGGTGCGGGCCTGTAATCCCAGCTACTCGGGAGGCTGAGGCAGGAGAATCGCTTCAACCCGGGAGGCGGAGGCTGCAGTAAGCCGAGATCACACCATTGCACTCCAGCCTGGGCAACAAGAGCGAAACTCCGTCTCAAAAAAAAAAAAAAGTTGTTTGCTCTCTCTCTCAACTTAGAAGGGAGGGAAAGTGATGATATGCTTTGAGAGATTCTATTAGATGACTCAAAAAGCGACTCATGGTGAAAATACAGAAATCCAAGATTCATGTGAAGAGTTGAATATAGTTTACTGAAAATGTGAGTGTGGGGAAAATCAATGTTCGTGAATCAATATATTGTTTTAAATATGTGATTTAAAGTATGTACCTGTAGCTAAATAAACTATTATATGTGGACATTTGCATCTCTAAAAAGTTTATATTTTAGTTGCAAAAAAAAAACAACCCACAAAACAACTTGGAGTGACCCTATGATGAAAATGAGTGTTTGCCTTGTATCTGGAGTGGCCATCTCTTTCAGGCATATACAGTCTCTCACTTTGCTCTATCTCCACAGACACTAACAGGTTTCAGTAAAGCCAAGTGTCCCTTCTCAGTGCTCCAATGGCCCCCATCACACTGAATTGTCATGGTCTGTTGGCATTTCTGTACCCACTGCTGGAGTGGGAACTTGTTCTGACTCAGCTGTGCTGTCTTAGTGCTCTAGAGGATGCATCCGTGAAGCGTGTTGCAAGGAGGAGAGAGAAAAACAGAAAAGTGCAGGTCTGCCCTGGCCTGGGCTTTCCCCTTCTCTTCCTTTATTGCCATATGTTGCCTCAGTGATGCAGTCACAGTGTCCCTGCCACCTTTCAGAAGAAGATACATCTGCAGCCCAGCTGGAGAACCTCAACATCTGGGTCCCACTATGGGGGCCAATCAGCAGAGATACACCAAGGTCAATGGAGACAGCAGTCCCTGGGAGCAGCCGAGCCAGGTGTGATTTTGCCTTGAGAGAGAACACGAGGCTCTTGAGGGACAGATAACACAACCCAGGTGAGGAGGAAAGCAGGTGGACATGACCTAAGAAGTGTGAGGCCTGATGACTAAGTTGGAGCCACAGATAGATTTGGGGGCCAGGGGTCAGGAGCCTAAACAGCAGGTTGTGGGTGGAGTTCAAGGTGCACTGAGGTTAGTTCTTAGCAAGTAGTACTGGCTGTGTGCTGAGGTGCAGGCTGGCTCACAAACCCAGAGGAGGGGCTGTTCAGATGTCTAACACGAGAAACTGAGTAAAAATTAAAGAATGGTTTAGGCCAGGTGCAGTGGCTCACGCCTGTAATCCCTGCACTTTGGGAGGCTGCAGTGGGTGGATCCCCTGAGGTCAGGAGTTCGAGACCAACCTGGCCATCATGATGAAACCCCCGTCTCTACTAAAAATACAAACAATTAGCTGGGCATGGTGGCACGCGCCTGTAATCCCAGCTACTCAGGAGGCTGAGGCAGGAGACTTGCTTGAACCCGGGAGGCAGAGGTTGCAGTGAACCGAGATTGCGCCACTGCACTTCAGCCAGGACGACAAGAGTAAAAAAAAAAAAAAAAAAAAATGGTTTAAAGAAAAAGGACAATGTTTTACACATGGATCAAATTAGACACTGCAAGACTATAAATCTGCACCCTTCTAATGTGAAAAGGGCTTCACTGAGCTATACTTGTATATTATGCCCTCGATATTCACTCAAGGCCATTACAAGGAACAAATGAAAACGGCATCAGCATTTGCTATTAACCAGTTGAGAACATTCTCCACTATTTCAACTAAATAAGTATCCAGGTGAGAAACTTCTTTTATAATTTAACCCCAGAAATTTTTTTTACTCCAAAGAACCAGTTAACAGAATAGAAAGTGTTATTGTTTTGGCTATCAGGAAGCTCAGCCATGTTTAATTCTCAATCACATCAGCTACATTAACCCATAAACCATATTATCGTCCTCCTCCTTATAATCTCATCTCCTATTTCTATATTTTATTCTCTATTTTTAAGTACTCAAAACATTTTTAAAGGGCTGAAAAAGAATACACTTGTGGTAGACATAGCAACGTGCCACCCAGATCCCCTTCAAAGAAGGACTTGTTGACCCAACTATTGGGAGAGCTGTCAGCAGAAAATCTTCAGCTGTCAGCCCCTCGAAGATCATCTTGGCTGCAGAGTGCCATCTGGCCCAGGCTAGGCTCTTCCCAGGACATTACAACTCCTTTCCAGGCTAGTGCCAGACAACAGAGATCCTGGGAGTTGGCTGAGACTGTCATCAGGCCTGCATCTCAGTTTAGTTTTCCCTGTGCCCACTCCTGTTTCTTTCCAGTACCTCCCAGAGTGTTGATCCCAGGGCCACTCCCCAATAAACATACTGCACACTAACCTGTCACAGAGTCCACATCCAAAGAACCCAACCTGTGACAGCACCAAATCAAAAGAGACTCAGGAGGCTGAGGCAGGACTGCTTGAACTCGGGAGGCGGAGATTGCAGTGAGCCAAGATTGTGCCATTGCACGCCAGCCTGGGCGACGAGAGAGAAACTCTGTCTCAAAAAAAAAAAAAAAAAAAGAGAGAAAACATATCAGGTAGGGGTATTTTACAAAGGAGAGAGGATATACAATAAAGTGTTCATACATACATGGGAAGCAAAACAGCACTGACTCTGGGGCCAGACTACCTGGGTTTGAATCCTGCCTTTTAGCTCTGTGCCTCAGTTTTTTCATCTGGAAAATGGGGATAATAAGAGCACTTATAGGGCTGTAATGAGGAAGAAATGAGACAATGTGGATAAAGCAGTTCCATAGTGTTTACTATATGTCAACCACTGTTCTAAGTGGTCATTTAATAAACAGCTGTGAGGCCAAACCCACAGGTCCCGAGGGGCAGTTGGGCTGGGACTCTCCCCAGACTCTGGGCATGGGCACAGGTACAGTGTAGGCCAGGGCATGCTGAAGCATGCATGTTCACAGAAATAGGCCTGAGCAGGGCTAGCATGGGTGACGTCACAGGCGTGTGCTTGTGTGGGTGCTGGGCTGCTCCTCCCAGACAGCGCAGCTGCACGTATTGCCATTCACACCCACGCACCCATATATATGCTGAGCTGGGGGAAGCCCACACAGACCACACCCTCTGCATGCCCTGTTTTTCCTGCACCTCCTTTGGTGGAAGGAGGCACCTGAGGCCTGGGATGCTGGCCCAGAAGTCCCAGGAGGAAATGGGTCCTGTTCCCTGATTACAGGCCTGGCAACGGGCTGAAAACTCAAGCTCTTGTTGGCAGGGATTTCTTGAGCCCCTAGAGGTCCAGACCCAGAGGCAAAAGTAAAAGCAAGGAAGCCTTACCCTGCATGTTAGGAAGCTCCCAAAAAAATGGAGAAACGGATGTAAAAAGTGCATCAGAGCCCACAGGCTGCCGGAGTCAGCACAGTAAGCTCAATGAGGGCTGCAGCACTTAAGAGGGTGCCTCCTGTACAAAACAGGATCAGACAGCCAGAGAGGGGCCCCATTCAGCCCCCGTCTGCCTTCCTGGTCTCATCACTCCCTGTCCCCTCCTCAGTCAGGAAACTCTAGCTTTGTAACCCTAAATTCAACAACCTCTTCCTGGCCTCAGGGCCTTTGTACATGCTGTTACCTCTACTTGGAATGTACTTTTCTCCAACCCACCTTTAATAATTCACCTCGCCATCGACTCACTTCCTTTAGACCTCTGCTGAGGTCTGAAGAGATCTCGACCCAATGTTTTTCCTTCTAGCCCTCATCATAATTGTCTTTATGTAACAGAGTGTTTATTTAATGTCTGAACTCCCAGAGAGCTGGCGCTGTGTCTCTCTTGTGCTCCTCATGTTGTCAATGCCCAACACAGAGAAGAGCAGGGTCCACAGAACTTCAAGCCTAAGCCAGTTCAAGCCACACTCTGTGAGCACTCACGTTCTGCTGGATTCCCTGTGCCCAAGGCCAGCGGTGAGCATGCCTCCCCTCACCCATGCTGATTAACCAGATAGCCTCCATGCCCACTGACTACTGACCACCAGGACTTACCTAAGCCAGTGGATCTCCTGTGAGGCAGAAAACTCATGGAGTCAGGCCGACTTGGGTTCTAGTTCCCACCTAGTCATGTTATGTGGCTTTGGGGCAAATTGTAGAACTTCTCTGAATCTCTGTTTCCTCATCAGTAAATTGTGGACCATCATTCCTGATTAGAAGATAATTATGAGGATCAGGTGTGACCACAGGTGCACACCTTCAGCACAGGGTCTACGCTAGCTCCGTCCCGCCCACGTAAAGACCTGCCACTAGGTGGCAGTCCATCTCAGCTACCCCACCGCTCCTTACTCCACAGAGGCTGGCTAGGACAAAGGGTCTCAATGTCATGCTGAATTCTGAGCTTCTTAGGGGACGCACTTGAGGAAATCAACGTTAACACACAAGTTTCCACTACAGCAAGACAAAGTCAGAAGCAGCAGCCCCAGGTCACTATCCAGCTGAGTGGGTTGCCTGAGCACACGCTCTTACAAACTCTAGTCTAGTCCTACTATCTCACAATTCCCAGGAAGCCTGGCTCTTTCTCTGGCATCAGCTGGAAGCTCTGTTGGGCTTCTCACCTCTGAAATGCAGTAAGTTGTCCTGCTGTGCCTGGCAGCCGACCCACTGCCTGGCTCAACATGTCAGACAGGCTCCACCGCGACCGTGGGTGTCCTCAATTTTGGCGGTGCTGACAAGGGTAGATAGATTGCAGGGGTGAGTTTCAAGAATGGCTTCAGAAAGACAAAGAGTATGAATTATATTCCATAACCAGAAAAAGGCCTTGTGGCTGGAGAATGGAGAGTGAAGGATCACTTGTGAGAGATGAAACTGGTGAGATGGGCAGGTCATATAGAACCTGCTAGGCCAAGCAGGGAGTGTGGATTTTAGGTGCAATGGGAATTCACGGAGGGTTTTAGCCTGGATGTAGGGGATCATGATTTAATTTCATTTTAAAGATTTAAAGCATGATAAATCCAGGCAAAACCAAACTGATAGATCCAGGCAAAACCAAACAAGGTGAGTAGTCTGGGTGACAGGAGATGGGGCCTTCAGCTTGTGGGCTGAGTGACAAGGTCTTGATGGATTGGAGGTGAGGCAAAGGGAGGAATCAAAGTTAGCTGCAAGGTTTTTGACCTTCCAACTTAGAGAAGTTTAGCGCCGCGTTCTGAGAAAGTGAAGACTGTGGAAGGAATCGTTTGGGGAGGGAAGGCGAGCTGTCTAAGGGGGGGGGATGTGGAACATGCAGTGGGATGCTGGGGCCTGGAACGTAGGGGAGATGCAGGTTTGGAGTCACCGGTGCCTGTGTTGTTGGGCAAAGCCAGGGGAAAGGTCAGGTCGCCTTGGGATCTGGCCTAGCACTGAGTGCAGAGGAAGAGAAGCTTCTGAGATCGAGAGGCAGCGGCTACAGGAGGAGGAAGAAAGCAAGGCGGGGAAAACCAAAGTTCAGGAGAGCATTTGCAGGAGGGCGCTGCGGGGTAGGGTCTGAGTCGGAGCCCCGAATCGGACTCGAGTCCTGTCGCGTGGGGACGGAGCGTGCAGAGGCCCATGCGAGGGACAGACACAAAGGCCCTGGGAGCTGCAGGTCAGACCACTGGACAGCGCGGCCGCGGACCTAACGCCCCTGTAAGGGGTGCTCACGCTTGGGGGGAACTCTCCGAAAGAGAGGACCACTGAAAGCCACCCTGGCAGCAGGGGCGGAACAGACAGACGTGGGTCTGGCCGTCGCCAGAACTGCCTGCGGACCAGCCCCGCGCTGCCGGGGGGGCGGGACATGTCGGCTGTCCATCAGTGCCCGCGACCAATCCGCAGGCAGCCCCGCCCCCGCCCCTCCCGGGAGAGGGCGCGCGGAGGACCCGCCGCCGCCGGTGTGAGGCGGCCCGTCCTGGCTCCCTTGTCCGGGAAGCCCGCCCAGGTAACTGAGTTTGGCCGGGCATTCCCGGAGGACGCGCCATCCCCTCACGTCCCGTCCCGGTCGCTGCATGGGCGGTGTTCGGGACGCGGGGGCTGCGTCTGTGCGGGACCGCGGGGTAGCGGCCGCCCGTGCGAGTACGCCTGACTGACGCGCCGGCCGCCGGGCCTGCGGCCTGTGGGCGGGGCTGCCGTGCGTGACAGGGCCGCTCGTGGCCGCCGGGCTGTGTCCGGGGCCGCGTGAGAAAGCTCTGCGGGACTGAGGGCTGGGTGGGTCGACCGGGAACGGCGCGCGCTCCCGCCGCCATCGCGCCTCCGTCCCCGCCTGCGGCCTGTCTGGGGGTCGCGGGGCGCAGGCGCGGCGGGCCGACGGGCGGGGGTCCTCCCCACGGGTGCGCGGGCGCCTTTGTTCCCGGCGCCGAAGCGGGGTGGGGCCTCAGGGCAGCCCCGCCCCGCCGCGCTGAGGCCCCGCCCCGTGTCCGCCTGCAGGAGCCGCCGCCGGGTCCCGCTCGTCTGCCGCCTCAGCCTCAGCCCCAACCTCAGCCGCCGCCGTTGCGCTTGCTCCCGGGCGGTCCTGGCCTGTGCCGCCGCCGCCCCCAGCGTCGGAGCCATGGCGGGCGCCGCGTCCCCTTGCGCCAACGGCTGCGGGCCCGGCGCGCCCTCGGACGCCGAGGTGCTGCACCTCTGCCGCAGCCTCGAGGTGGGCACCGTCATGACTTTGTTCTACTCCAAGAAGTCGCAGCGACCCGAGCGGAAGACCTTCCAGGTCAAGCTGGAGACGCGCCAGATCACGTGGAGCCGGGGCGCCGACAAGATCGAGGGGGCCAGTAAGTGCGCCCACTTCCTGCCTGGGCCCGCCCCGCGCGGGGGTCGTGGGAGCCCGGCCCGACTGCTTGCACCCCGGCCGGCCGCCCCAGCGACTTGGGCAAACTTTCGGGCCCTCCCAGACTCCCTCCGGGCCCCGCCCCCGCTTCGTCTCGGGTGGTCACTGGGGGCGGGGGGCATCCGGGTCCTCGGTCACCTGACAGGACACCCCCCCTCCCCCAGCTGGGGGGAGTGTTCCAGGCGCTTTGCCCTGAGGCCTAAAAATCCTCGCGGGCTGGAGACCTGCGGTGCAGGCATCGGGCCCCCCAGACCCTGGGAGTGGTGGCGGCGTCGGCGAGGGGAGCTAAGGCAGTGGCCCCCACCCTGCACGGGAACCTGGGGCCTGACCAGACGGTCCCCGCCCACTCTTTATCCAGAAAGAGCAGTCTGTGAAACTCTCCGGGCCCCCAGGCTGGGCTCTTATTTGCAAAGGAATCTTTGGGTTCCCTAAGTAGAACTTAGGCAGATGTTGGGTAGGGCTGGTCTTGGAGCAGAGCTGGGCCTACTCATCTCCCTCTGGGGGAGAGGGAGGAAGGTGGTCTTGTTTGGTTTGGAGAAGCCTGAGAGAAGCCAGTGGCTGGAATTTTTTTTTTTTTTTTTCTGCTACTTTTGTCCCAAAGCTGGGTTTTGGAGGCCTATGTGGGTGGGCAGACACTCAATGCCAGGGCAGGGACTCCCCTTGCCCTGGGAAGCACGTTCCCAGGAGATGGGCCCCATAAAGGCCTGCCCCAGCGCCTTGGAGTCAGGTATTCTTCTCAGGAGTGCAGCTAGTTTGTGAGTCTAGCCCTTTGTCCTCTGTCCGGTGGCTTCAGGGAGCGGGAGCGGCTTCTCTTAGTTTCCTGCCTTTTCGCCTTCCCAGGCCTGAGCTTGGCTGCTTTTGCGCTGGTCTCTAGTGGGAGGAGGGAGTTGGGGGATTTTGAAAAACCCCAGATCTTTGAGAGTTGTTCCACTTAGCGCGTGCCTGTGCTGTGGTCGGATGGGCACTCTGCTCTGCCCTCCATTCCCCCGCCTCTCAGTGTGAAGAGATGGTGTGTCTGCAACTCTAGACTGGGTTGCTTCTTGCAGGGACCCCCGGAGACTAGGGTTAGAGAGACCCAGGCTCAGAACCAGGTCTGTGTGAAGGAGGGAGATCAGGAAGTGACACCCCAAGGGGGGGTCCCACAAACCTTCTTGGGTATGGTGTGCATGTGTGTAGATAGTTGAGGAGATTGGGAGGAAGGAAGGTCTTGTGGTGAGGCAGCCAACCATCCTCAGCTACAAACTCCAGATCTGACACAGATCTAATGCAGCTGCTCAACTTAGAAATGGCAGCCCCCTTCCTCAGTGCCCCCACTGACCCTGTCAGCCATTGGGAGAACATTTTAGTGACTTGAGAGCCTGTGGATTCCAAAGTAAAGGAAGAATCGACACTGCAAAGAGCTGAGATAACCCTGGGAACATCACTCAGGCATCAGGCTCCAGGCATGGTCCCCTTCCTTACTCCCTATGCTGTGTTGAGTTGGTGGCACTGGCTGGAAGTTCTCAGAGATCTCCTGGGTAACAGACTGCATTTTAAACCACGCATATTAGCAGGCAATAAATGTAGCACAGTGGTTGATGGCAAGTCTGGATTTGAAGCCCATATATTCATTGTGTGTTTCCCGGCCAGTTACTTACCTTCTCTGAGCCTTGATTTCCTCATGTGTAAAATGGGGGTAATAATATATCCAGTATATATGGTTGCTCCAGGATCAAATGAGACAATTCATATAAAACATCTAGCATTGTCTGACACATAAATGTTTAATAAATATGAGCTGTTATTAGCAATAACATTAACAATAGACCGTGGCTGCCCTTCAAGACCCTGAACTGGGAATGGTGAGGGGGTGAGGTGTGGCTATAGGTGAGGATGAAGGTGCAGGAAGGGAGGAGGACGGTGACCAAATTCACATTTCACTTAGATTGCTACTCAGAAAAAGGCAGGAAACAGTTTTGTTTTGCCCCAACCCATGTGCCCACTCACCCACCCACCATGTAGAACAGTGTTTCTGTAGAGAAAGTGTTTGCAGTTGTGCACATTTGACTCCTGGGTGTGACCTTTCTTGTTTGTAAGTTGGGGCCTGAACAGAAAAGAGGGGTGCAGAGAGGGGATGATTTATCATGCCTCATGTATTTGGGGGATGGAGGCAGGCATACAGAGGACCTGATAACCCCCTACCCAGGGGTGAGCAGGTGGGTCAGCCAGAGGTGTACAAATTCAGTGATCTCATCAGTTAGCTGGGATTTAACAGGCCTGGAGAGTAGGCAGAGGATGTAGGAGGACCCTGGCTTTTGGATTTTGGGGGCTCAGATTGAAAAGAGCCTGGATGAAAAGTCTGGTCGATGCTTGTGTGTTCAGACTTAACTAATGGAGGCTTCCACTGAAGCCGTGCCCTGCTTCTACCCATTCGTGGGCTCTCCTTGTTGGTGGGTTCTGATCCCTGCGGCCTCTGAGGAGGTTGGACTGCCAGCCGGGTTTTCTGCCACCTGGACTCTTGCCCAAGCACCTCAGGTATCTGGCCTTTCCTGCTGACCCTACCAGGGTACCAGCAGTGCCTGAAGCCTGGCCTAAGAGAGAGACACTGTGCTACCTTCAGGGTGTTGGTAGACCTGAGGGAGAGACAGTGTGGTTTAAGGAGCACTCATACTGATATGTAAGACCTTCTTCTGCCCTGACTCTGTGCCCTCTCTTGTCAGCAGTTGTGAAATGGAGCTGACACCTCCTGATTTCTAGGGTGGTCATTTGGCTCAAAAGCGGGGTGGGGAAGTGCTTAGGTGTTGACAAGTTTGGTTGTCCTGGTGGTATGACAGGAACCAGGTTGGTGTTTGGCCTTTTATGTTGCAGATACTGACATAAATGAATAAAATGCAGTTATGTAGAGTTCCAGCTGAGTGCTATTGAGACCTTTCGTCCCATTTTACAGATGAGCAAATGGAAATGGAGAATCGTTTGTGCCCAAGGTGTTGTGTCAGTGTGTGCCAGGGCCTCAGCTGGGGCCAGCTCACTAGTCAGAGGCTGACTAGCAACCCCAAGCCCATGTTCCCTGTGGTCCACGTGGCTCCTCTGTGAGACACCTTTGTGCTCAGACCATGCATTACAGGGCAAAGACCACTTTGGCTTTTGTATCCCAAGACAGCCTCAGCCTCTCTAGGCTCTGGCTCCACACTTTTTCTTCTGGTGTTTTCTGAGTTGAGATGGTTCAGACTCGTGTTTAATGAGGTTGTCCATTTGAGGGTCTTTGTGGGCCCAGTAAACACTGGTGTAGACACTGTGGAGGTACTCTGAATACTGGCTGAGCATGTCCATGGGGACTTCTGAGGCCCCAGGCTTCTGTCTTTGGCTGATCCTTCACTAGATACTTTTCTAGATGCCAGGCCCTCTGAGGTGAAGGAGTATGGGTGCTTGCTTTTAGGGAAATGAAAACAGGCAATGACAATTGTGAGCAGTACCTTTGATGAAGAGGGTGAGGGTGGCGGAAGAAAACAGCTAACTGCCTTGATGAGGCAGGCGGGCTCAGAAGGGAGGTAGTAGTGGAACCAGCTGGCTGGGGCTTGACCCCTGTGGCTGGGGAGCAGACCACACCAGGAGGCCTGCTCCGAGGGCTAGGCCCACAGCACGGGAGAGGGCAAGGCCCAGGCCGGTGTCATCAAGGGTTTTCTTTGTACTGGCTGTTACTCCCAGTGGGAGAGGGGCAGGAGCACATGTCCGGATCTCCAGAGCTAGCCATCCCTGCCTGTGTATTTCCTGTCTGATGTAGTTTTTTCCAAGGGAAGTCAGACCTTTTAGTGTTTCCTCAGCACCCCAGGCTTGCCCCGATGTGTGGGTTTCCAGGCCCCCCCGCCCAGCTGGGATCCTCTGTTTCCTGTGAACCTAGGAAAAGGGCCTGCTTCACAGATAACTGGAGGAGCTGAGCACACCCAGTCCTGGGACCCACAACACCTCCAGCTTCTCTCCAGACTCTTGTGTGTGTGTGTACACAGATGCACAGGATTCAGTTGGAGTTTAGAGATCTTGGCTACCAGCTTTGCTCTGGGTAGCTTCTTGGAATGAGGCACATTTATTAATATTTGCAATAAGTATTATTATACCTCCCCATTTGCCCAGTGCTAGGCACCAAGGATTCAAAAGTTTATTGAGACATGGTTTGTGCCATTGATGAACTCTTGGAAAAGACAGATGTAGAGGCATATGATTATAACCCTGTGTGTTACATACCATAATATAAAGGCCTCTACCAAGAACTGTGAGGAGCTCTGCCAGGAAGGCATTAAAGGAGAGGTGACCTTTGAGGTAGGCCTTGAATTACTGAGGCACCTGTCTGTGCCGAGGCTAAGGAACTGGGAATCACTCTGTGCAGGGGTAGGGAACAGATATGGTGTGGTAGAGAGGAAGCTGGGACTGGTTGGAGACAGCTATAGCCCTAGTGTGCCATGTCCAGCAGATTACACTCAGTCCTGGAGGCGACGGGAGTCAGCGGAGGCTGTTGTGGGACTGACTTGCCTCTGCCTGGGAGACCACAGTGGCAGTGGTTTGTCAGGCAGGTGTTGGGGAGGGAGGCCAGTGAGCTCCTACGGTTTGCACAGTTTGCAGGAGAGAGCTGCTGAGGGCCCAGACAAGACCTTCTTGCTGAGGCAGGGTGGGGATGCCATGGTGGTAGATGGGAGAAGGGCTGGGTCTTGAGGGGTGAGACAGAGCTTAGTAGTTAAGCATTTGGGCCCTAGACTCTGCTTGAATTAAAATCCTGTTGTGCAGCTTACTTGCTCTGTGACCTTAAAGCATATGACTACCTCTCTGGGCTGCTTATCTGTAAAAAGGATAGTATTAAATGGCATTTATTTTATAAGGTTTTTGTGAGGATTTGATGAGAACCTGTATAAAGTGCTTAGCACCTGTATAAAGTGCTTAGCATGGAGTGTGGCACAGTGTAAGTGCTTACTACGTAGGATCCCTGACAGGACAGAGATGAGGATTAAGTTCTCAGGAGGACCTGGTGGGGAGGAGTTCGAATGCACCTGCTGTCCTAAGGGGCTGGTGCCTGGCCACCAAGCCCTTTGATTCAGAGGCAAGGAGGCCCGCCCATCCTCTCTTGCAGCTCTCAGCAGTCCCTCTATTGTCAGGGCTCTTTCCCACTGCTGGTTTTGCAGGGAGACAGGGCAGTTGGCTGGAAGCAGCTGCTTTGGGTGGTAACCCCTTCTGTAGAGTGAAGGTATGATATTGTCCTATTTCTAAGTGCCTAGCCCAGGACGCTATCTGGAGAGATCTTGTCTTTGAGGAAGTGCTCTAATGCCACAGCCTCGATGTGGTAGGGCCTGCCTCTGCTGTCACTGTTCTGTGTCAGTCTCCGTTAACTCACAGCATCTCTTCTTACTCTGTGCCTTTTCCTGTGGGATGTGGCTTCAAGGAGACCACAGATGATAAGTTGGAGGAAGGGAGTGAGGCCTGAGATTGCAAAGGTGTGATATTAGGAGACTGATTTTTCCCCCTTTCCACTTGCTTTGTTAGAACTAGAGAAGTCACTGCAGACTGTGAGGAGAGTCCTAGGAGAGATGGGTGTGGGATAGGAGGATGGGAATGTTCTGGTGCCCCTTGTAGAGTGCCTTGTTGAGAGGAGCATGGGAACAGTGCGTCCTTGGAGGGAATCTCTGAGAGCAGCATGTTTACAGGTGGCAAGACTCAAGGTGGAGCCACGGGTGAGGAGTGGCTTCAGGCTACCATTGACCAGATAGTCCCACCTTGCTGGTAATTGAGCTGAAGTGCCTGGAGATTTGTGGCTAGAGCTGGTCAGATTTGGGTTCAGGTCTCAGCTCTTACTGTGACCTTGGGCAGATTACTTTTCCCTGTCTGAAATTGATCTTTAGCTGTAAAAGTAATTTCTCCTCACAGAGCTGTATATTAATAATAAGGGAGATTATATATAAGAGTAAGAGATTTTATGTGAAAACTACCCAGCACAACATTTGTCACTTAGTGGCCACTTAACAGTATTCATTTCCTTTACTCTCACCTTTGTTAACCACAGAGCTCCAATCTTTTCCACCACTAAGCTCGGCCACAAGTGGCTGCTCCAACAACCTGGGCTAGGAGTCTGTTTCCTACTTGCTTTCTGTGTTCCTTCCCTGAGTCTGTACACAGAGGACTGGGGCATCAAAAAACTCTGGAATTGGAATAGCATATTGGGAGTTCATGGAACATTTTCTCACCTGTTGTATTGTTTGAACTTCACAGCAGCTCCATGAATCCATGGAGGGCAGGAGTTACTATCCCTCTCTTACAGAGGAGAAAACCAAGCCCTAAGGGTAAGGTCACATAGCAAGTTCATGGCAGATCCTAGGATTTCAGATTCCTGCTATAGTATTCAGTTTATTCTCCCATTCTGGGGAAAATGATAATAGGATGGACCGTTCTATAGGAACAGAGGGTTATTTTGTTTTGTTTTGTTTTTCTTCCCTCTGGCCACATGTGTTTGACCAGCCTAGACTTCCATCTGTGGACAAGCTGGACTCATTGCCTCAATTTCAAAACCCGTCCTGCACTCATCCTTGCCACAACACCGGTGTCGAGATGCTTGGCCCACCCAGACCTTTCCCACACTCCTACATGGGGGTGAATGTAGCCGCTGATTGGGGGTGGGACACAGAAGAGCCTCACCCTCTTGACTTTCTGGTTTGTGGTGACACTTCCGCCTAAGCTTCTACAGAACATGGGAACCTGGGGCTCCATGCCCCAAATATCCTGAGAAGGGCTTTTCCAGGATTCTCTATGACAACTCAAGAGCATGCATTCATTCATGTGCTCTTTAATTTGTCATACATTTGTTGTGGGCCTTGCTACTGTGTGTTGGGCACACTGAGCTGGATGTGATTACTCCAGCCTCTGACTTGTTCATGGTGGCAGTAGATCTCTAGCGTGGTTTGTGTTCCATCTCACCATACCTACTCTCCTTAAAAAAAAACAAAAAACTAGCTTTCTTGGGCCTCAGTGGCTCATTGAATAAGTGAGAGACGACTTGTGCTTCCCTGGCTTTAGACTCTGGCATTTGCTAACTGTGCCAAGCACTGTGGAGACCAGTAGTGGACATAAGGTTAGGGTAGATACAGCCAGAAAGGAGATAAATAGGCAGACAGATAAAATTCTTATAGGATTTGGTGAGTTCTATGAAGGAAATAAGGCAAGAGGCTGCTCTGTCAGGGTAGGTGAGGGTGTGCTGTGATAACAAATGATGCCCACATATCAATGGCTGGCAACAAGGAAGGTTAATTTCCCCTGTTTGCTATGTGTGCTAACCTACACCACCGTCCCTGGAGAGTGGCCTCAGTGGTTCTGGGTGAGGCCTCTAGTACAGAACCTGAACACCCTGGGCAAACTAGGCTGGAGAGGGATTTGGAGTATGGAGGTTTAGAAGGAATTAATTTCTATGACTTAGGATGCATGTGGTGAGTGTGGCTTTGCTGTTGTGGTAGAGTAGAGTGCTGCCTGTGTGGGTCAAGAGACTGTCTTGGCTGACATCTTTGAAATAGGTATATTTGTGTGGCCCTTGCCTAATTGTCATCTCTGCCATAGCTGCCCCCGCCTTCCCCACCAACCCATGGCCCTACTTGAGCTGCCTGCTGAGCCTACTCTGTTGTGGCCACAGTATCCTCCTGCTGCCCAGAGTTTGAGTTTCTCGCTACTTCTGCCACTCATCACACTTGCTTCCCAGAGCTTTGCTGGGTGTGCTGAAGTCTCCAGAGAAAGTGGGGAATATGGGTGCCTAGAGACTTCTAGGGGGTGTTTTCAGCCCCTAGAGAGTAGAGAAGTGTGAGAAGGGGTTGGTCCCCGAATATTCTGTAGTTTTGGGGAAGAAGCAATGGGGACAGTGGAGTTGGTTGCCTTAAGAGAGGCTATGGTCCCAAGAGATGGGACTTGGAGAGTCTCTACTTGCATTCCTGGCTAAGCCCTTAATATTCTCGCACCCCTCCTTGCAAGACTAGTTCCTTTTGAGGTGGTTCTTGGCTAGCTTTTGAGAGGCTGCAGTGGCTGTGTGCCCAGGCTTAAGTCCTAGCTTTCTCCCCACTCTTTACCTCCTAGGAACCGGGCCCATCCTGGGGGAGGCAGGGAGGAGCTCCTTTTTATAGTCCACATGTAGGCTTTGTGTATAGGCTCTGCTGCTTCCTTCCGGCCCTGGCCCTTCCTGGTGTTGGCCGGTGGCCCTGGCTTCAGCAAGACTCAGGATGCAGAGTAAACGGGGCAGGGCGTTCTCCTACAGAAGACTGGCATCCCTTTTTACTGAGCCCAGGCCTGGCACAGAGGAGGCTGGAGTTAGGAAGCAAGAAAACGAGGTGACCCAGTCCTTGATCCTGAGAAGCTTGTGATCTGGACCATGCAGAAAACCGCTAATGCCCAGGGCTGGCAGGAGACAGCTGTGCCTAAAGTGCTGTAGGCTGGGCCTGAGGGCCAAGATGGAATCGCTTTTCTCCCTGTAGCAGCCCATCCTACCCCCTGGGGTCCCTCCACCTGCCAGCTGGCACACAGGTGTTGGGTAAAGCATCTGTACAAAGGCTGTGAGGGGCCTGGGCGCAAGGCAGCAAGGCTTGGGTACGGAGGAGAGTGGGTGGTCTTACTGATGTTCTGGGCCCTGACAGTGAACAGCTGGCCAAACTGGTGAGGAGTTGGGCCATGGCGAGTTTGGCCACTTGTTTGTGTGTGTTTAGTTCTTCCTGGGCACAGGTGGGGAGTTCACTTTGGGGTTGGCTTCCTGTTTTCTTGGACACCTGGGGATATGGTTGAGTTAAAATGTTCTGAGGGAAATGATTGTTGAGGGCATGGGCTTGGGTCATAGTGTCCTTGGCTTGGCCTTGCCCATGGTAGGAGTCGGGTATTGACCACACTGGGTTCTGGCTGTGTAGGTGTGGATGTGTGGTGGGAGAATTCCAACCCCACCTTGACTTCAGCCTAAGGCCCAGAGAGTGTGGGCCTGAGTTCACAGGGTGACTAACCCTAGGAAGGAGTGAAGGAGAGCTCCAGTTGGCCATAGGTCCCACAGGTTTCTCAGCTTACTTGGGGGCAGGAGGTGAGCTAAGGAATACAACTCCATTCCCTCAGTTGGGAGGTTGGGCAGCGATGGGGGCAGGGGTGATGGTCCTTCTCTGAGGCACTGAAGACCCACTTTATGGTCACCCTATTCTGCCTGATAGTCCACCACCTGTTTGGAGGCAGCTCCCCTCTTCCTGCCCTAGTCACTTCCTCCACCTTCAACAGTAATTGAGTATAATGTGCCTGTGTTAGCTTGTCCATCCTAACTGGGACTGTGGCCTTTTCTTGGGCGTTCTTAGCATATCTACCAAGGAGGTTGGAAAAGGTAACATATGTCACTTTGTTAAGGATTTTGCTGAGGGCCTTTTGAGGCCAGCAGTGAAACACAGAGCATTCCCTCCAGTGAGAACAGAATGTCTGTTGCCAGACTGATCACAAGAGGATGGCCTGGTTCTGGCCTGAGAACTGGTCTACACCGGAAGCATGAAGCTCCATACAATCATGTGTGCTAGTAAAGTTTGGGCAAGCAGCTGTCCTAAGCAGGTAAAACGATAGGTTATTCAACTTCAACTTCAGAGAAAGAAATCCAAGGTAGCCATCTCTCTCAGTAGGGGAGGTGAGTTCAAAGAATTTAAGCTGGGCTGGGCACGGTGGCTCACGCCTGTAATCCCAGCACTTTGGGAGGCCAAGGTAGGGGGATCACGAGGTCAGGAGTTCAAGACCAGCCTGGCTAAGATGGTGAAATCCCATCTCTACTAAAAATACAAAAATTAACCAGGCGTGGTGTCAGGCGCCTGTAACCCAGCTACTCAGGAAGCTGAGGCAGGATAATTGCTTGAACCCGGGAGGCAGAGGTTGCAGTGAGCCAAGATCGCGCCATTGCACTCCAGCCTGGGTGACAGAGCAAGACTCTGTCTCTTTAAAAAAAAAAAAAAATTTAAGCTGGGCTTTCTGGGCAGGCAGTGAGTGAATGAGATCCCTGGCACCTTGGAGTGAGATCAGAGTCTAGATCACTCACTGGGGCCCTGTTTCCCAGGAAGCAAAAAGGGAACAGGAGAGTGGCTTGGCTTGGGCTGGCATGGCGCAAAGGGAGTGCAGCCAGATGCTGTGGCGGCTGGGTCAAGTAGCTCTAAAACAGGAGAGCCTAGTGGGTTCTGCTGAAGCAGGATGTCTCAGCAAGCAGGCCTCTGACCTGACGACTTCCGGTCATTATTTAGAACGTCTCCAGCCCCACAGATTTACTCTGTTGGAGGCTTAAGGACTAAACCAACATTTACTGTCCAAGAGGTGGCAGTAACACAGAAACCAAAGAGGCAGGAACCAAGGTTGGGGTGGTGAGATGTCATGGGGTTCAGGGAGTGGCAGAGGGGAAGGCCTCTATTCTCCCTTTCCCACTTGTCTCCCTACCTCAGCCCCTGTTGCTCTGACGCTTCCCCCACCACTATGAGTCCTAGGCCCCTGTTGTTTCCTTGTAGGAGGGAGACCCCAGATTTTTATTTCTTCTCCCAACCCATTCCATTTCCTCTCCCTTGTGAGAGGGCTCTGCAGAGACAGGGCAGCAGAGAGAGACTTGGAGATATGCTGGGCTGTGGTCAGGAGGGCCTCATTTATCTAGTGAGCAGGAACAGGTTATATAGCAGTGATGCTTTCATAGTATTTTTCTTGAATAAGGTCCCCAAAACCTTATTAAGTTCCTGGTAGGCATGGAGCATTGAAGATGGCAGACATGGTGCAGTCTCTCAAGGAGTTTACGCTCTAGTGGAGAAAACAATCAGACAGCCTTAAAATACATGTATGGCTACTATAATAAATACTGTGAAGCAGGAGTGCACCACGAAACCTGGAGTCCTCTCCATCCTCCCCTTCTGTCTGTGCTGGCCCTGCTTGGCCACTTCCAACAAGGATTCTGAGGCATTACAGAGCACACGTCTAGGGTACAGGCAGTCTTGGCTTTGAAGTATTGTTGGCTTTGCCACTCACCAACTGCCACCTTAGGTAAGTTAATTAACCTCTTTGTGCTCAATTTCCTCACTCGGGAATTGGGGACCCTAATACTTACTTCATAGTGTTATTTGCAAGTATAAAATATAAGGCAGTTTTTATCGTTGTAAGGCAGTCTTATCAAGAGCTTTATGCAATGTCTATGCAAAGTAAATATGCAAGAAATTAGTGTTAGGATGCCAGATGCTGCTGTTGCTCATCGTCTCTTCCCACCCAGCAGAGGTAGTAACTACTTCATCCTCTACTTCTCAGCTTCTTATAGTATTTGTCTGTGGACTCTAACGTAAGCTATCTAGCATAATACTCATATCTAATTTTTCCTTCCACATTCAAGCTCCTTGAGGTACTTGTATTCCAAGTATCTAGTTTAATGTCTCTCATGTAGGTGCTCAGAACGTATGGTTAATTTTGAATAATAAAGCCAGTGGGACTTCTCAGAGGGCTGGATTGGGGGCTGGTGAGAGAAAAGGAGATGCGAAGGATCATTCTGAAGTTTGGAGTTTGGGTACCTGTTTGAATGGTGATGCTCTTAGCTGACCCAGGGGGTATGGCAAGAGGCCTTGGTTCTGGTGAGAGAGAGAAGACAGTGTTTGGTTTTGAGGAGTTGTCTTTGAGACGTTTTGAGATGAAGAGTGGGGATAGCAAGTAGGCAGCTGAATTGAAGGATCTGAAGCTTAAGAGGAGAGGACTAGGCTAGAGACCTGTTTGTGAATTATCTGTACATAGGAGGTAATTAAGGGTGTGGGCATGGCTGACACTGATGAGGAAGAAGGCAGAGCACCGGAAGAGAGGACCTTGACCTGAGCCTTGACCAAGGCCATTGCTAAATGCAGGTAGGCCTGTAGCGCACAAAGAAGCATGAAAACCAGGCAAGGTTGTGCAGGAGAAATCAAGGGCAGAGCTTCAAGGAGAGAGGGCGTGATCAACCATGTTGATTGCTCTGAGGTGTCAGGAAGGAGGACCATAGATAAGTGATTTATGGGTCAGGCACGGTGATTCATGCCTGTAATCCCAGCTCTTTGGGAGGCCAAGACTGGCGAGTCATTTGAGCCCAGGAGTTCAAGAACAGCCTGGGCAACATGGCAAAACACCATCTCTGCAAAAAATATAATCAGCCTGGCGTTGTGGTTTGC
This sequence comes from Homo sapiens, assembly GCF_000001405.40. Classification (NCBI taxonomy): domain Eukaryota; kingdom Metazoa; phylum Chordata; class Mammalia; order Primates; family Hominidae; genus Homo; species Homo sapiens. The sequence goes on from NC_000020.11 coordinate 41,150,064, forward strand.
CTGTAGTCCCAGCTACCTGAAAGGCCAAGGTGGGAGGATCACCTGCACCTGGGGAGGTAGAGGCTACAGTGAGCCCTGTTGGTGCCACTGCACTCCAGCCTGGACAACAGAGTGACTTATGGGCCAGGCATGGTGGCTCACACCTGTAATCCCAGCACTTTGGGAGGCCGAAGTGAGAGGATCACTTGAGGCCAGGAGTTTGAGACAAGCTTGGGCAACATAGTGAGACCCCATCTCTATAAAATATAAAGAAAAATTTTAAAAGTGACTTATACCCATTGCTCTGGTTCTCCAAGTAGCCTGAGTGTACTATGTGGGGGAGCATTTTATGAGGGACTTTTGAGGTCCTGGGCATCCCTGAGACATGGCCCTGGTGGGTCCCCAGTCTCTCTCCTGTAGCTAGGAGCCTGGCATACACAGGCCATCTAGAAAGAACTTAGGCAGCATCAGTCTGCAAGGGAGGCAGAGTTTGGAGCACACTAGACTCCTGACACAGAGGCTGACCCATGGCTGCCTGGAGAATCTTCTGGGCTTGTGCAGAAAAGTTGGGGAAAGCCACCTTTCCCTACTGTGGCAGTCAAGGCTTGGTATAGGCCATCTTCCCTCCCTTCTCATCCATGATACTCTGAATGCCCTGTTTGTGGAACTTAGTGGACTCCTGCACCTCTGTCTTGGTTTCCATGAACCCCTCTGCCCAATGTGTGCTTGTCAGCCCTCCAGACCTGGCTTTTACAGAGCACTCCAAGACATTGCTCTACACACACTCAGCTCCACAGACACCTCCCTGTTGTTCTACTCGTTGCATGACCTCATAGTTATCTGCTTCCCCATCTGTTTCCTCCATCAGGCAGGGGTTTTCTCAAAGGCAGGAACTCAAATGCCTTATTGATCTCTGTTTCCCTAGGACCCAGCCCAGGGCCTGACATGGAGTAGATAGATGCCCGATAAATGTTTGATCAGATGATGGAATGAATGACTGCATAAGCCGAATAGATCACTGCTGAGTGCTCTTCCAGCTTTAATTTCTCTGGGTGGGACCTCCTTTCCCTTCCTTCCTTTGGATTCTGTTCTTACCTCTGAAATAGGTGAGATTAATTTAGAGTCCTAGGGAAGAGGGCTGCCTGCCTGGATGGTACAAAGGCTGGCTGTGGCTGCTCTGTGTTTCTCTGTATACCCAGTGTCAGGGATAGCAGCTGCTGTGGGGACACTGCAGAGTGTCCCAGTTCTGCCATGACTCACCATATGACCATGACAAGACCCTTTGGACCCTCTGTTTCCTCATTGTTTCAAAGAGATTTGTCTAGAATCTAGACCAAGCTTGTCCAACTCGCTGCCCGCGGGTCTGGTTTGAAGGCAGCTGCTGCACAGTAATGGGAAGGACAGTAAGCCCCACCATCGCCTTCCCTTTGCCATATAACCCTGTGACCTCAGAAGTCCCTGAACCCAGATCCTTGTTTGTAAAATGGAAAGGGATAGCTACCCACCCCTCCACTTTGACCTTCCTTTGGTGGCAGCCAGATGTGCTCAGGGAAACCTCAGATTTGTGAGTATGTTTCTACTGAGAGGCAGGAGGAGGAATATTATAGTCTCAGGAAGAGGGAGGAATGAGAGGGAGAGGAGAACTCTCACCCTTTCCACAGGCTTTGGGCATATGCAGCCAGCTTGGAAATGCTGACCATCCTGTGACCTGGCTACTATTGCATCAGGCTTCCTTCCCACCTGTGTCCAGGTCCTATCTTTGTCTCTTCTTTGGCTACCTCCATCCTTTTCCTTCAGAGCTGCAAAAACCTTGCCAAAGCCGTATGGTCCTGATGGGTGCAGAGCCCCTGTGCCTCTGGCTGCCTGTGAAGGGGGATCTGCAGTGCAGTGCCTGCCGTACCCCACAGGGAGTTGTATAGGAACCTGGGGATGGGGTGACTGAGGTAGGGGGCCAGAAGTGGCCCAGATGATACTCACTTCTGCTGGAACTTTTCTTTGTCCATCTTTCAGCATCCTCTGGTGGAGAAGGCTTAGCTCCATTAATGCTCTCCTAGGTCCTGGCTGTGTATTTTCTTTGGTATGGGAGTGGGGAACTGGGAGGGACTCATCTGTTTGCCACAGACTACATGTGGAGAGGGTGATTGGTGAGAGGTCATTTTGGAGATCTACACACCTCTTCTGACCCCTGGGACCACTCTCCTGAATCTCCTCATGGTCTTGGCTTCGGGCCCAGCAGGGCGTGGGTGCTCGGCATCCTGCTGCTTTTACTGTTTTTCCCAAAGCTCTGTTAGCTTCCCGTGGTTCCCACTGGCTATAGGAATCTTTATGTAAGGACTTCCCAGTGTTTCCAGACTGTATTTGCCCCCAGGGGTCACATTCCCCCCAACTATGCCTGCTGCTGCTTTTTCTGTTCCCGTTGTTACCTCACTGACCACTGCATTTTCAGTATTTGTTGTAGCCCCTCAGCCTCTGTGGCCCACTGTGCCACCTCTTCCAGGAAGCCATCCTTGATACCATCTTTCTGGTACCATTTTTGAGCATCTGTGGCCTTTGCTGCCTGTTAGATAATTAGCTCTGGAATCTAACTCCCATGTGTTTACTCCTGCTCTTAAGTACTCTGAACATTTTGAGGCCTCCCCAGGCCCTGGGTTTGTGTTGGACTGGTAGGGAATGGAGAGAAGAGTCAAATGTGGTTTCTTCCTTGGAGGAGCTCATAGGCCAGTGGCCTAAGACACCAGGGAAGCACCAGCAGGTGTGACAAGTGGTGACACACAAGAGAGGAGGGGGCACCTAGTGTGCCCCTGGCCTGGGCCTGGTGGGGGCTTAAGTGAGGAGGTAGGAGTGGCTTGTGCAAAGGCTGAGGCAGGAAGGAGTATGGGGAGACATGGGCTGGTGTCTGTGTTGTGTTAATTGGACTTGGACCCTTTTGAGGAGGGCTGGGCTTTCCCTGCCTTCCTCCAGTGCCCTCTGCAGAGTGGGGCACACAGGCCTTGAGGGGTTCTGGGGTCCACAGGCCACAGGTGGGGGTAGTAAAAACCCCCAGAAGGGAAGGAACCTGTCCAGGAAATCTTCGCTTACCTCTTTCAAGCTCTTTAGATTTTAAAGAGACCTTTCATATTTACTATGAGTTGCAGTTTTTTTAAGTTACAAAATTTCTTTACTCCATGCATGTTTAAATGGATAGTTTTTGCTACCATTTACATCAATTAGCTTACACACTTTGGGTTTTGTGTTTTTGTTTTGTGTTTTTAGAGAAAGGATCTCGCTTTGTTGGCCAGGCTGGAGTACAGTACTGTGATCATAGCTCATAGAGCTTCCTACTCATCTGCAGCCTCAAACCCTTGGGCTCAAGTGATCTTTCCCACCGCCTCCCAAGTAGCTGGGACTACAGGCATGTGCTACCATGTCTAGCTAAGTTTTTTTAATTTTTATTTTTTGCAGAGGTGGGGTCTTCCTCTGTTACCCAGATGGGTCTTGAACTCCTGGCCTCAAGCAGTCCTCTTGCCTCAGCCTTCTAAAGTGAGCGTATGCACTTTATAAAGGGAAAACCCTCTCTGAAGAGAAATATTTCAGACAGGGCATGGTTGCTCATGCTTCTAATCCCAGCACTTTGGGAGGCCGAGGCAGGCGAATCACTGGAGGTCAGGAGTTTGAGAGCAGCTGGCCAACATGGTGAAACCCCGTCTCTACTAAAAATACAAAAATCAGCTGGGCATGGTGGTGTGCATCTGTAATCCCAGCTACTTGGGAGACTGAGGTATGAGAATCACTTGAACCCCGGAGGCAGAGGTTGCAGTGAACCGAGATTGCACCACTGCACTCCAGCCTGGGCAACAGAGCGAGACACCCAGACCCAGAGAAATATTTCAGTGAAAGCATGTTTCATGTTCAGAAATTTGGGGTACTTTTGGTTATGGTTTTCTTGGCCATATCTTCATCATTTGGTGGGTTTAGTTTTCAATATGTCCTCCTGTCCCTTTCTGATTAAATCACTTCTGTATCTCTTACCTCATTGGCATCTCACTGTAGTCCAATGAAGGAGGTGCCAGGAGTGGTGATTCTATTTTGCAGATGAAGAAAATGAGGCTCAGAGAGATGGGTCCAGGCCTCCTGCCCACCTTGCCAGTGCTTTTGTTCATAATACCTCTCTACACCCTTTTTGCCTGCTGAGCGGTTAACAGGCTTATAAATTTGGGGGACCTCTGTCTGTTGGGCTATTTGGAAGTGGCTTTTTTGAGCACAGGGGATACTAGGACACAGGTTCCAACAAGAAACTTAGGTCTAATTTAGGGTCTTGGATTTGATGATTGGGCTCCCTCTCCCCCTTCTAGGGCCTGCCATGTGTCTGCCCCCTAGGGCAGGATTGGCTGGCTCTCACTGGCTGTGCTCTGAGGAGCCCTGCCTTTGCTCTTCTCTTTCTCTTCCCTAGGGTTCCTGCTGTCCTTGAACTCTGCCGGGGCAACAGGAATACTGCCCTTATGCACATCCTCGTGGTGGCCAGACAGGGTGGTTATCCCACTTTACTGGACAGGAAGAGAGCTAGTGGCAGGCCTGTGACTTGGCCTGATGTCTCGGGGGAGTCGGGGTGGGAGCAAGAGTCAAAGACAGGAAGCAGCCCTACCTTCAGAAGAGCCAGGCACACAGATGGGTCCTTTGTGGTTATTGTCTTCTCCCTTTCCCAGGTTCCAGACTGGCTGCCCGCCATATAGCTTGTCCCTTCGACAGCACCCTCTCTCCCCACTCAGTGGATTGGGTGCTGTCCCAGGGTGGGGGCTTACTCTCCTGCAGAGGCAGGTTCTCAGCTGGCCCTGAGGGTTGTATAGCTTCACAGCTCCCAGAGTGCTTGGGCATAGGGTGGCTCAGATGAGGAAACAGGCTCCTCTTTTAAAGGGAAAGCAACTGCCATTACTGGCATGTCCAAAAGGGGGATGCTGTCCAGGACTGCATGGCCCAGAAGCTCCGCTCTGAGTAACTGCTGGTCTCTAATCTCTGTGGTCTCAGGCCAGGAGTCTGTCCCTGGGCTGAGAAGGGAGGGGAGAAGAGGGAAGAGATGGAAAAGGAACATTGCTCTTCCCAGTCTCCCTGGCCTCGTCATATAACCTTTTATTTTACAAATTCAGTCTTGTGGCATTTTGCTTTAATGCTTAGAGCTGGCCCCAGGTGCCAGGCAGCAGGCACATTTCCTTCTGCCCAAAAAACAAAACACACATGAATCTGAGGTTGGGCGTGGTAAGGGCAGGCCAAGGCTGACCGTCCTATGTGGATATCTGTGAGGTAGTGTGCCTACATGTAAGGGTCTGTTGTGGGTCTACTCCCACGAAAGCCTTCATCTTACGATGAACCAGAGAGGACTGCAGACTTGCCAAGGCCTAGCTATATGCTTGGAGCCAGGATTTGAAACTTGATCTTTGGGGATGCACGTGCCTCAGACTATTGGTGAGTGTGCTGGTGGGGCACTGCAGGCTCAGGAAGCAGCGTGTCTGCATATGCTTATCTGTACACAAGTCTGTAAGAGTCCCCCTTCTCCCCATACAATGCCCCCATCCCTGCCAGGCTTCTTTTTGAGCTGGCGAAATAGCTGCTTGTATTCTTCTCTTCATGGATCATCTTTATTTCACCCAAGTTTGGGTTTGCACCTAGTGGAGCCTTGGCAAGTGGCCTTATTTGTCTCCACTACTGCCAGCTTTTGTAGGCTCCATGTCAATGGCACTAGGCACACAGGTAGACAGGTGGGCTGTCTCCAGACTTCTCTATTACCAGCACTTCCCAGCATGGCCCTCACAGCAACCATGTGAGGTAAGAGGAATTTCCAGTTTCCTGATGGGGAAACTGAGACCAAAAGAGTGAGGGACTGCCAAGGCCTCATAGCTAGAATTTAAGAGCTGTGTGGTTCTCCTCACTAAGCTGGGAAGGGGATGGTCAGGGAAAGCTTCTTGAAAGAGCAGGAGAAGGCAGATCTCCATCAGGGCAGGGAGCAGAGCAAGGCCCCAGGATTCTGCCTGGGGCACCAGGAAGCCTGGCTTATGAGAAGGTTCTCAGTCCTCAGAGCTGACATGTGATATACAGTCCAGGCACAGGTGTGTGTGGTCCCTCATTACTTCAGAGCCCCTTAAGAAAGACTGAATCTATTTCTTCATCAGAGTTTGTGAGCGATTCAATATAAGGGACTAAATCCCCCTCACTGCCCCAAGCAGCTTATCTTGTCACTGTCTACCATAGCCACATTTGGAATGGTAATGCCCAGGCCATTCCTGAAGCCCAGGCAGCATTCACTGTGGGCTTGGGGACATGGTGCCATTCCTGAAGCCTGGGCAGCCATCACCATGGGCCTGGGGACGTGGTGCTGGGCAGAATGAATATGCTGCAGCCCTGATGGGCTGTGCTGGCTGGGCTTTGCCTTCTTGGGTCAAGGCGAGCCTGGGCATTAGGCCTTTGTCATTATGCTATACATCAGGCTTCTGGGCTGCTACTTGTGGGATCCTGCCCTTGTTCTCAAAGAGTTCCTCCTTCTCACTGCCCCATCTTCTTCATAGTGACGGCCTCTTCGTACCCCTGGCTTTTCTTTTCCCCAGAGTTCCCCTGAATGTTGTCCTCTCATGGTTCTGAGTTGGGGAGGAGTGCTAGGTCATGGATTTTTGGGTATAACGTGTGACTTTCCTACTCCCCTAAGTAGTTCTCCCCTTCTCAAGCTCCTAAGTTCTGGGAAGGTCTCTTTTCCTGCCCTCCTGACTAATGGCAGAGAGGTCTGACCCAGACTGTGCCAGACTGGATCATTCGCTCTGTCACCTGCCACCAGGGCAGAGGCCATTCCTCTCTGGGGAGTCTCCTTGTGAATTTCTGGGGACCAGCTCTGGCTCTCTCAAGAAAGAGGATGCTGCCATATTTGTTCTGGGAGGCAGGAAGATGAAGGGTGAGGTTGGGAGGTAGCACAGGATGTGGCTTTCAAGAACCTAGTAGAGCATCTCACTGTGCTGCCAGGGCCAGGCTGGTGCCTTCTTACGGAAGACAGTACAAGGGATCAGGTGTGGCCAACAGGAACTTGGGAGCATTGGATGCCTGGCGTGGAGCTGCGCTATGCTTACCTGGTTCCTATCTCAGGCACCTGTTCTGCCTTCAACTGATCTCAATGGAAATATGTGCAGGAGTGCAGGCCTGTTGACTCTGTGTGTGTGTGTGTGTGTGTGTGTGTGTGTGTGTGTACAGTCACACTCACCTTTGCAAGAAGGTGTGGGAGGGGGATGACAGCAGCTCCACACCGGAAGAGCAGACTGGTTTCTGTTTCAAAAGGCAGAGTTTGTGGTTGTTCTGCAGTTTCTGATCTAGCCATTTCCCCTGATGGAAGCTCCTCCTTCTGTCATTGGAAGCCCTGTGTTCTCGGTTAGGTCTTTTATGGCCCAGTTCTCCCTGCCCCTGTTTCTACCCGAGTATAACTGTTCATTTTTGTTCCCCATCCCTATTTGGTTTTCCCTCCTTCTGCCTGTGTACCTGCCTTTTTCATTTCTTCAGTCATTAAGCAAGCCCTGGAGGGGCCCTGCCTGGCCTTAGGTATGTGAGCATGTATGTACGTGTTTGTATGCACGAGGCATCAAGTGTATTAGTACCACAGGAAGGAGCTTCTCAGTTGGGCCCTTGGTGGAAGAGAAGGGAGCCGGGGAGGTGGACATTTCCAGACTAGGAATCAAGATGAAATAGGGATGGGAAGCAACAGCTATTCTTGCCCTAGGTGTGGCTTAGTGTGGATGGAGCAGAGAGGGTGAGAGGGCAAAAGCTGGGGAGGTAAATTCCTGAGCCCTGTCACAAAGAGCCTTCAAGGCCATAGAAGGTGTTTGTTGTTTGTTCTCCTTAGACTGGCAGTGGGCAGCCTCGGGAGGGGCTTGAATGAGGTCTAGGGGGGTCAGAATAATGTTTTATGAAGAGCCAGAAGACTGGGGAAGGATGGCTGATGGGTGAGAACCAGGGGTCAGGGAAAACAGCAGAAAAGGCAGGACTCTCAGCTGGAGGACAGGCTGGAGGGGTTTGCTGAGGGGACAGGTGGTTCCAGGTAGAACCAGAAATGTGTCGGGGAGCTAGGGTTAGGGCCAGAAGCAATGCCCACTGTTCCAGGTGGGATAGATGTGGAGTTTTGTGACAGTTGCTAGAGGGACAGGACAGGAAGAGAGCATCTGGGGGAGTTGGGCCGTTAGGACATTCCAGGCAGGTTGGTGTGCAGTTCGGGCTGGAAGGGCTCCTGGGGTGGGGGCTGGCCAGGCAAATGCTGGCACTGCATCTGGCTCCGAAGTTACCAGGCCAGTCTGGGTTTAGAGGATTTTAAGAGGCTTCAGAGCTTGGGGAGTACTCAAAGAAAGTCATAGCTGTTGGCTAAGCCAAGCTTTTTTCCTTTGACCTAATCTACCTTAAATCGGTGATTTCTGGGCTGGAATGTCTGCCCTCCAGCCAGCAGGCAGCCCCTCCCTGTGCTGGAGAGTGTGTCAGAGCCTGTGCACCTTTGCTGAGGGAGCAGAGGAGTCCATTGGATGGGCCCCCTCCATGTCCCACATATAGTGCTGGGTGTTTCTAGCTGTTACGACTTTTGATCTTACCAACATCTTTCTGATGCTATTGTGTTACTCTTATGTTACTCTCTTCACAGGTGTAGCAGTGAGGTCAGAGTGGCTGTCACTTTATTGAGATCACATAGCTAATGTGAGGTAGAGCTAGGATTTTAGTTCAGCCAGTCTCACCCAGAGCTCGTGCATGTTTTTTCTACCACCCTGCCTTCTAGAGAAACTCAGTCAAGCCCTTTGCTTTACACATGGTAAAACTGAGACTCTGAGAAGTTAAATAAATTATTCATCATTGCCTCAAGTTTTAGTGGCTGAGGGCAGGTCATCTGCTATTCAAGCCCGTGTACCTCTCTGACTATGCCTTGTGAAGGCCACGGGAGCATGCAAGGGCCTTGGATAGCTAAGATAAGGAAATGGTCCCAGGCAAAATGGTGGTCTGGGTCCAGGATGGTTGCTGCTCTTGGACAGCCAGTGCCTTGGTCAGGGGATGGGGTGGGGATTAGGCCCCTTGCTGAGACTTGTGTGGGGATGGCTTTAGCAGTTAGGCATTTCAGGGATGCACCAGTCCTCTGGGCCAGAGCCTACTTTCTCCCAGGGATCCTGAGGCCCATCTTGACCTACCCAGCCCTGCCTCTGGGACTTTATGATTTGATTTGTGTGTACCTTGTGTCAGGAAGTGGTCCTCATGAACAGCCTTGGGTCCCTATTTCTTCTTCTGGAGTCTAGCTCTTTTGCAGGTCAAAATGTCTCAGTGAGGGAACAAAGATAGGGAAGGGACACCCCACAGAACCACCTTTCCCCCATATAGCCCTCTCTGACATCTCAGCCCTTACTTAGCAAAGGCCTATCCCTAGACTCAACCCAGCCCTCTTATTACCAGAGTGACTGAGTGGTCTTGGCTCTGCCTCTGGGGTTCCTCCCTGAGAGAGAGTGTAAGAATGAGGAAACCAGGCTGCCCTCCTTTCGGTGTTGACTCTGGGAGACCCCAGCTTGATCTTGGCCTCTTTGCTACCTTCCTAGTTGACATTCGTGAAATTAAGGAGATCCGCCCAGGGAAGACCTCACGGGACTTTGATCGCTATCAAGAGGACCCAGCTTTCCGGCCGGACCAGTCACATTGCTTTGTCATTCTCTATGGAATGGAATTTCGCCTGAAAACGCTGAGCCTGCAAGGTGGGAGTTAAGGGGGTAGAGGAGGTAGAGGATAGTTAGGGGAATGCCTGCTGGCTCCTGCCCAGTGGGAGGTATGTGCCCTCGGGGCAGCTATTGATACCTTGCTCACAGCCACATCTGAGGATGAAGTGAACATGTGGATCAAGGGCTTAACTTGGCTGATGGAGGATACATTGCAGGCACCCACACCCCTGCAGATTGAGAGGTAAGAACCACTCCTGAAGGGGTTAGGGCTGGGAGCATTAGGGACCAGGGGGACAGGGACAGCAGACCTTTGTGTGCCCAGACATCTCCCAGGCCTGACTGTAGATGGAGAAGTGGCCCTCACCTCAGGCTTCTCTCTCCAGGTGGCTCCGGAAGCAGTTTTACTCAGTGGATCGGAATCGTGAGGATCGGTAAGTACTGAGCTGTGGCTGTAGCCCAGCAGGGTGGGGATGGGCATCCAGAACCTTAGCCAGGCCTCTAAGTAGCTGCCCGGAGAGCCAGAGGACCCAGGGGACCTTAAGTGGGGCCAGGAGGGTGGGCAGAAGGTTCTGCCACGTGTAGCTTTCTGCACAAAGTCCTCTGGTGGCCTTGGTGTGAGCTGGTGAGAGGAGCCAGCCACATGCTGTGTGCCCTGCCACTATGGGCAGAGACTGGATGTGTAGAACTGGCTTTGGGTGTCCTGGAGGTGAGGGTGGCCAGTAGCGTGTGAAGGGTGCCCTGAAACTCTGGCTCTGAGACCTGGTATGGCAGCCAGAGGGGCCAAGGAGAGAAGGGGGAGCAAAGACCAGATAGTGTGGGTGCTGCACCATGGTGAGGTCCTTTGACCTGAAAGAAATGGGAAGCCATGGAAGGGTTCTGAGGAGAGGAGTGATGTGACCTGACTTGGGTTACTCAAGATCACTCTGCCTGCTGTGTGGAGAGCTCAGTTAGGAGCTGTTTCCACACTCCAGGTGAAAAATGAGAGGGCTTGGATCATGATGGTAATGGTAGGAAGTGGCTGGATTTTGGCCATGTTGTATTTTGAAGATAGCGCCAGAAAGAATGTCCTTAACAGATTGATTTTGGGGTGTGAGAGGCATTGAGGATAATAGTATGCTGTTTGGCTTGAGCAACTGGAAAACAGAGTCACCATTGACTGAGATGAGAAGATCATGGGACTAGCCCATTTGGAGGGAAGCTTGGGTTCAGTTCGAGGCATGTTAAGTTTTCTGATGCCTATTAGCTGTCCAGGGAGAGATGTTGAGTAGGCAGGTGGTTAGAGTGAGTTTAGGTACATACACAGTAGGGGCTACAGATTTTAACTTGGGAGTATGTAGATAACACTGAAAGCCACAGGGCTGGGTGAGATCACCTAGGGGGCAAGCAGACCAAGAAAAGGGCAGGGTCCAGTGGCTGATCCCAGACCACCCCCATATTAGAGATTGGAGGGGTCAGGGACAACTAGTGCGGTAAGAGGAGAACCCCCAGAGTGTTGAGTTCTGGCAGCCCAAGGAAGAAGACAGTGGTGAAATCTGACCGTTGACCCTTGGATTTAACATGGTGAGAAGAGCGGTGTCACCCTAGCGGTGAGGGGCTCAAGGGAATGAGAGGGAGCAAGATGACTCTTGCAAGGAGTTTTGCTATGGAGGGGAGCAAAGAAGAGGGCAGTAGCTGGAGAGCTAAGCAGGGGCAAGACAGGTGTTTTTGGTGGAAGAAGTAACAAGCTGTTCGTATGCTGATGGGAAAGAGACCACAGAGGGCAAGATCGGTGATGCAGGCAGTTGCAACCAGAAGGCCTCTGTTTCCTCACTGGAAAACAAGGACCCTGATAGCACCTACCTCCTGGGTGACTGAGGATCAGAGGAGGGGGCGCCTATATAGAGCCAGCCCTCCCTCCGCAGTGCTTGATCCACTCAGTGTGGCGCTCAGCCCCCTCGGGGAATTTTGGTGCCTCCTCCCAGGCTCTTGGGGCCCAGAGGAGGTGGTCCCACCCTCCCCTCCCCTCCTTGACACCACCTTCCAGGAGAGAAAGCCCCCCCCTTCCCCCTTCTTGTCCATCCTGTTGCCAGGTCCAGCAGTGTCCCCAGCCTCACATCCTGGGCAGGACACCCCTGGAGAGCAGGGGCGCTTGTTCTCTCAGTTTCTTTCCTGGAGCCAGGCCCTGTCTAGCCCCAGGAGGTGCCCAGTTGCCAGTCATTGTATTTGGTGGAGCATGCACCTCCTCCTTCCTCCCTCTCATGGGTTAGTGGGTTCTGAGGACCAAACTCCCAGCATCCCAGTGGGCAGCAGGTAGGGACCTGCTGCCATGCTGCCCCCAACAGGGAAGTTGTGAGTGAGCCCTGCCTTCTGTCTTGGATAGGCTGACTGCCACCTTGGCACAGGCCTCAGCAGTGCCGGTAGGAGGGGAGGCCTGGAGTGTGGTTTTTCTTCCTCCCATGCCTGACCCACTTTACTGAATCTGTTCACATCTTCCTTGCCAGAATTACAGGTTTTTTTTGTTTGTTTTGTTTTTGTTTTTTTTTTTTTTTTTTTTGCTCAGATGAGGAACTGAGGTCCAAAGAAAGGAAGGGACTAACCTCACCCCATGGGTTCTGATCCAGTCTTGCCCTCAGGCCTCCAGGTTCCCAGAATAGTGTTGTTTACCTGTCCAGCCCCAGGTGGGCTCGACCCACAGGTCAGAGGTCATGAGAAGCTGGATGAGACCACTGGGGATGTCCCTGTTTTCTCAGTATATCAGCCAAGGACCTGAAGAACATGCTGTCCCAGGTCAACTACCGGGTCCCCAACATGCGCTTCCTCCGAGAGCGGCTGACGGTAAGTGCCACCCAGGGCTGTCTGTAGATGGGGGCAGGGGAAGCCAAGAGCCCTTCAGCTGGGGGCCTGACTGCCTGACTGGCACTCCTGCTCTATACCATGCAGGACCTGGAGCAGCGCAGCGGGGACATCACCTACGGGCAGTTTGCTCAGCTGTACCGCAGCCTCATGTACAGCGCCCAGAAGACGGTGCATGAGCCACCTGCCCTCCCTCAACCCCTGCCCCTGCTCTTCCACCCCACACCCCAGCTCTGCCTGCCTCAGCCCTGCTGCCCTGCTTAGGGGCTTTTGGGTGCCATTTCTCCAGTTCTTCTCCTCTTGAGGCCTGCCCCCATCTGCTGCTCTAGCCTGCCTTCTTACTAGCCCATTTCCCACATGGCCTCCCAGGGGTCTTGCCCTGACCAGGTTCTGTTTCCTGCAGATGGACCTCCCCTTCTTGGAAGCCAGTACTCTGAGGTTTGGTTTGGAGTGGGGAGGTGGGGTTTTCCCTGGGCCCCCTTCATCTCTCCACTGGGCGATTCTTGATCCAGGTGGGAGGCAGTGGGAGTAGGGAACCATGCTGGACCATTCTGGGAAGCTGTGCTGGCTGGGAGTTGGGTTCTGCCTTCCGTGGGGCACCTTGTTGTCTGTTGACCATACTAGCTAGCTTACCTTCTCTCCCTGCAGG